>NC_000011.10:134149057-134458245 GCF_000001405.40 Homo sapiens | reverse complement strand
ATTGAAGTTATCTTTACAAGTTCTCTCCCTATCTGTGTTTTCCGGCAGCAAAAATACTGTGACACCACAGTGACAGAAGCCTTAAGCAAGGACGGTGTGACAGGACAGAAACAGAGGCCTTAGGCAAGGATGGTGTGACAGCACAGAGACAGAGGCCTTAGGCAAGGGTGGTGTGACAGCACAGAGACAGAGGCCTTAGGCAAGGGTGGTGTGACAGCTCAGAGACAGAGGCCTTAGGCAAGGGTGGTGTGACAGCTCAGAGACAGAGGCCTTAGACAAGGGTGGTGTGACAGCACAGACACAGAGGCCTTAGGCAAGGATGGTGTGATAGCACAGAGACAGAGGCCTTAGGCAACGATGGTGTCACAGCACAGAGACAGAGGCCTTAGGCAAGGATGGTGTGATAGCACAGAGACAGAGGCCTTAGGCAAGGATGGTGTGACAGCACAGAGACAGAGTCCTTAGGCAAGGATGGTGTGATAGCACAGAGAAAGAGGCCTTAGGCAAGGATGGTGTGATACAGCACAGAGACAGAGGCCTTAGGCAAGGATGGTGTGATAGCACAGAGACAGAGGCCTTAGGCAACGATGGTGTCACAGCACAGAGACAGAGGCCTTAGGCAAGGATGGTGTGATAGCACAGAGGCAGAGGCCTTAGGCAAGGATGGTGTGACAGCACAGAGACAGAGTCCTTAGGCAAGGATGGTGTGATAGCACAGAGAAAGAGGCCTTAGGCAAGGATGGTGTGATAGCACAGAGACAGAGGCCTTAGGCAAGGATGGTGTGATACAGCACAGAGACAGAGGCCTTAGGCAAGGATGGTGTGATAGCACAGAGACAGAGGCCTTAGGCAAGAATGGTGTGACAGCACAGAGACAGAGGCCTTAGGCAAGGGTGGTGTGACAGCACAGAGACAGAGACCTTATGCAAGGGTGGTATGACAGCACACTTATGAAAGGTCTTAGGAGGAAAGATAGCCATTTAAAGCCAAGGTTTGAGTCACAGTGAAGCAGTGGTTTTGGTTTTTTGTTTAGCTTTATTTTGTTTTCCAAGCAGGTTATCCCTTAAGTGATTTTTCTGTCCCTTAGGTCGCATTGCACTCCTAGACATTACCACTCACTGAGGCCTTTTCATGTCCTGGAATACCTTGAAAATAGACCAACTAGAGATGGGTAGAAGAGAAACAGAAGGGAAGGCTATGCACAGGCTACATTTATGATCACGGTGGGAGAGAAGATTTGTAACAGACAAGAATACAAACCTCTCACACTGCAAAGAAGGTTGCCCCTTCCCACACGCACTAACAGAAGGGCCTCTGAACCCCCACTCCTCCCACCTGCCAGCATTGTCTTCTAAAGACAAAGACCCCTCTCGCCTTTCTAAGTGGATATTGACAAATGAGGGAACATGTATGCTCACAAAGGAGGAGAGCTCGCATGGCCCACAGAGCTTGAGCTCCTCAAAAGTGGAAGAAATCCCATGGGAGAAGATGGACTTAAGCGACAGGATGAGGCTGTTTCTTCACTCTTGGTAGTTAATGGAGCATCAGGCTAGAAAACCAGACCTTGCAGTACCTCCATTTCTGATAAAGACCACAGAACCCCTTCCTGAGCCTGGAGACCGCATGGTGGTAGGAGAGGGGGGTTGGAAGGGGGAAAGTTCACAGCCCTCGTGGGACTATCACTCAGCAGCAGAACAGCATCTGTCAAACGCATCACACTGATTCCTGAGATTCTGTTTTACTTCCAGCAATATAAGTCAATATAGGTAAAAATGAGAAACTAAGTTTAATCAAGCGGCAAAAACAGAAGAAATCATGGCATTTTTCAATACGCTCGAAATTACTTTGGCAATCCTCGAGTGCTCTAGGAGTCCCTGTCAAGCATGCCCAGAGGAACACAGTGGCCATCTGAGGCTCTGCAGAACTGCTGCTGCAGCCTCTGGAGAAGCACCCACCCCAAGTGCAGAGAAGGAAGATCCAACCACTAATCTCAACCCTTTCTGAAAAAAGACATGCATTGGCCTACACACATGTGCAGAATTTCACTATTTAAAAAAATTTGGCATACATTTAATGGGGCACCTCTGTTTCCTCCTAAAATGCAGGTAGATGGAATGTATTACAGTATGGAATTTCCTTAGAAGCAAGAAAATACAGTGCAGCATTTGAGTGTCTGCTCTGGCCTAGGCACTGTGTGAGGTATCAGAACTGTTGCTGAAAAGGGGTCCCAATCCAGACCCCAAGAGAGGGTTCTTGGATCTCGTGCAAGAAAGAAATTGGGGTGAGTTCATAAAGTGAAAGCAAGTTTATTTAAAAAGTAAAGTAATAAAGAATAAAGTGAAAGCAAGTTTATTTAAAAAGTAAAGTAATAAAGAATTGTTACTCCATAGGCAGAGCAGCCCCAAGGACTGCTAGTTTTGCCCGTTTTTATGGTTATTTCTTGATTCTATGCTAAACAAGGGGTGGATTATTCATGAGTTTTCTGGAAAGGGGTGGGCAATTCCTGGAACTGAGTGTTCCGCCTTTTGTTAGACCAGATAGGCTAACTTCCTGGTGTTGCCATGGCATCTGTAAGCTGTCATGGTGCTGGTAGGAGTGTACCAGTGAGGATAACTAGAGATCGCTCTCATTGCCTTCTTGGTTTTGGTGGGTTTGGGCCAGCCTCTTTACTGCAACCTGTTTTACCAGCAAGGCCTTTATGACCTGTAACTTGTGCTGACCTCCTATCTCATCCTGTGACTTAGAATGCCTAACCTATGGGAGTGCAGCCCAGCAGGTCTCAGCAAGGCCCTACTCAAGATGGAGTTGCTGTGGTTCAAACGTCTCTGATAGAACCAGGGTGGTTCTTGCCCTCAGGATGCTCACAGGCCAATGGAAGAGACCGTGAGCAGGTGGGGTGATCACGAGCTATGTGGAAGGGCTGGAGGGGAGATGCACAGAGTCTTTAGGAGCACCCAGAAGGGACGCCAGTGCAGTTGTCAGGGGAAGCTGATGTCTAAGGGAGGCTTGAAAGGTGAGGACTTAGCCAAGGCAAGAGATTCAAGGGATGACAGGCAGAGGGAACAAGAGACACAAATGTCCATGCACAAAAGAGAGGGCAGCACTTCCAGGAACTGCAAGGAGTTTAACCTGGCTGGAGGCCTGGGCGGTGGAGAGAGAGAAATGATATTGGATATCAGGTCATGACAGACCTAGAGGTTTGCCTTGGCCTTTATCCTGTGGACAATGTGAAGCCATGAAAGGAACTAGAGCTAATGGATGACATGAGCAGATTCACAAACTTAAAGGTACCAAAAATGCAACACAGAGAATGGGTGGGAGGATGACAGATACCTATTAGGAAGCTGCTGTGACAAACAGGCAAGGAATGGTGGTGGCTGGAGCCCGAGTGACAATGCTAGGGATAGGAGTCATGAAGGATTTGTGGAACATTCAGGATGTCAAATCAGTAGGTATCGGAAATCTATTGGGTGTGGTGGGAGAGGAGTAAAAGGATGCCCTCGGTGATCAGGTACAGAGCAGAGCTGTTCACCAAGATAGGAAGGAACATACATTGAGGTTCCCACATGTTATTTGCCTGACCCGCAGTTTGGATCTCCGTCTACTCAACCAGCACTTGCTGAGCAGCTCCATGTGCCCTTCCCTGAGCTGGTGCTTTGCAGAGGCTAGAAGATACAGTCGCTCAGGACTGCCCAGCTAGTAGGAAGCCAGCCTTGAACCTGCTCTCCCTGCCATGCTGACCTCAGCTCCGTAGCCTGGGTGGCTACCTCCCTGCCATTGGATCCTGGTGGTCCTGGGTCCAGGGCCATTCCTCAGCCTTCCCGTGTAGCCTGGTCTTGCTGTAAGTGAGCTTCCATGCCTTGCTGGTGAGCCCGGAAAGAAGGCAGTTAGGAATAGGGGAGGTGCAGCAGCTGCATAAATAAGATGGCCAGAGTTCCCCTAAGACCTCCCTTCAGTCCTGGACTGCAGGTGGCAACTCCAGAATGGAACCCTCCCAGCATCCTGGACCCAGGCAACCAAACTCTTGTCCCTGCTGTCTCCATTAGAGTGCTCACACCTAGTTGTGTGCATGCTGTCTCTCACACATACACACACACACACACACACACAGCAGCAGCAGCAGCAGCAGCAGAAGCAGGGACAGTTTCTCCTCTAAAACACATAGCAACTTCAAAAGATGTGCTTCTCTGTTTATTAACCACCCTCTTTCCTCGCTCCCTATTTTGGAAGCCTTGGGGCCCAGGCTAAAAATAATGGGATCACAGATATGTAAGGACCTTGCATAATCAAAAGCAACCTCTTCTGAAAGGACAAACAGAAGCTTGTAACAGCCCAGGAGCACCCCAGCCTACCCCCACCTCCCAGCCCATCGCACTCTCCTGCCGCCTAGACCACAGTCACATTTCCATCTCCTCCCAGTGCCAACAGGGTGGAAAGATGTTCCTGGGAGCTCACAATTATGTTGAGTCAACCTGTAGACACACACAAGTTAACTGGGGCCCCCTTCCCAACACCCCCGGCACAGTGCTGGCCAGAGCCGCCGTGCAGCTGGGGCCTCGTGACTTTGGATGCATCACTGCCAGGAAATCAGATTAATCTGCTTGGCTGCCACTGCAGCTACAGCAGCACCCACAGGCCAGCCCCACCAATTTGCTGGAAGAGGTCATGGGCTCACCCTCACCAGCGGCTCTGGTAGCCTCCTCCCCTGCTTTCCTTTCTGCATCCCTCCTAGCTCAAGCCTAAAATTCCCTTCTGCCCAGAGGCCTCTGCCTTTCTCCCTCTGGCATGCATAAGACCTGCGGTGCTGAAGCAGTCTCTGCAGAAGCTCGGCTGTCCCAGAAAGAGCCATGTTCATAGGCCCTGTTCAATGGCCTTTGCCACTGGGGGCAAAGCCATGGGACCTTCCTAAAAGCAGTTCTTGAGCAGGCACTCAGCAGACCTGGCGAGGGCTTGAGCTTCTCTGAACTGAGGTTTGAGCTTCCTCATCCGTAGATAAGAGGATGGAGATGGCTTCCAAACCATAGACCAAAAATGGCCTCTGTGGAGAGAGCCAAAGACAGGAGATGGAGGTTGTTGATGTTCACATACAACCTACGCATATTCCTCAGCAGAAGCCACGATCTTCAGCTTGGAGTCTCACACAGGGCCAGAGCTGCAGGGAGTATTTCTGCATCAGGATAGCTTAACACAACACAATTTGAAATGGCCTGGAATGAAATTAAATGGCAGTTTGGTTACACTTTAATCACCGCAGGCAGATCAAGATGCTGCTGTGATTACGACAAAGGAATCTATATTTATTGTCTTGTGGGGATTTGCATCGGAGATACAGTGATCTTTCTGCAAAGCACCCAATTTATTCATAAAGTTGTAGCCAGGCATTGCAACTGTGAATCATTCAAGTGTGTCTTCCTCCTGCCTGGCAGAGCCAAGAGCTGGGAACGGAGCCCCGTCCACTCAGCAGGCTTCTCTGGGTCAGGCCCTGGTCTGGTGAATTGGGAAAGGCCCGTGAATCCTTCCCTCCACAAACAGGGAGTGTGGTGAGTCTGGCAGAACCACTCTACACTCAGCTTGCCTGTGAGCAGAGAGGTTCTGACTTGTGCATTGCTGTTAGATATGGAGAGGAACAAGCACAGCCACTGAGTGAGAACCCCACAAATGCTGATAGACAAAGGCCCTCAGACCACTCCAGGACTCAGGCAAAGGGAAGCTTCAAAGGGCCTTTAATTCTTCTTGCCTGTGCCCACGTGTGCCTCGTGATTGAAAACGTCTGCACTGAACAGGCTTTCACAAAACGCCTACACCATGCCAGGCTGCAGGCTGGAAGAGGGTGGGAGGGTGGGGAATGCGGTTACAAAGGTGGGTAAAATGCCATCCGGCAGGGGATCTCGTGCAGGCTAAGCCAGGCAGGCTCTGAGACTCTGGGGCTGCAGCGTGGGCCTGTCAAGCAGACCTGTGCAGGGGCCTTAGGCAACAACTGGAGAAGGAGCCATCCTTAGCTTCCAGGTGGCCTGACAGCCTGTGCAGGCGCCTTAGGCAACAACTGGAGAAGGAGCCATCCTTAGCTTCCAGGTGGCCTGACAGCCTGGCATGGGGCAGGAGGAAGCTCATACGGGGAAACTCAGCCAGCCAAGCAGCCCAGACCCCACTTACCCTGCATCCACCCTCCCCAGGGTGTCAGGAGCAGACTCAGACCCACTCAGAAGAGCCGCTGGTGCCCATCCCAACCCCAGGATCTCAACGTCAGCCATGGTGAGGGTATTTACACCACTGAAACCAGCATCATGCCCATCCCAACCCCAAGGTCTCAACATCAGCCATGGTGAGGGTATTTACACCACTGAAACCAGCATCGTGCCCATGCCAACCCCAAGGTCTCAACGTCAGCCATGGTGAGGGTATTTACACCACTGAAACCAGCATCGTGCCCATCCCAACCCCAAGGTCTCAGCGTCAGCCATGGTGAGGGTATTTACACCACTGAAACCAGCATCGTGCCCATGCCAACCCCAAGGTCTCAGCGTCAGCCATGGTGAGGGTATTTACACCACTGAAACCAGCATCGTGCCCATCCCAACCCCAAGGTCTCAGCGTCAGCCATGGTGAGGGTATTTACACCACTGAAACCAGCATCGTGCCCATCCCAACCCCAAGGTCTCAGCGTCAGCCATGGTGAGGGTATTTACTCCACTGAAACCAGCATCGTGCCCATCCCAACCCCAAGGTCTCAAGGTTAGCCATGGTGAGGGTATTTACACCACTGAAACCAGCATCTCTAAACCAAGGCTTTTCTTGCCTGCCAGGTTATAAGCATTTATCAGTATACCACGGCCCTCCCTGCAACCCTGCTCCCAAGCCTGAGTGGTTAGAATAAAATAAACTCTGGTTTTCTCTTACCTATTCTTAAACTTATTTAGAGACACACTGTCATTAGGCCAGTGAAGAGCTCTGTCCACTAGAATAGAATCTGGAAACATGTCCCACCCACCCCCAAGGCATGAAAGGAAAGTGCCCTGTCCCCCAAGTATGCAGCTCCCGCCTGTGGTGGGGAAACTACAGATAAAAGTGAATGACTGGCCCGGCATGGCGGCTCACGCCTGTAATCCCAGCTCTTTGGGAGGCTGAGGCAGGTGGATCATGAGGTCAGGAGATCTAGACCATCCTGGCTAACATGGTGAAACCCCATCTCTACTAAAAATACAAAAAATTAGCCGGGCGTGGTGGCGGGCGCCTGTAGTCCCAGCTGCTCGGGAGGCAGAGGCAGGAGAATGGCGTGAACCCGGGAGGCGGAGCTTGCAGTGAGCCGAGATCGCACCACTGCACTCCAGCCTGGGTGACAGAGTGAGACTCCATCTCAAAAAAAAAAAAAAAAAAAAAACAAAAAAAAAAGGTGAGTGACCACAAAAGTGAACTCTGTGTGTGTGTGTGTGTGTGTGTGTGTGTGTGTGTGTGTGTCTTTCTCTTTCTGTCTCTCTCTCACACACACACACACGGAACAAATTTACTGATCACTTACTGTGTGTAAGACAGGATACTTTATGCAATTATTCAAGGACTTTAAATGATTACATTATTTATCCCTTCTAGCAATCAAAGAAATATACAGTGGTTTCTGCCCCTCTTATAGATGAGGAAGCTGAATTTCCCACAGTGAGTAGGAGCCAGGGTAAATCAATGCTGTGGAGCTGGGTTCTAATCTTGGAGGCTCCCCAGAAGCCCCCTCAGGGTACAGAGAGGCCCTGAGGGTGTCCCATTGTGTGAGTAAACACAGGGAACCTGGTTTGCCCCCAAACAAGAACGCGGCAGAAGGCTTCCTGTCGGAGCGTTGGATACCAGGGAAAGACACTGGTTTGCTGCCGTAGGCACCAGCAGTTTCCCTTCTCCAGGTGCTGAGTCCACTTCCTCCTTCCTTTAGCTCCTGCCCCTGCCCAGGTAGCATCCCAGCCTCAGAAGCGATTAAGCCATCCAGACCCGCTCTGCAGGTTAGTCACTAAAGAGGGTTCAACAGGCACTGGGGGCAGACACTCAAGACATCCAGGGTTATGGGCAGCCATGGGCTGTCTGAGCTGTCGTTTAGCGATAGACTGTAATTCTAAACATGGTGTTCGTTATTCCACTGTGTGGCTTCTAATTAATTTCCAGAAATGCATTGTTGAGGGATGATGGGTTGTGCTGGAAGAACCACTAATACTGCTCATTCATCGCTGCCCATGTGCGGCCGAGCCCAGAGCCACTGACTCCGGAGACCCTGGGCTGCACTGCAAGGACCCGAGGTGACTGCTCCATGCCTGGTAGTGATGATGTCAGTGGCACCACCTCACCTGAACCTGCAGGGGCACATACCTGGGTCCTTCCAGGTACCACCGTTGCCACAGACAGGAAGGTGGCGCCAGAGGATGTCCCCCTGAGTAGTGAAGGATGCCCAAAGTAATTGATCAAATTTTGTGAAAAGGAAATTGCTTGGGGTGGATATAAGGTCCTGCACATGGGGCTGCAAAAGCCAGTCACATGAGCACAGGGAAAAGGTTGAGTTGACAGTGAGAGTCACTAGGTAGGCAGCAACCAGCCACCTAGAAAGCTGGTGCAAAAGATAGTCTGCATAAAGAAAAGCAAGTTATCTCTAAATATAACTTTGTTTTACATGGGTCACACTGCTCAATTCTAACCAACCTATTTAAAAAGATTATATTAGGGGTTTCCGAAGAAACAGAACTATTTTAAGGAATTGGCTCAAGCAATTACAGGGGGTTGTAAGTCTGAGATCCATAGGGCAGGCCAGCAGGCTGGAAATTTAGGTAAGCGTTGAATCCCTCCTTCTTCAAGAAACCCTAGGTTTTGTTCCTAAGGCCTTCAACTGACTGGATAAGGTCCCCCACCCCACATTATGGAAGGTAATCTGTTTTATTTCTTTACAGTCCACTGATTGTAAATGTTAATCACAACTACAATATCCAACTGCAATATCCAGACCAGTGTTTGACCAAACAGCATGCACCATAGCCCAGCCAAGCTGACACAATAAACTCCCAAAGAAACATTAGCATATCAGCCTGAATTCTTTTTGTAAGACACTCCCAAATGTATTGCATTGTTTTACATGCTACTTATTTTAAAAGAGATTGCCAATTAAAGTAGGACATGAGGCATTCTTATGACAATTTTTATTTTATATTTATTCAAAGAGTTGTTTGGGCTTATTTGGGTAATGCTCTTTCTTTTTCTTTTTTTTGAGACGGACTCTTGCTCTGTCGCCCAGGCTGGAGTGCAGTGGCGTGATCTCGGCTCACTGCAACCTCCGCCTCCTGGGTTCACGCCATTCTCCTGCCTCAGCCTCCCAAGTAGCTGGGACTATAGGTGCCCACCACCATGCCTCGCTAATTTTTTGCATTTTTAGTAGAGATGGGGGTTTCACCATGTTAGCCAGGATGGTCTCGATCTCCTGACCTTGTGATCCGCTCGCCTTGGCCTCCCAAAGTGCTGGTATTACAGGCGTGAGCCAACTTTTTCTTATATATACTCTTCTACATAGGTAAAAGGAAAAAATATCTGTAAAGTAAGGTAAGATATTCTTAAAAGTTCACATTCAGAATCAAAGTCTGCTGTACCACTTTTGCATTCAGAGCTGGTGATGTTCAGATCTTTCCACTCAATGTTGTCTCTGCATCACAAGTCTGGCTGGTGCCGTGTTTTATAGGAAACAATATGAGAACTAGAAGCCACTGGGAGCACTTAAGTGGGTTTTGCAATTATGTAGAGCTAGCCTACTTTTGACTCTTGCTTTGGGAATATTACTAAGCATGCCTAACTCACTATCACCCACAGCTGTCTGATTGCTAGGGCCTAGAAAATCCACCTGTATTGTCCTCTGGGTGGTTTTCTAGGCCACTGACACCCATTCTGCAAGTTTTGGGGCTGGAGCCTCTGATGTTTACTCAAGTGCCAGCAATGGGCACTCTTCATGGCCAACACCTAGATAAAGCCACTGTGAGGAGTGGTGGCATGTTCTTATTGCAAAGGTACTAAAATTCGGGAAGGAAATGACTATACCACACTAAGGAGACACATTTATACCAAGTGATGACTGAGGTCTTGCCATGTGGTGGCCACTGGCCTAAAGCCCCACACACGTGACCACATTTAACCCACACAGCAAACATATCGAGGGTGTGCTGCCATCGTGCCCAGCTCGCAGGTGCGATGAGAAGGAGCAGAGGGGTGAAGCGGCTTGCCCTGGTGTACACCAGCCAGGGAATGAAGCCAGCAAGTGGCCCAAGCCACCGCGCCACCTGTGCTAGGAGAGGATAGTGTCCACAGCGCTCCAAGCGCGCTCCTGGGAAGGGTTCTGATAATCCTACCCAAAACTGATGGGGGAACCCGAGACAGCAGGGCCTCGCAGCGGAAGGGCCGAGTCCGAGGCAGTGAGCGCCCCGCGCGGGCGTTTCTACCTGTGAGATGGCTGCGCTAGGGCTCCGACACCAGCCAGGGCCCCACGGAGGGAGCGAGGGCGCATCCAGTGCACCTGGCCCAAAGTAAGCTGCGTCAGCTCGCACGCAGAGAACCTGAAGACTGCTTCTGCTTCTCCTCTTCTGGGTGTAGGAATCCTTTGAAGAGGAAACTGGCACACATACCTCCCTGAATGAGGCACGGCTTCACACCAGTAGGAGAGAGAGAAAGTCAAAGTCTCTAGGCTGGGTGCAGTGGCGCACGCCTCTAATCCCAGCACTCTGGGAGGCTGAGGCAGGCGGACCTCCTGAGGTCGGGAGTTTGAGACCAGCCTGGTCTCTACTAAAAATACAAAATTAGCTGGGCGTGGTGGTGCACGCCTGTAATCCCAGCCGATTGGGAGGCTAAGGCTGGAGAATCACTTGAACCCAGGAGGTGGAGGTTGTGGTGAGCCGAGATCACACCATTGCACTCCAGCCTGGGTAACAATGAGCGAAACTCCGTCTCAAAAAAAAAAAATAGTAAAAAGAAACAGGTGAAAGAAAGTCAAAGTCCCAACTAACAACAAGGGTATGAATGTTTTGTTCCCCTGGATAAACACTATGAAATCATTATCGGCCTCAAAGATGTTACTAGACAAATATTGTATCTCCCTTTCACCTGATGAGTATCACAGGTCATCTCCTCTCCAGCCCAAGTGTCACAAGGCCTCTCACGACAGCTGACTGCAGGGAACGCCTGCAGGGGTCTCAAACTGAACTTCTGTATGAGCAAAAGCCTGTAATCGTCATGCGTTCAGAAGTGGGTATGTGTTGGTCCTCAGAGTCTGACTGGAGAGGATACTTCTCCCTTCTTCAAATGCAGTCCTTACAAATTACAGTTTTACTTTAAAATTCTGAGTATTTGGCTGGGTCCGATGGATCAGGCCTGTAATCCTAGCACTTTGGGAGGCCAAGGCGGGCAGATCACGAGGTCAGGAGTTCGAGACCAGCCTGGCCAACATGGCAAAACCCTGTCTCTACTAAAAATGCAAAAATTAGCTGGGCATGGTGGTGCACGCCTGTAATTCCAGCTACTTGGGAGGCTGAGGCAGGAGAATCGCTTGAACCCGGGAGGCGGAGGTTGCAGTGAGCCGAGATCATACCACTGCACTCCAGCTTAGGCAACAGAGCAAGACCCCATCTCAAAAAAAAAAAAAAATTCTCAGTATTTTTACCCTGACTCATTATCCAGTAGGGATTGGAGCCCAGGGGTCTATGGATCATAATAACTAGAGGGGCTGTTGAACTCAGGACTTTAGGGAGATAGCAAAAGGGTTTCTGGAGAATGCCTGAGGCCACATTCTGTAAGGGGAAATACATAGTTTCTCCCACAAGGCGACATGCAGTGACTATAAAGACACTGTATGGTTGTGGTGCCAGCTCCAGTTCTTCCTCACTAAGAAGACTATGTAGAATGTTTCTTTGATATTTACCGAACACCCTCTCAAGCCCTGTGTTTGGCAGCATCGTCTCTGATCCCATCTGGACCTCTTCTGGAGACCCAGGTGGACTGCACGATGCTGGGATGCCACCCTCTCCTCCACCTTCACTCGTGCAGCTCAAAGCACAGCTGTTGATACCATGGTTTTACCTGCCGACACCTGTCAAAGGCTCAGCTCGCCTTCTCACCTTCTGCAAGTGCAGCCGCTTTTGTCTCTCTGAACCTAGCTCACTGAATGTGTACCTGGGTGTCCTCCCACCCACCACCACCACCAGCCCTTTCTCTCCCAACTGCTGGCCCTGTCTCACCCAGTGAGTTCCAGAGTAGGCGACAAGATTGGGCTACTGAAATGGTTCTTGGGCAAGTCACTTTGTGAAAAGGGAAAAACGAACTCTCCCACACTCAACATAGAATGCTTCTGTGACCAGATGTGTTTGCGGTTTTCCCTGCATGCCAAGCAATTCTGCAGTGGGCACCAGCTGGGTGTTCAATAATTCAATCCCGACACTGTCATCCGGAGATAGCATCAGATCCCACAGGTTTCCGGCTAAGTCACACGGGGTTGCCCTGCTTCAGATGCCACTTGCAAGTGTCAGACTAGGGCCTGTGTGTCTGACAAACTCACTATAAATCAGGGACCCCACAACCCCCCGATGGATCTGATCATTTGCTAGGACGGCTCACAGACTCGGAGAAACATTTTATTTAGGTTTGCCAGTTGATTATACAGACTGAATATTGGTTCACAATTACAAAGGCTACAGAACAGCAGCCAGATGCAGAGGTGCACAAGGTGTGGGGGTTGTGGAGGACGCACATTGCTGCACCCTCTCTGGGTGCCCCTCTCCAGCACCTGCACATGGTCAGCAGCCTGGGAGCTCAGCAGCCTGCGAGCTCATCTAATGGTGTTGCTCAAGTTTTTACCGAGATGAGGCCAGGCACCAAGGCTCACGCCTGTAATCAGGAGGCCGAGGTGGGCAAATCACCTGAGGTCAGGAGTTCAAGCCCAACCTGGCCAACATAGTGAAACCTTGTCTCTACTAAAAATACAAAAAAAATTTCCAGGCATGGTGGCAGGCACCTGTAATCCCAGGTACTCAGGAGGCTGAGGCAGGATAATGGCTTGAACCTGGAAGGCAGAGGTTGCAGTGAGCCTAGACCAGGTCACTGCACTCCAGCCTGGGCAACAAGAATGAACTATGTCTCAAAAAGGAAAAAAAAATGTTTTTACCAAGATGAGTCTCCAGGCCGGCTTCCCTTCACAGGGGCTCAAAGTCCTAAGCCTCTGATAGGGTTTGGCTCTGTGTCCCCACCCAAATCTCATCTTGAATTGTACTCCCATCATTCCCATGTGTTGTGGGAGGGACCCAGGGGGAGATGACTGAATCACAGGGGAGGTTTCCCCCATGCTGCTTTCATGGTAGTGAGTAAGTCTCACCAGATCTGGTGGTTTATCATAGAGGAGGTTTCCCCCATGCTGCTCTCGTGGTAGTGAGTAAGTCTCACGAGATCTGGTGGTTTGTCATAGGGGAGGTTTCCCCCATGCTGCTCTGGTGGTAGTGAGTAAGTCTCATGAGATCTGGTGGTTTGTCATAGGGGAGGTTTCCCCCATGCTGCGCTCATGGTAGTGAGTAAGTCTCGCGAGATCTGGTGGTTTGCCATGGGGGAGGTTTCCCCCATGCTGCTCTGGTGGTAGTGAGTAAGTCTCACGAGATCTGGTGGTTTGTCATAGGGGAGGTTTCCCCCATGCTGCTCTCGTGGTAGTGAGTAAGTCTCGCGAGATCTGGTGGTTTGTCATAGGGGAGGTTTCCCCCATGCTGCTCTCGTGGTAGTGAGTAAGTCTCGCGAGATCTGGTGGTTTGTCATAGGGGAGGTTTCCCCCATGCTGCTCTCATGGTAGTGAATAAGTCCCGCAAGATCTGGTGGTTTGATAAGGGGAAACCCGTTACCCTTGGCTCTCATTCTCTCTCTTGCCGCTGCCATGTAAGAAGTGCCTTTTACCTTCTGCCATGATTGTGAGGCTTCTCCAGCCACGTGGAACTGTAAGTCCAATAAACCTCTTTCTTTTGTAAATTGCCCAGTCTCAGGTATGTCTTTATCAGCAGCATGAAAACAGACTAATACACTCTCTAATCACTCAGGGAGCATATTAATGCCCATGGGGCATTTCTGGACTTCTCTACTCTATTCTTTAGGGGGCTTTCTGATGCACCCTACATACACAGAGGCCCTGAGGATGGCTAGCTCAGTGATGTCCCCTTGGAGAAGCTCTGCTTGCCTGGCCACTGCCCCAGGCCCTCACTCCAGTTGCTTGGTATCAGTGTCCAAATAAATGGATTGTTGCCAAGCCCTTCTCTTGGGCCCTTTTTGGGAAAAACCTAGATAAGACAAGGACTAGAGGACTAGAGTGTTACAGATTAGGATTCCAAATGCAGAGAAGAGAAGGCTCAAGCCATTGGGGTAGGGGGGATGTCAGAGAGGGAGCAGAGGGCAGAAGAGAGAGGCTCTGCTCAGCCTGCTTTATCAGGCAGGAGAGGGAGGATTGCTCTGGTGCAGACAAGGCCTCTTCCAAGAGGGCCTCGGATTGCCAGACAGATGAGTGTGGCTTCTCTACCTTGGAGACTCTAGGGACAGCCCATGCTGTGAGCTGCCTCTGGAGATTCGAATTTGATCCAAATGACTGACCCGGAAAACAGGATCTGGCCCCTCACCTGTTCCCTACTGCTTCTTAAACAAACGTGAAGCACATTTCTGCTGCCTGAGGGTGCTCACTACCAGTAATGGTGAGAGGTGAAAACCAAAGGGGAACCCAAAGATTGACAGTGACTCACAGAAGTCCCGCAATCCTGGTATGTGGAAGGCTTGGTGCCTGCCTTCCCCTAGCCCAGGCCTGCGCTCCTACCACAGTGACCTTTGCTTCTCAAGGCCTGTCTCTCCCACAGTGATGAAAAGAAACTCCAGCGAGGCAGGAGGATGCCAGGAGAAGGTGATATCCCCAAGACAGGGAGGAAGGTGGCAAGAATAAGGGCCACCATCAGGGTGCGATCTCACAGAGAGGCTGAGGGAGAGGAGGGCCAATGACATGCAGTAGACTTGGCGTTTCTGTCTCTGGTGACCTTTGAGAAGGCAATTTCTGTTTTGTGGGGAGTGCGGGACCCAGATGGTGAAAAGTTGAAGGCTGAGGGGGCAAGGAGGACCACAGGGAGCACTAGGAACCCAGGCAGTGAATTAGAGGGAGCAGCAGCAAAGTAATAAAAGGGGGCAACAGAGATTGTATAGACAACAGGGACCCGGGGAGTGTGTCAGAGGGGAGATGTGGGGGAGTGATGTGTGGGAAGTGCTGGAGAGAGAGGACCTACATAAGGGGAGTCTGCTGAGTCCCAGCTGCCTCCCACAGCAGGCTCGGCAGTCCCCAGCAGAAGAGATCTGTCCTGTTCTTTATCCACAACACCCACACCCACCACCAAATACAAGGTGGTGCGCAAATACCTGCAAATGAAAATGGAAGGAAAGAAAGAGAGGGGAGGGAAGTGAGGAATAGAGAATTTGAGATATAAAAGAAGAGAAATGGAGGTTCTACTGAATAATCTCAACTTCTGCAGATGACCAGGAGAAAAACGTCATCTGCTCAAAGATGCAGCAGGTGGGGAAGTGCTAGAGGGTTCAGCAACCTGGGGAGGCTGTGGAGACCCCTGTGAGCGATATGCTAAGGAAAGCTTCCCAGCGGGGAGCTGGGGCAGATCAGAGGGCCAGAGTACTGTCAGCCACCAGACCTGAGGACAGAGGACCTGGTCAGCACCTGCAGCTCTAGCGGCCCCGCTGTGGCATCTCAGGGTGGCTCAGCACACTGCGGCACAACGGGACCACCAGCACGATATGTGCGGCCAAGGGGGTGCTCCGCCGCCACCACACCTCTCCAGCAGCTGGGCCCCTGGTCAACATAGGAGGAGTCTGTGCCAGCACCCAAGGGCCCAGCCTGTGAGTGGGGCTGACAGGGGCTTCTGGCAGGTGCAGCTGTATACAGAGGCCCTAGTCTCCCTACCCACACCCTGGGTCCATCTGCCTGCTTGTGTCTGTCTGATGTGCCCTTTGGTGGTGTCTGAGCTGGCAGCAGGGAGCACACTAACTGCCCTCACAGTGCACATGCATTCATTATTTCAAAATACTTAATATAAAAAAGTCCAATAAGAAATCCGTTACAAGAAATTTCGACATTACTTTTGTCGGCCAAAGAAAAGGAAGAACTGTTTGAGACCTTAAATATAAATTCAACTGTCATAAATCTCTGAATGTTTGTTTAAAAAAATGGTTTCAAAAATTTCTCACCCACTTGTGTGAACAAAGTTTCTAGTCAATGGTGCCTATCAGGAAATTGAACAAATTATCACTAAGTCCGAGGCATAAATTGCACTGTAGGCATTTTTTTAAGCATCAAAACGGGTACTTCAAAAAGGTTATGCTCAGGAAAGCCCTCAATTTTCTCATTTAAATACTTTTATAGATTTCTAGAACTCTCACACAAATTTATTTTTAATATCTTTTTTAAACTGTGTGCTTTAACATTTTTCACCAACCTTTTAATGTAAAAAAATGTAATGAATATTTTGACCGGGTCCCACACAGAACCCCAAGTCCCCTCCACTTTGCTGCAGTGCAACCCTCGAATATTGTTTTCTGTGCATGCCATGACATGAAAAAGCAGCAAGCTTGGGAAGCTCTGTGGAATCAGAGAGAAATGAATAAAAGATGATGTGCATGTGCAGAGCCAGGACAGCTGCGATTCAACAGCCTTCCCAGGAGAGCCTGCGTGTGAGGAGCAGCTCCCCGGGTGGGAGCCGCACTGCGGGAAAAGCAGGGGGCTGCAGAGGCATGACCCTGAGGCACAGTCATGGGCGGTGTAAGCCAGCAGGCCTGGGTGGGGACAGAGGCATGTAGGGTTTGTTGGCCTTGCCTGGGAGCCTGGTGAACGCTGCAGAGCCAGTTGCGTGTACCTATCTGCTCTTACCCCTTGGGACAATGCTCCCAGGCTTTTGCAGACACCCCTCCCTGAGACATGACCACGTGTCCCTCCCATATACAGGGTTTCTATTTTAGAAGTGCTCCCTCTCACCCAGATTTCAGCCACCTGAAATGTCTCTGTATTCCCTTTTCCAACTGTGACCTCAGTGTGTACACATCAGCCTTATAAAGCACCCATCCACAGATGCCAAATGTAAACCCGGAAATCACAGGTTGTGGGGGCTGCCCCACACGATGGGAAATGCTCCGGCCAGAGACTTGGGCTGCATCTTGTTTGGGCCGCTGTCCAGCCAGGGGAACCCTGGCCACCCAGTGTTTCTTTTCTGCCCTCAGAGTCCTCACTTGTAAAACAAAGGGGTTTTACTAAATGATCTTTAAGGCTCCTTGTAGACTTCATATTTTCATTTTCTGAGGTAATCAACATCCAAAATATTTAACTTAAATTCTGGTTGATATCACTGGATCAAATCACTAGAATGCTATCCCCTTGAGAACAGAAACTATAACTGCATTGTTCAAGGCTGTGTCCCTGGTGTTAAGAACACATCCTGGCATGTAGTGGGGGCTCAGTAAATATTGGAAGGAAGGATGGATGGATGGATGGATGGACGGATGGATGGATGGGTGGATGGACGGATGAGTGGATGGATGGATGGATGAGTGGATGGATGGATGGATGGATGGATGGATGGATGGATGAGTGGATGGATGGATGGATGAGTGGATGGATGGATGGATGGATGGATGGATGCATGGATGAGTGGATGGATGGATGGATGGATGGTTGGATGGATGGATGAGTGGATGGATGGACGGATGGACGGATGGACGGATGGATGGATGGGTGGATGGGTGGATGGATGGATGGATGGGTGGATGGATGGATGGATGGATGGATGGATGGATGGATGGGTGGGTGGGTGGATGGATGGATGGATGGATGGATGGATGGATGGATGGACGGATGGACGGATGGGCGGATGGATGGATGGACGGATGGACGGATGGGTGGATGGATGGATGGACAGATGGACGGATGGACGGATGGATGAGTGGATGGATGGATGGATGGATGGATGGATGGATGGATGAGTGGATGGATGGATGGATGAGTGGATGGATGGATGGATAGATAGATCCACCCATCTATCAGTCCATACATGATAGATGCTTGGGGGGGATGGACACCCCCCCTCACCCTGATGTGATTATTACCCATTGTATGCCAGTATCAAAATACCCCACACACCCCGTAAATATCTATACCTACTATGTACCCACAAAAATTAAATATTAAAAAGAAACGGCAGCTCCTTCCCATCCCCCATGCCCTGGCATTTCCTGCCCTCTGGTTCTATTGTCCTTTCCTGATCACCACCTGGGATCCTGTATCTCTTCCTTTTGTATTTGTTTACTGCACATCTCCTCTCACCAAAATCTAAGCTCTATGAGGGAGCTTTGGTCTGTCTTGGTCTAACTGTAACTCCACTGCCCACAATGGTCCCTAAAACCAAAGGGGCACTCAGGCACATCTGAGAACGTCCATCATTTATTTGAAGTCATTGTTAAGTGCTTACTCTCAGGGCCGCTGCACCCCCACCTGTAGGAACTTGGCACAGTCCTGGCGAGCGGCAGGGGCCCTGGACCCTGAGCTGGGGCAGGAAACACAAGAATCAAGCAGTCTCTGCCCTTGAGGACGGGATATCCTGTGGGGAGGTGGACACTACACCACATGAGGGCAGCATGGTGGGGTGGGCACCAATCCACACAGTGCAAGCTACCATGAGACACGCCTCCCGATCACTGTGTGTGTTAGGTGGCATTGCAGGCGCCCTGAATGTCCCCAGCCTTGACAGCCACATGCAGTCAGCAAAGGCCACCTCCAGAAGGCGCAGAAGGCAGGCATGTGATGACTCAGAGCATTTTCCAAGAGCAGTGGCAGAAAAGCAGCCCAATGTTGCCACCACCTGTCACAGCCTGGGTCGGCCCATTCGAGGCAGCCAGTCATACACCATCCATCAACAGGGAGTTGGGTCCCACATCCCCCTCCCTACTCCCCAAAAGACAACCAGAGCCAAAGCTGGCAACGGCTGCCACCTCTGCACTGCGTCAGTGAACAGACCCAGCTACATGGGAAGAGGGGTACTTGTCACCTTTTGTGAGGGTGTCTCTCAGCTTGGCTTCAAAACCCACATTCCCACCTCTTATCTCCTCCTGGAGACACAGTACACAGCTAACATGAAAGCAATTAATTGAGGCCTTTTACCAGACCAATGCGCGTTTCACTCCATGTAGTACCAAGTTAATTATTTAATAGCACAGAAATGCCAGCAGCCTGTGTGGGCTGAGGCTGCCGTGAGCAGCAGAGAGAGCATCTTTTCCACTCCTCTTCATTGGTAAGGAGGCCACAGGTCGCACTGCCCAGGGGCCGAGTCCACACCTGGAAGGGCCCACGCCTTCTGCAGTCGGCACCTCCCCCCGGGCAGCCAAGCAGGCTGGACTGTGGACTCTGCCCAAGGTAACTGCTCATTTGTTTTTCCCACTGTATGGACGAGGAACCGAGCTCTTCCTCCATGATTCAGGAGGGCAAAAGGGGCAAGAGCCCTGCTGGACTCTACGCCTCCTACCACAAGTGGGTTGCCTTCAAGAGGACTCATGGGAGAACAAAGGCAAGGCCGGTGCCAGGCTTGCAGTCAGTGTGCCAAGTGGATGAGCATCCCTTCAGTCCCAACGGCCAAGCAGGCAGCTAGCACAGGCCACGGGAGTAAAATCGCAACAAGTAGACAGCATTCCCGGGAGCACTGCAGGGTCAAGAAGAAATTTAAATCAAGTCTGTGCGCTCAGAGATGACAAACTAGTTGGGAAAACACGTCTTATGCACGTGAGTGTATACGCAACCACAGAAGCCATACACAAAACACCAAGTACACGACCCAACAGGTCAGTCCTGGGAGACCAGAAGACACCAAGCTGACAGCACACTAAGGCAGGCAGGGAAGGCTTCCCGGGGAAATGGAGATGAGGTCGGGCGGTCCCACAGCCAGTAAGTGTTGAAGCTAGGTTTTGAACTCAGGGAGTCCAGCTCCACAAAGCTCATCAAATTGTGATTATTCATCACTGTCTCTATGTCTTTACAAGTGCTGTCTTTTTAATTATTACTATACGTCACTGTGACATCAATGGGGCTTTCACAGAAAACAACCACCTGGAACGCAACGCCCGCGAATCAAAACTGTTGGTCCTGTTCCTGTTCCCCTCTAGTCCAATCTCTGCCTTGGTACAACTGTTCCCATGCTGTTTGGCCCACAGCTGCTGCTGAAGCCCGACCAGCCTGCCCATGCCAGCCCCTGCCAAGGACTCCCAGGCCCCCTTGCACCCAGCGACTGGAAAGGTAATGCCTAACGGCCCAACATCTTTAGAGCTGTAATCTGTCACCTCGCAGAGGAGTGCTGATGGTGCCCAGACAGACTGCTCAGTTATGCCTCTGGAGTGGGAGGTGCAGGAGGTCACCATGGGCTTTGTGCGGAACCAGGAGAAGCAGCCCTGGCTGTGAGATCAGGCCTGGCGAGGACAGCTCCTGCAGTGCCAGCTCTGCACCACCTCCAAGTGCTGCTGCCTCTGGCATGGGAGGTGTTATCATGGACACCATAAATGTGGGACCTTCAGGACTGGTGACAATTTTGATGGGCTGCACTAAAAAATCTGTAAAGGTGGTTAAGATTTAGCATGACTGACTGCCTAAATGCTTCCTTTCATGTGTCTATAAAAGTGATATTATCAAAGCGGAGCTCTGGGACGATTAATCTGGTTGCAGTTCTCAAGGAGTCCAGGCAATATTACTGCCAGGCCTGGAGGTGTGACCGGGGGGTGTGGGTCAGTGTGGCCATGGCCCTGGCAGGGGCAGCGGGGAAGGAGGGTGAGCTAAAGACGCTGGGTTTCATTTTGAATATGTTGAGTTGGAGGAAGAGGTCAGCCTGGAACTTAGGAGCGATGGAAGAGCCAGCATTCTTGCCTTAGCTTGGGGGTGAGGTTCCCCTTGCTCACTGCAGTTTCTCAAGGCCCGAGGCTTTGCGCTGTGGAAAGAAGTCTGAAATTTCAGGGACAGGGACAAGTGTTGCATGGGAACCTCCATGGGAAAGACAAGGTGGTAAGGAGAGGTCTTTGGGGCTGCCGCCTCCCGACCCCCACTGAAGACAGAAAGGAAAAGGGGCCAGAGGGAGATTTGTCTGGGGAGTAACGGGCAAACTGAGAATGCCATCCGCTGCAAGCTACAGCCACCCTGGGCTCTTCACACGTAGACAGAGCCGCCCCCTCCCATCAAGCGTTGCGGGCCAGCACTGCAGGACCCTGGCCTACAAAGGCAATGGGCCTGTGGCTGGCGTCACCCTCCCTCTGGGCAGCCGTGCAGGCACCCACAGGCCCTTGTGACTTTGGTCTTTTGAGAACTATGACAGTTCTGCCTGTAAGGTATGTTTTTTCTCTGTTTCTTTCTCAGCCACCATCACCAAGCTACTTACCACTTAGAAAGGGGAGTAAAAGTCAGGCCTGGAAGCAAACCCCGAGGAAGGCTGGGCTCAGCCTGTTGTGGGCATGGGAGGGCCTCTCTGCCTGAAAGCCGTGAGAGGTGAAGTCCAAGGATGGTCACTGAGGCCTCAAAGGTCTCCTCACTGTGCCACTGAGTCAGATCTTGAGTTCATCCAGGCTTGTGGGGACCCAGAGGACAGAAGATCATGGCTGTTGCCACCCATCTAGAAAATTGAGCCTCTTTCCACGTGTCCTTGGCCTGTGAGTACAAGCTGTCTGATCTGTTGATTGGAGGCTTGAGACAGAACACAGACACAATCCCATCAGGAATTTTCCAGAAGCCTCTGAGATGCCCCCTCCACCCACAATGCCCGAAATAGACAGCTCCCTCAGCGAGCAGACCTCTGGGGTCACAGACCATTTATAAAGGAGCGTGGTGCTCACTAATGCGGCTTTGGAGCTACAGCAAAGCGTAGCAAAAGCCTTGGGAAAAGTTCAGAGTGAGATTAGATCGAGGCTTTCTTGTCTGGGCAAGGCGAGGAGGCTGCCGTCACCTGGCTGGCGGGGAGACCTTAACCCCATGAACTTCAGAGTCTGGCCCCTTGGCCCAGTGCACCCTGGGAAATCCCCTGACTGCTGCACTGGGGAGTGACTGTGGTGAGGGACGTGTCCTCCCCCAGGGCCTCTGCCCTCCATTTGCCTCACAACCCAGGGCCCAGCACAGTCGGGATCACCAAGGTTAGAGCTGTTTCCTCCTCTCAGAACCACAGAGGGGGCCCTGAAAGTGCAAGATTGGAATGCCACTCCAAATGCCACGTGGCTTCCCTGGGACCCACTAACTGGGCAGCAGGGACCTCAGTGCTCTGGGAGGAGTTGGTGGTCCTGACGCTATGCACCCCTTTGGGCAGAATGACCCCCAGGGGACAGAGGCAGCGAGGGGCATCACTCAGATTACCTGGTGGACCCTCACACACCACTCTCATTAAATAGGTAAGAGAATAAAAGCTCAGAAAGGTTCGGTGAGCTGTCAAGACATATGGGGCAAGCCCGTGTTCTAGCCCAGATCTGTGTGAGGTTGAAGCCTTTGAAGGAAGGGCATGGCCCATGAATAAAGGATGTAGCCAAAGGGATCCAGAAGAGGTAGGCTTCAGAATTCCACCCACTCATGGACAGCCAGGTCCCAGTGAGGGCCAAGAAAGACCAGCTCCCTACACCATGAGCCTGGCTGAGGAGCCAGCCTGGAACCCTGGGAAGGAAGGGATCTGTGCTCCATTTGGGCACGCAGAATCATGCCTGATCCCAGACAGACTTTATGTCATCAGCTTTTCAGCTTTACTCTCCAGGATGGTGGATTTGATAGAAGAAGGAATTGTCTGGGTTGTATGTCCAATATGCAATTGTATTGTATATGGGACATCCTAGTTCTCGCTCCTCTGCCCCATCCCAGCTGCTTCCCTATGAAATCAGCAGTGGTTCCCCCGACCCGCCCTCCCCTGCTCTCTCCCATCACCCAGGCACTGCAATCTCCCACTCCATCTCCTCATCCCTTTACCCTGAGCCCCTTTCTGGTGGCCCCCAGATATATCCCCAGGGTTTTTTTGTTTTGTTTGTTGTTGTTGTTGTTGATATTGTTGTTGTTTTTGAGACAGAGTCTCGCTCTGTCACCTGGGCTGGAGTGCAATGGTGCGATCTTGGCTCACTGCAACCTCCACCTCCTGGGTTCAAGTGATTCTCCTGCCTCAGCCTCCCAAGTAGCTGGGATTACAGGCACCCACCACCGTGCCCGGCTAATTTTTGTATTTTTAGTAGAGATGGGGCTTTGCCATGTTGGCCAGGCTGGTTTCAAACTCCTGACCTCAGGTGATACACCCACCTCGGCCTCCCAAAGTGCTGGGATTACAGGTGTGAACCACGGTGCCTGCCCCCCGCCCCCAACCAACAGGATTTTTTGTACATTACAATGGCATGACCCAAACCCTTCCCAGGAGCAGAAAGGGCTGAGACTACCAGCCAGGTCCCACCCAGGGACCACCCTGGGAACCCTGGGCACCTGTACCCACCTCACACACTGCCTCTGACCGGGCACAAGAGCCAAGCCCCATGCACCAAGGATGGAAGAGAAAGCCTGGGAGATGTTCTCTCAGCAGGATCGCTGTCTTAGAGGCTGGACCTCTCTGTGGCTATGATGCCCCAGCAACTTTTATAAAAAGTTATCTCAGTGCCGTGCTGCTCTCAGAGTTGCTGGGATCAAAAGAACAGCTTTACTCAGGGGGAAAAGACAAGGGACCGAAATAGTCAGGATATATACAGCCAGTTGGACAGCGCGGCTCTGCTAAACTGGATATTTGGGTTTTGTTTTGTTGTGCCTTTTTTCTCTCCTTGCTGAGATGCTTGGAGGAGGTACTGTGGGGTGCAGACCACGCCACTCTGCAGGAGGAGGGAAGTAGGAGCCGTTGCTTCCTGATAAAGAGTCGGCAGAAACCACCTAGGTTGATACTAGGTCCTGAGCTCAGACCCCTGTCTTAGCAGGTAAGTCGGATGGGAAAATAGGCATTCTCCATTAGTAATGGGCTCTCCACCCTCTAGGACTATTCAGGTATTTGACTGCTGCTCCAATATGTCTCTACGGGCCACAGGTACACGTGCCATCCAGGTGCACAGACTGTAGGAAGACTCAGGCGTCTGCCCCTGCCACCTGCGGCTGCCACACGGAGTGACGCCCTGGGTGGGAGTCATGCCTCCTGTGAGGCGTGTCATGAAGGCGCCCGCCTGGGGACCGAGTCTGCACAAAAGTAAGGGGCCCTGCCCCCAGATGCAGACAAGGGTCTTCTCTGGACAGACATGGCCCCAGAAGGAAGTTCTCCTCTCTAAGGGTGAGAGGGAAATGGACCAAGCCCCTGCTTCTTTGTGACAGATTACTTGCAGGGATGGCAGTATTGAACAATAATGTTAATAACAAAGTTATCATTACATATATCACAATTAATAAAGCAATTTATATTTATTAGGCACCTGCTATGTGCATAGTACTCTGTATGCAATATGAAAAGAAAGCATAACATGGCCAACCTGTAATCTATAACACGTTAAAGACATCCTCAAAATGCCCTCAATTCATTCCTTATTCACTCATTGACTCCATATTTGATGGCCTCACCTATTTGACCCCAACACTGAGCTAGACATCTCCAGAGATGCTAAGACAAGGCAGATAGATTTTCTAGCCTTATAGGGAATACATTCTGATTAATTGACTCAAATTATGATGCACAAAAAGCCATTGTGGGTGCCCAGGGAAGGGCGTGACTACTGAGCTGCGCCTGGGAGTGTTCAGTAGGAGTTGGACAGCTGGAAAGGGGAGAAGAGAGTGTTCTATGGAAAGAGGACAGTATTATCATCACATTGGCAAGGGCAATGCAAACACAGTAACAAATAACTGGCCATAAAGGACAAAATGTGATAAATGTCAAATGAGTGTTTCACTTGGTAAGTGCCAGAAAATTTGGAGAAGAACGCCTGTTTGAATTGGGGTGATCAGGAAAGACTACACGAAGAAGGGGAGGTCATAAGGAGTAACCTGTGGAAAGGGGAGCATATTCCAGAAGAGGACAAGGTCAACGAGAGCCAAAGTTTAGGACACCTGGGACTGTGACCACAGAGTTAGGAGTTTATTCTTGGATTAAATCTGTCACTTCCATCACAGTCCTTAGCAACAGGATCATGGTTTCCTGCTTATGTGAGGGCTGTGTTTGTGGTGACAATTGCATCCTCTGTGCCT
Source organism: Homo sapiens (assembly GCF_000001405.40). Classification (NCBI taxonomy): domain Eukaryota; kingdom Metazoa; phylum Chordata; class Mammalia; order Primates; family Hominidae; genus Homo; species Homo sapiens. The sequence continues at coordinate 134,432,999 of NC_000011.10, read as the reverse complement.
GCCCTAGTTCTTGCTGTGTATTAAGTATTCAATAAACATTTGTTGGACGGATGAAGGGATAGATGGATGGACAGATGTCATTCTTTATGGACATCACTTTTAATGGTCCCATAGTATTTTATTAGAAGGATATAACATGACAGAACATACTGAACAATAATACCATTGTTCAACCATAATTTTTGGACAATTCTTGTTTGTTAATTCATTTGCTGCTTGTATTTCCCACTAAACGATGAATTCCACGAAGAGCAGGAACTACATACATTTTATTCACCAATGTGTCCCCAACGTCTAATGCAGTGTTTAGAACATAACAGATCTTGGTATTTATTGAATAAATTATTTAAAGAAGGCATGAACATTTGGATTGTTTTCAACATATGGCCATTATAAATAACACTGTGGTAAACATTATTGTGGATGAATCTCAAAAAGAAAGGAGAATTATTTAATCAAATTGAACATGTATAAAAGCTTCAACATGTGTGTTCATAATGTTTCAGTTAAAGGCAGTGATTTATTCTTCCATCAGCAATTGCCATTTGAGAAGACTACTAGTAATCCTCAACACTTGAAACCAATTAAAAGTACGTCTTTTAAATCTTTGCTAATATTGTACATAAAAATAGTTTCTCATTTTTAACACATTTGTTTCTGGAAAGAATTTACATTTTTACTATGTTTCTTAGTCCTTGGCATTTCAAATTGTATGTATATAATCTTCTGTCCATTTTCCTACTGAGGTCTGTTCTAGTCCATTTTTGTTGCTATAAAGGAATACCTGAGACTGGGTAATTTGAAAATACAATAGGTTTATTTGGCTTAGGATTCTGCTGGCTGGAAGATCGGGCATCTGGAGACGGCCTCAGGCTGCTTCCACTCATGGCAGAGGTGAAGGGGAACTGGAGTGCAGGGATCACATGGAGAGAGAGGAGGCAAAAGAGACAGGAAAGATACCAGGCTCTTCTTAACAACCAGCTCTGCTAGGAACGAACAGAGGGATGACTCACTTGACCCAGGGAGAGCTATAATCTATTTATGAGGAATCTGCCCTCCTGACTCAAACACCTTTCACTGGGCCCCACCTCCCAAGACCACCACAGTACAGATTAAATTTCACCATGAGATTTGGAGCAGTCAAACACCCAAACTATAGCAGGCCCTTAATGTTTTTCTTATGAATATAATAAGTAAGAACCCTTCTCATAATTTATTATTTTTCTTTGATAGTTGTAACCTTTGCCTTTTCATTGTAGGATCCTTTTGATGTACTGATGTTTTTAAAAAATATATAGCCAAATCTGTTGTAAATAAATATCCATAAGCCATAAGGAACTTAAACAAATTAACAAGCAAAAAACAAGCAACCCCATTAAAAAATGGGCAAAGGACCTGAACAGACACTTCTCAAAAGAAGCCATACACACAGCCAACAAGCATATGAAAAAAATATGCTAAAAATATGCTCACCATCACTAATTCCATCATATTCGTGCCTGGAATGTCCTTTACACCTAGAGGCAAGCATTGACTTAAATTCTCACCTCTAATTTTAATATGTTTTTTCTCCCCTAGTCCCTTTTGCTTTGTGGTATGAATCAGGGTCCTAACATTTTCTATTCGCAAAGAAAAAGCCATTTTTCCCTGTGGTACATATTCAGGGGCCCCTCCCTCCCACTGAGTTGCCATTCTGCCTGTATAAAGGATGGTTGTTTGGGTGACCCTCAATAGATCTCTCACCTCTCTGAACAGCCGCACTGCCATGGTCAGTAATGATTTATGATATGTTCTGACATATGTTTAAGCAAGCCCCCTCATTCAACTCCTCTGTCATAATTCTTAGCTATTTTCACCTATATATTTTTTAGATAAACTTAACATTTATTTTTTCAAATCTTTTTGTTCTCCTAAAAAAAAAAAAAAACAGTTTAAGGAAAAGTTAAACTTCTAAGTTAATGTTGGAAGAATCGACATCTTCACGATCTCCAGTTTTCTCTTTCCCGCTGTTATTCAGGCTTTCCCTGCATGTGCTGGGTGGTGTTTGGGTGGGACGTGTGGGTAATGGGGGAGCACTCGGCCTTTCCTTCCCAGCAGGGCTTTTACCCCTGGAGGCAGAGTATGCCCATGCTGGCTTTGAGGGCTCTCTGAAGCTGTGGGATTCTCTGACAGAGCTGTGAGGATGAGATCCATACAGCAATTATTCAGCTAATTTACAATCTGAATGAACATTTTGATCTGAATTAATTTGGTAAATTGGGCCAAAATGAAGATGAGAAGCAAGATGTAGACAGTAGCAACATTATGGCATAATTTTTTCAACTAAAGAAAGAAGGACACCCATACACATGAACCCTAATCTCAGCCTGCCTGTGTGTCACCGGCACATGCAGAAGCACCCCCTCCCCTCTCCGGGCCTCAGTTTCGCATTTGCCAAGTGAAGAGTTTAAACCAGGTGGTCCCGAAATTCCTTTTTTCTCTGGGTTTTTACCAGCCAATTTGCAAACTATCATGTCTGCATTTGCTTACTGACTAACAAATTCTGGGAGGCCTCATTTACTGGCCCAATTGTATAACTCCAATTATATAATATACGATCTGAGTTCTGCATTACCATCTGTGGCTCTAAGGTCAAACCGAATACCCCAGACTTGCAGGAGATGACACACTTGTTAAGACACTGAATCGGCCTCCTGGTGCTTTTTCCCAATACTGAAGTACAAGCTGGAGAAAGACGGGGGAGTCTAAAGGGTCTCCCGCTGGCTACGGGTCTTTGGGACCAAGGCTGGATGACAAGGGCCCTAGCCATGGACACTGCAGGGAGGCCAGTGGCCTTTCAGGTGAGCCCGCACGCCCTGACAAATCCTAGCAGCAGAACCACGGGGATGTCCAGAAAAAGGGTCCTCGCTGCTGCACAGGTGAATTCTAATTCCGAGACCACCATGTACCCAAGCAGACAAGACGTTGCAGAGGACCCACCAAGTATGGTGCTGGATGAAGGAAATAAAATCACAGACCCCCCTGCAAGGCTCAATTGCACAGACCTAAGAGAGCTCCATAGAATCTCAACCCACAGGCGGAGAGCTGGGTGGAGATGCCATAGGAAGAGGAAAGGCGCAGTCGGACAGCCCTGAAGCCCAGTCTCCACTCACCACTCACCAGCTGTGCAACACTGAGCACATCGTTTGTCTTCCCTGAGCCTCAGTTTCTTAACTTATAAAATGGGTGTTATTAATTAAACGAGTTCGCAGAGGTAAAGTGCCTCACACATGGAAGGTAGTCAATACATGTTATTTTCTTCCTTTCTTTTTTTCCAAGCCAGACACAGAGATAAACCAGAAAGAGATGTGGTCCAAAAACAATGTCGAATCCCAGCTCCCCCACCTCCTAACAATGTAAATTTGATCCCCTCTTGAACCTTCCTTTGTTCACCAGTGAATGAGAAAAATAATACCCACAGCAAATAAGAAATCGGCGGTCATGAACGTTCTTTATCAACTGCAAAGTGTCGTGAAAAGGCAAGTGAAGACTCTCATTGTTAAAGAACAGAGGAGAGGAGAACCTGTCTACTGATTCCACGGAGCCTGCAGTTGCCGTGTGGCTGCATACGGGGTGACTTCATGGTAATTAGTTGCCCAATTCCCATCATTAGAGCGGATCCAGCAGGCTGCCTGGGCCTGGGAGCGGAGCCACTGTCTGCTGATCTAATGATGATGCTCCCGTGCTAACCTTCCCCCGGGGTGCTCTCCATCACTGGGCAGCAGGCAGACGAGCTATTTTCTGGTTTGGCTTTGCCTCTCACAGCTGGGCAGCCGCCTCTGGGCTGGAACCAGGGGACTCTTGTGGGATGGTTTTTTTTCACTGCAATGTTATTTTCTAGGAAAATAGGATCAGAGGTGGAAGTTGCACTCCCTGACTCTCTGAAAAAAAGTTAAATGTAGATGACATGCCCCTTGGGTCTATGGGTCTTGCATCTGTCATTCCCCCTGCATAGGACTCTTGTGCCCAGGCCCCCCTCCAGTATAGCTGCTCCTTGAAGACTCAGTTCCAGGTGCTCAGAAGCCTCTCTGCAAATTTGCCACATTGCATGATCTCTCCATTTCTAGTCCTCTGCCATACATGACAGTGAGCTCCTGGGGGGCAGGGACTGAATCTTGCTCTTGTTTGGGCCTCCAGTGCCTGGCTCATAGTAGGCACTCACCTTGAAAACAAATTCCAGCAAACCCAAGCTCCACTGGATGTCCATGTGCTGAGGACCTAGGTAGAGTGGCTGGTACTCGCTTTGGGAGTGAAAACGGAGCAGGAGGGAGCAGGAGGGAGCAGGAGGGAGCAGGAGGGGCGAACCTAGGGGCACCCACCTCACCTTGGGAGGGCCAAGGCCCTGCTTGGGCCAGAAAATTCCTGAATTTTGAGTTCTACTTATGGTGACCATGTTTTCTAGACCAAAGTTTGGAAAATGGTGTCCTGTCTAAGGAATGCATGTTATTGAAATGAATACAATCACGAGAATCAACAGAGCCTTTTACATGCAGCACCTGTAGCTCCACCAAGAGGAAAAGGCATCTCCGTGGAGCAGGGCGGAGGCAGACAGTGAACTTCCTGGTGCTCTGATTCAGGCTGTAAAGCGACCCTCAGCAAAACTGATAAAGCGTCGCCGGTTAACATTCTGCGAGGAACCCCAGGTCCTCACCACCAGTTGGGGTCTCAGCAACCGTGCAACCCCACCAACAGCAGTGGGCCACAAGGGTACAGGCTCCTTCGCAGCCCCTTACCCCTGCCCCAGAGGCTCCACAGAGAGAAGAAATTTGCTTTCTCATCTCCCTCAGGTCCCTCTCAGTTGGCTGGACATGAGTTTGACCCACTGAAGGCCCTCGGAGAGGCTGTCCTGAGCATTTGAGCTCCACATGAGACCCAGGGAATGGAGGGGCACCACTGACAGCGGCCTGGATGTACCTCCTTCCTTTCCTGCTACAAAGAGAAAGCACTGGCTTCTGCTTCTAAGAAATAGCACTGCTCTATTCAGAATTCTGTTTGGGGTTTATTTCTTCACAGAGTTTTCATTAAGAAGGAAAAGTATATGATCTTCCTGCATCAGTTAATCCTGCTGTGAGGAGATGCGATTTACCTAGGTGGGGCTCAGCAGAGTGCAGTGAGCTTCTGGCTCCTAGCAGGATACGTCCCTGCCCCTGTTGAAGTGCTGGGTGCAGGGGAGGCCGGGGAGGAGAATGTCCAATGCCCCTGCAGACCTGACCCAGCATGCTAGGGAGGACCAGTCCTGCCTCGCCCGGGAGGACCCCAGGCCGACAGACACCCACGAAAGGGAAGGTGCCTGGGCCTTGCCATCAAAATGTTTGCCTTGGAGAGTGTGAGGTCCCCACACCTAAAGATGCTCTCGCCTCATGAGAGGCTGGGATGGTGGGGATAGGGGGACCTGCAGGCCCAATGCACTATGGACACTGTGGACCTGTGGCAGCTCATGCTCATCCTTCCATGGGAGCCCCGTCTCTGTTCGCTGCTCAGCACTCATTTCCTCACGTTTACTGTGACCTTTCCACAGACTAGGAAACTTCAGTCCCTATGGCAGGTCCTGTTTCACAGCTGCCTGGCCTTCCTGCAACCGCTGCCTGCCAGGCTGACCTTCTCCTGGGTGCCTCTGTACCAAGCAGTCCCCACCTGCCAAGATTTTAGCCTACCCCAACTTTCCCCAGCATTGGCAATCCATCTGGCTGGCTTCCCTGCTGCTGAAACCTGCCCTGATGCCCTCCCTGCAATTCTCAGTCTCCTGACCCCACAGTCCCCAGGCACACCAGCTGCCAAATAAACCTGAGGTCTAAGGATGTTGGTTCCAGAGTCTGCCCAGTTCCCTTTGAATGTTATCAAGCCCAGCACTATGCCTCATTTACCTTAGGATCAAGGTTCTTTATCACAGTGATGCTAAACTAGTTCACTGCAGAATAACTAAGAAGTAACTAAGTTTAGACACAGCCATGCATGCAAATCACAGGCATTTAGAGGCAGCAAGAATCTTAGACCTAGCTCATCCAGCCCACCCACCTCACTTCAGAGTTAAAAAGATTCCAGCTCAGAGAGGGTTAATGATTGCCAATGGTCACACAGCAAGCCAATCACTTATAAAAGCAATATGGATTTCTCCACACCCAACTGATGGTCTAGGTATAGTCCTGCTGAGAGACAGAAATAGGACTCAATGGCAGGTGTGAAGTCCAGGGCTCAGCAGCAGGAAAATGAACATGTGCCCATGGCTAGCTTCTCTGGCCCCTCCAACTTGGTGTTGATGGAACTTGGGTCCCAAGTCGTAAAAGAAAGGTTCTGAAAACATTTGGTCCATGTCGCTGCCTCCAGCCATGTATGTATCCTCACCATGTCTTTGGCAATCCTGTTTCTATTCTCCTTCTCACTTACCCAACTAAACACTAACATGGTCCAACTAAATGTCACCACTGGACCTATAAACTAAGGCAAATCAGATCTAAGTTCTTGAATTCCTCGCCACCCACAGGCTGTGGGTCTGAGGACAAGTTTGGGAGAGAGAATATGCTTCTGTCGGCAACCTCAGCTTCCTGCCTGGTCCTCCCTGCAAAGCTGAGCTCCCAGGGAGGAGGGAGGACAACAGGCCTAGCCAAAGAAACACCATGTGAGGAGCCTCAGGGCCCCAGTGCCTGATGGCTGTGCTGATCTAATTGGGTTGTAGGAGGAGGAGAAATCTGAAGCCCCACATGACAGAAGGTTCCAGCTCAATCTGTGGCTTGCGCTGAAGAGCTAAATGACACGTAATTCAGTTAAAGGAGAAGGAAGCAAACCTCATCACAACAGTTGAAAACACGAAAACAACAAATAAACAGCTGCTTTGAGCCGGCAACAAGGAGGCCAATTTGATCTTTGCAGAAAGAAAAGTGCCATTTTGCCTGTGTGTGTATGCACGAGCGAGCGGGCATGTGTGTGTGCAGGGAGGGGTGGCACACTCCGGGAAGCGGCAGCTGCAAGCAGTTGAGAGAACAGCATCAACCAAGTTCTCGGAACAATCTGTGAGATTAGAGCTGTGCCCTTCACAGCACATAGAGGAGGGTCCCAAGTTTCAATACTCAGGCTATACCCACTCGCAATCCCCCACCGCACTCATTCTCCACCTGTTGCAGCCTGGCCACGGGGGAAATATTTCGACTCTGACTGCCAAATGTCCTGCTCTTGAAAGTGCGCCACATACCCACCAGCCACTGGTGAATGTGAGACAAATAACACAGGTCTTCCCCTTCAGTGTGGGAGGCAAACAACCTCAAAGAACCACAGATGAGCAACACAAAATAGGATTCCAGATCCCTCTCCAGAGTTAGTGATCAGAATCCACTAGGGCCCAGTGAGTCAGTGTTTTAGTAGGTACCTCAGGTGATTCCTTTGCACACAAGGGGTGAGGTGACATGTTGTCTCTAAGAGCCTCAGTTAGCTATTGCTATAAAAATTCTGCATAACAAAAATAAACTCAGAAACTCTCAATAGTGTAAAACAATAGTCGTTTGTTCTCACAGATCAGCAGGGAAGCAGAGGCAGCTCAGTTTCCAGCTGTAGACCCTGGATTGCCAGGAGGCTGGGGGCTGCTCCACGTGTATTTATTCTGGGTCCCAGGCTGAGGGCACAACAACTCTTCCCACAGCAAAGAGGAGGAAGACAAGGTGGAAACCCAGGAGGCCTTGGGGCCTGATGTCAGAACAGGCTCGTGGTCACCTCCACCCATGCAATGTCCAAAGGAAGTTGCACAGTCAGTCGCAGGGTCAAAGGATGTGGACCAACACACAGAGGAGTGAAGAACTGGGGCCCACTCATCCTTACAGTTTCTTATTTCCTTTATCAGCAAAAGATTCTCAATTCCCAATTATCCCATCTATAAAATGGGTGCACAGTAATCCCCACCCCTACTCTCTCATGGAAGTAATGCAAGGATGTAATAGATAATGTTCTTGATAGTGATTTCTAAACCGTAGGGGCTGATATGTACATTAGCCAACATGCCTGTGACCCCTATACGTGAGTCCAAGAGGTGAAGGAGGGTGGTAGATCAGATGACCTCTCTGTTCTGTCAGGCTCTCCAAGTCTGTGTTGTGTGGCCAGATTGCATACTACTGCGTGTCGGTATTCATTTACTCACCCGACCTGCCCTGATGCTCTCAGCTCAGTGAAAAGCACAGCAGAAGGCCACCCTTGGGTCGACCCAAGTCTTCCTGCTGGAGAGACCACAGTGATACTTCTGAATGCCCAGCCAAGGGATCCTTTCACCATAGCACCCAACTCTATCTGTCCCCAGTTAACATTACACTCCTGCTCCTGAAACCGTCAATCATTCTGGGCTGCAGGAACACATAGATCCCAGGTAGTCAGCAGCTACATCACTCTCAGGATGTCCGCAGTACTAGAGCTTTTGGTAAAGGCCCTGCTCTGTCTGATAAATTTGTTGTGATCCCCATGTATTTTGTTCCAAAGAGCTCTGCCTGGTACCTTGATATTAGGAAAGACACAAACTGATGCTGTGGCATCTCTGTCCTGATACATTAACCGCGATGGGCCGGCACGTGGAATCCTGGCTCAGCTCTTAAGCCCCATTGCCCGCAGTGCTGTGATGTGTTACTGGGCCACTCAGGACCACTGGCAGCCATGCACCTGGAAGCAAATTTGCCCTCTGCTGAAGAGGCCCAGGTGTCTGGAATAAGCCCATGGCTCCCAGTCCTCCGAGACTGAGCTTGAACCGAGACACTGGCTCCTAACACATCTTCCTCTCCAACGTGCATTTGAGATTTGGCTTTTTGTGTGTTTCTGTGGACGGATGGATGGATATCAACCTGCATCCAGTCACTCCTGGCAGCTTGTGGTCTGAAGCCCCTCCTCTCCCCTATCATCCCATCACCCCAGTGATGGGACCCGTGGAACCTCTCCCCAAGCTCCTCTCCAACCTGTATTAAGAGTTTTGACATACCTAGATAAAGACACTCGTCTCCAGGATACAGGGAGACCAGAGAGGATGAAGGCATGCTTTGTGCATTTTCCAATCTGCGCCTCTGCGGTATGTTTATGTCAGTCTCACCTAGAACTCAGTGAGCTTTCTCAACCTTCAGACACAAGTATTTGGCAAACCCAAAAAGATTTTCCTGTATTATTTCTTTATTTATTGCTTCTCCATCTGTTCACTTTTCTCGTTCTGGAATGCCTACTATTTACATATGAAACCTCCAGAATCTGTCCTCCAAGTATCTTATTTCTCCTCCTAATTTCCAACTCTTCATTTTTGCTGCATATTTGAGATTTGTCTTCCACGTGATCTTCTAAGGCACTGATTTACTTCTCTGTACTTGCCATCTCCTTTAACATAGCTACTGAATTTTCCAACTTGGAAAGCAGGACTTTGTCTTCCAGAAAGTCTTCACTGTGCTGTGGTTTAACCTCTCTCGTGCTCTAGTTTCATAATCACTACAGTTAGTTTGTTCTCTGTGTCCTCGAGTAGAGCCACCTACTCTTGTGTTCCAGCTGCTCTCCTCTGTCCTGCTGAAGGTCCCCATAGGTGTGTTTTATTTTCCTCAGATGCCCCACATTTACCTTCTGGGCCCTGGCAGGCTGTTGAATTCCCTCGAGCAGCAGCGAACTGTGATTGCTGTGAGTCCTCGTGGGAAGCCACCCGCCCTCCACAGGGACTCCAGGATGAAGCCACTCTGCTTCTACGCCTTGGTAGCCTCCGCAGCATTCTCTCAGCTTCGGCGGTGGGGAGGGATTCAGCCCACCCCTAGCACCTCCCGCAGCTTCTCTGGGTCCAGGGAGACCAGCTGTATCCAACTGTTACTTAGAATCTTCCCTGAATTAGCTAATATTCATCTCAAACTTAACATCCAAAACAGAACCCTTGGGTTTTCCTAGGAAATCTGATTATTCCTCCCACTATTCCCCTCCTTCTCCAGTGCACAAACCTAGGCCTTGCCCTTGAGTCCTTGACTTCCCTCACCATGCACATCCAAAACCCAAGTCTTGGTTATCCCAGGTCTAATTACCACATTTTCCCATTAAGATATTTGCTATGTATACAGTAATCAGATTTTCTTAATTAGGCTGTACAGTCCTGGATTTTGACTGCCTACTTCTAATGATTTATTTAGGCACTCATGCACTCAACAAATATGTATTAAGTACCTACTGAAGGCCAGGCCCTGGGTTAGGTGCTTGGGAAACAGTGGTGAACAAAACATGGCCCTCAAGATGCAGGTATGAAAACATGGAACTCAACAGGGAATTCTGCACATAGGGCCAGGGGTAGACAGGGATAAGGGCCGAGTACTGTGGGGATAGAAGGGATAGCTGCCCATTCCCTCTGATTCATGTGAAGGATCCAACCCCTACTTTCTTCCCTGAAGTTTCGTTTACTCTTCCTATTCAGCAGGAGTCCCCAGTAGCCTTGCATCTTCCCTGTCCCACTCCCCATGGGCATCCCACTCTCTTCTGATGGATACCTCCTTCCTCTCACCCATCTGTCTGACACCATCCCCCTTTCCCTGGCAGGAGAGGACCGCCCCACTGTGCTCCTGCCTCACACAGCAGCGGGGGGACTGCAGTCAATCACTCTCTCTTCTGCTGCTCCTGCTGCCAATATCCAAAGGTGGCACTGTTTAAGAGAAGATCCTAGGTCAGCAAACCCTAACTCTAGCTATTCTCAGCTCTACCAGCTTCATGACCTTAGGCAACTCTCTGGGCCTTCTTGGGCCTGCATTTCCTCTTTTGTAAAATAAATCAAATTACAGACAAGATTCCTTCTGGAGAAGATTTCACCCAGAATTGACATCCAATGAATTTATACGACTTTTTTACTATGAATTTAATGGAATGTAGGACTCTTATCTTGGTAAAGAGAAATCAAAGGGTGGACATGATGCTGCTTTCACACTTAGATCCTGTCTGGTGCCCAGGAAGCTTGGTCACTCCAAGTGAGCTTTGTGGACCAGAGGCATCTGCATTACCCGAGCACTCTTCAGAAATGCAGCCTCCGGGGCCTCCAGAATCAGAATCTACACTTTATTCAGACTCTAGTCAGAATCAGAAGATTCCTAAGTGCTTTACAGTATGAGAGGTACTACTCAAGAGGACACAGCCCAAAGTGTCAAAGGGAGGCAGGTTTCAGTTTTGAAAAAGAGAAAGAACTTTTCACCAAAAAGAGCAGACCAAACATGGGATGGGTTGTCTAGAAGGCAGTAAGGATCTCTGCCATCGGGTTCAAGCAGAAGCAGAATGGCCACTTCTCAAGGACGTCGTACAGAACAGAGTATTCTGTAGGAGTGTGGATGCCTTCGCCTGCAGGCTTCCTTCTAACTTGAGGGTATAAGATTTTTAAATTCTGACTCTGCCATTGCCTCAGTTTCCTCCAGGGCGGAAGGGAGCCAGAACTCATGCCCACTGGTCATCTTCACTGGTTTTGAGATGGCATCACCAAGCATGGATGCCATTGTGGGAGGGTAGAGTACAGTAGAGGAGAGTGACAGGCCCCACAGAGACCACATTATTCCCTTGTCACACAGAGACCATTTCCAAAAAAGGCCTCTGCGTCTACTACAAGCCTGGAAACCTCATTCCTTTTGGACTGCAGGAGGGCCCCTTCTCCCTTCCTGGTCAAGGGCCTGGATTCTCAATTTAGAAGCTAATTCTCATTCACATTAGTCCATCTCACAGATAGAATTAGAAGCCGGGTGATGATTTGGAAAATACAATCAATTTAGTCCAATTGTTCTTGCATGTCAGCTCCATGCAGTAATGAAGAATTTGCTCCTCTGGCTCTCGCACTGACAAGGAGCCACTATCTACGGGAGTGAGGCTGGTCTGATAGAACGCGGGAGCTTCACGGTGGAGAGGCACCCAGGCCAGCACCAGAGGGAGAGGCAGGGAGGACAAGGGCCAGATTCTGCTGCTGGGGGAAAACATGACCAGAGCAGGATAATATATCTCTACCAAGCCAGACCACAAGACAGGGCCCATGTCAATGCCCCTGAGTGCACCAGTGTATACAATACACGTGTCTGTCTCCGATTCCTTATACACGATTGGGAGATGATGGCACCTACTGCTCCTCATCTCATGGGATTATACTCCGTGACAAAAAAGAACATAATTCATTGACTTTTAATAAACGTTTACAATAGCTGATGTTCATTAGGCATCAGGCGTGTGGCAGACATCGTGCCAGGCAAAGCAGCCGATCTAATGAACAAGACACAGTCTGAACATCCAAAGAACTGAAGTGAAACTATGCCCTGACCATAAAAAGTAAGAATGACGGCAGTGAGGATGGTGGTGGGGATGATGGCGGTGATGACAGGCAAGTAAGAATGACGGCGGCGGTGAGGATGGTGGTGGGGATGATGGCGGTGATGACAGGCAAGTAAGAATGACGGCGGTGAGGATGGTGGTGGGGATGATGGCGGTGATGACAGGCAAGTAAGAATGACGGCGGTGAGGATGGTGGTGGGGATGATGGCGGTGATGACAGGCAAGTAAGAATGACGGCGGTGAGGATGGTGGTGGGGATGATGGCGGTGATGACAGGCATCCCTCCACAAAGGCACCACTGCCTGGTGACTGATTTTCATGTGCAGTGAAAGATTGTTCCTCCTATTGCTCATCTTGGCTACGAGCTAAAAGACATTAAAATGCTTTTGTACAAAGCAAACAGTATGCATATTTTATGAAATACATTCCTCTGCCTGTTTAATTGTGAGATCTTCAAAAGAGGCAGAGAGATTCACCATTCACCACTGGCATGAATGGATGGGGTTTCAGTGTCAGCCTTGGGAGGCCCCCTGATGCTGTCATGTCCTGGCTCTCTAGGCCTGTGGAGGAAGGAGCTGGAGGGCTAGGCCCTAAGATGTGGCCTGGCCACTTTCGTTCCTCCGGGATCCTCAATATGTCCAGTTGTAAAGTTAAAATATCTACTTTCCCACTGCCTAAGGTTTCTCAAGCCTGGTTTATCACAAATCAATCTGCTGAGATTTACAATAATAATGGTGGTTTTATAGGTCATTAGAAGTGGGTTGTCCTGGAGACTCCTAGAAGTCACCCACACTAGGTTTCCAGAAGCATCTCTAGTGGTCTTCCCAGGTGCTTTCACTGCCAGGACACTCCCATCCTGCCCCTAATCCTTAGTCTAGAATGTGGACATTCCAGTTCCCTGGCAAAACAACACTGCAGCTCTCAAGGTGGTTTCACACTGAGGCTCTGCTGGGCCTTCCTATCTAGCAAGTGTGGACATCTCCAGGTGGTCTGTGGCTGGCCACACCAGGCCAGGCCTAGGAGAGGACTGTGTGATTGTCCCAGCTACGTCAACAGGCAAATGTCACTTAACAAAGCCTTGCATAGGTTTATCAAACAACTGGTGGCCTGGAGCCGGGGACCTCCTCACTGCACAACAGAACTAACTCATGGAAATCGGCTTTCAGTTCTGCCAGTTGGGCCACCATCACACAAAGACAACTGCACCTTGATTTGAAGACCAGGAACCAGGACTCCATCATACCTTCTCTACACCAGGAACTTGCCATCAGCCCCATAGAACACTGTCTTTATCCCCCTGCATTGTAACTCTTCCATTGTCCCTTCTCCCTATTAGACCGTAAGCTCATCGAGGGTAAGTAAGAAGTACTGCCCAGTAACCAGCATCTAGCGGCACCCAGTAAATGGTGGTTAAGTGAGCAAACAAAAAATGGAGGAACTGAAAGATGAGAACATATAGAACTATTGATTTTTACAGACATATAATATGACAAGTTAAAAGGATCTTAAATATCACCTAGCAACCAGAAATGGCCCCCCTGCTCTCTCTCTCTCTCTCTCTCTCTCTCTCTCTCTCTCTGTGTGTGTGTGTGTGTGTGTGTGTGTGTGTGTGTGTGATTACCCTGCCACCCACTCAAGGCAGACATCACTAATTGGTCATGGTGCCCTGTGCTCCTTACCACAGATGTAGCTTCAGTACATTTCACCCAGCTACAACTAGTTTACTGAAATCTGCATCCAGGATAAAACTGATTTGCCATCCCAGATCCAGCTCAGCCCCCTCCTTGGGAACATGAGTCCTCTTAACCTTCTCCAGTCCTTCCCCAAATAGTACAGTTTCCACTCACATGCCTTATCTAGCTGTCACTTTAAAGAAGGTCCTGCCTCTTTCAAAGAAACACAATGACAATGCCTGGAAAAAGGGCTCCGTGTGGATGTCACCTGGCTTCCACAATGCGATGCCTTCCTGCCAAACCCAAGTTCGGCTTCCAGAGTCCTGATACTGCTTACATCCAGATGCGGGAACATATGCCGCGCATGAGTGGAGCTGGCCTCGGTGCTGAAACATGGATATGTATATATGAGACTGTAAAACCTACATTATTGAGGATTTAGGGTGTTTGCTTTGCTGAATGAAGGATTAGAGACCAGAAAGCCCAAAATGACCATCCGTTTGCAGAAAACATAGCTGGAGGATTACAACTGTCAGATGTGTGCTCAAACCCAGGGGGCCCTATTAAAGCTCTCCCTAACTCCCTAGACCCTTAATCTATCACTAGGCTATGGGAGGACAGATCACCAGTTCCCTACAGAGCCCCTGAGTGTTTTCAGCCAGGAAGTCGTAATCAGATAAAAAGCAGTTTTTCCAGCTCCAGGCATGGGTGCAGCCACAGAGGCTTGGGAGCTAATTGTCTGGGCAGTAGGCCCAGGACTTCGATCTTTGGGATCTCAGTGAAGGACCAACCGTTTCATGTTTTGATGAGAGCAGTACCCAGGGTTTCCAGTGGCCTAGCTCCATCATGTTTTCTCAATATCTAAGGAGGGAGGAGCTTTGTCCCTAACACTCAACATGCTTTCTATTCACGGGTCCATATTTCCTCTCTCTCACTTCCCAGAAATCCTGCCAGACTCTTTCTTGTCTCATAAAGCCAACAGGGAAACGTTCTTCAGTCCCGCCAGCTTCCCACAATCAGCCAGGAATCTGCCAGGAAGTATTTGATGTGAGTTATCTCTTTTCCTATCTGGCATAACACATAGTTCAGACCACATGCAGGTTGGGCAAAGGACATCAATGTCCAGTAATTCCAAGTGTCTTTCTTCCCAACTTTGCCACCCTGTTGGCTCCAGGGGAACAGAAAGAAAGTCACCGGCCTGAGTCATCTTGAAATGGAGGAGCGAGATCTTCCAATATGTTGAATTACGCTTCTCAAACCTTTCAGTATGCAGCCTTTCTTTCAGAATATGCCTGAACAAAAACCACTGTTGTAAGTCTGAATTCACCAACAAGTGTTATGGTCTTCTCTTCCTCTTCCATCCAAAAAGTCGCTGTACCCCAACCCCTTGGGTGATCACAAAAAGGTTCTGAAGGCTGCTGCCCACAGGAGACCCCTCTGCCTCTCCCAGTTTTTGACATTTGCAGCAGCCCCTGCCCAGGTCTCAGTGTGGCTTCTCAACAGCTCAGCCTTCTGCCCGGCTCTTCTCCCCTGCAGAAAAATCCGTGGTAGGCACATGGGGAAGGGCAGACAGTAGACAGAAGAATCCGTGGTAGGCACATGGGGAAGGGCAGACACTAGAAGCGAAACACTGAAACCTCAGGCTGGAGAAAACCATGGGACCATAAGCAGGAGCTGGCCCTTCATTTCTGTCTTTCCCACACCTATCAAAATTCCTGGCCATCGGAGCTGCTCAGAATTTTGATGAATGAATAAATGGAATCAGCACATCCATGTGGCAGGACTCCTAGCACCTTTTTTCTTTCTTCCAAATCCCAAAAGGAAAGGGTAAGGAGTCCTTTCTGCAGATGCTCTACTAATACCCAAAGGTCTAGGATGTCTGCCCATCACCCAAGCCACGGAGGGGAGTTTGGGCAGGAAATTAGACGACTCCATCCATCATATTTATTGAACAGCCACTCTCTGGAAGACGCTAGTGCAGGAGGTCACTCACGCACATGAATCCTCAAACTCCAAGCAGAGAGTGTCCTTTCCGCTCCCCATGGCTCTCTCCTCTCTCTCCACTCTCCAGCCTCACCTGCTGCACGTGTTCCTCAAGCACACCAAGCCTCCCGCAAACCCCTCAGGTCGCCTATCGCTGTCCTCCTTGCTGGGCCAATATTCCCCCGGGTTTTGGCTCAAACATGGCCTCTTCAAAGAGCCTCTCCCTGATCCTACCCTCCCAGGACTCTCTCCAGCTCTTGACCCTATTTCTTCCCTTCCTGTATCTCCTCCACCTCTGTTTGTTCTGTGCATTTGCCCATCTATGGACCACTAGCATATAATCCCTGAGTTGTGCTCTGACGATGAGCCTGAGTCCTGGAACTAGGCTGCCTGCCTCAAATGCTGGCTATGTCACTTACTAGGCATGTGACCTTAATTAAATTACCTAAATACTACGCCCCAGATTCCTGACCTATAAATGGAAACTATAATCGAAACTTGTCACAAACAGTACCTTGTAAATAACACCTTACATATGAAATTAGCTAACGTGCATGAAGACTTGGAACCTAACCTGGTGCATACATATAAATGGCCTAATTGAAGTTAACACTCCTAATTGCTGTTGTTTACTGCATGTCTCTGGTGCCCAGCACAGTGCCTGGCATATGACTGGAGCTCAGTAAATATTAGCTGAACACAGGAAAGCATGCACAGATGGGTAAGAGCCTCCAGATGTGTCCGGATAAAGTGCTATGGGACTGAGGGGAAGAGCAGTTCACTGCCAGAGGTGCCTGAGGGTCGGGAGGGCTATAGGAGACAGCACAAGCCACAGAGCTCAGGTTGGGAAAGGCTTCAGTGAGACTTTGGAGGTGTGGGCTCTGCAGAGTAGTTAGGGGATAGTGGGGAGGTCAAAAGGCAATCTGGGTTATTTTCACTTCTGCAAGAGGACAAAGAACGGTCCCAGGTTAGCCTCAGAGATGCTCCCCTAAGTCTGAGGGCTCTGCTCCTATCACCTCTCATCCCTCCCTCAGCCACAGAGGAAAGAAGGCAAAACAAAATGACATGACTGAAGTGTTCTAAAGCCATGTAACTGCACCCTTTCCCTGGAGGCAGAGACTGGAGAGAAGCAGGAGTCAGCCTTTTTGCACCAGCTCAGGAAAGATGCCGGCCTGGCTTCTGAGAAGAGAGGAGGGCAGAGGGAAACCTGTTGACCACATGACCATTTTCAATTTTTTATGGACAAACAAGGGTGTTCAAGATCCAAAGCTCAGACCAGAAACCTAATGAAAGGGAAGAGTTAAAAGGTCTCCTCCTCTTTCTGTATCTGGGCCATGAACTCCACCACCCAAAACAGCACATCCACACACATCCGTCCAGGAGCCACTGTGGGAACAGTTCAGACACGCCTGATAGCATGGCTGGGTCCCTGGGGAGCTCACCCTGCCTGCCGAGGCAGAGGGCAGCTCTTCCTCCTCTCACTCCCCCTGCTCTCTGGCAGCATCTGGGTGTGCCCATGCATGTGCATGTGCTGTCACCCTTGCCAGGGCAATGACGGGAGAGGACGGGCACCTTGTGGGGTGGGATTCCTCACTGAAGAATCCCACTGGGACCTTTCCACTCACATCAGCAAAATCACTGCTATAGATTCCTGGTGAA
Source organism: Homo sapiens (assembly GCF_000001405.40). Classification (NCBI taxonomy): domain Eukaryota; kingdom Metazoa; phylum Chordata; class Mammalia; order Primates; family Hominidae; genus Homo; species Homo sapiens. The sequence continues at coordinate 134,415,378 of NC_000011.10, read as the reverse complement.
GGCAAGGGGAGATTGGATGGCCCCCAACAATCAGACTGGCTAAGACGGGTGGGGTGAGGGCCTGGGCCCCACAGGCCAGGGCGGCAAGCAGCGCAGCTGCGTTGCCTCTCTTGGGTGGTAGCTAAGAAGGACGGCACGGCTGAAAAGGCAGTATCATTAGGAGTCTGGAGCAGACCAAAACTCCTGCTGAAAGAGAGGCCAGGGCAGACAGAACCCACGAGGGGAACAATTAACTGATAAGAGTAAACTAATTGTTATTCATATTAAATTAGGGCACAGGTGATTTGGAGAAAACCTACAGACCATCCCAGATGTTTTGCAGGTTTTGCATTGCAGATGACGGTTTTACAGGACTCTTCTGGGATTCAGATTATGGGAAGTGGGCCAGGATCAGAGCGGGGGCAGGGCTCCCGTCCTGCTTAACTACACAATAAACACATAACGGTTTGTCCCAGAGGACAAACCCGGGCTTTGCATACTAAACATGCTGGTGCTAGGCTTTGGGGGCCTCTGAGAAGAGGGGCTCACTACTGGCAGGGAAGGCAGGGGGAGGGGAAGATCAATCATTCAGGGAGACCTTAGAGGTGCTCCAGATGTTTGGAGCAAGGGTCAAGCTGTGAGGATGCACCAAGTCCAGACATGGGAGGGAAGGATTTCCACAGTCCTGCAGAGGCCAAGCAGGAAGACAGGGGTGGGAGTGTGGCTGACCCGGGGGATGGTGTGTGTACACGTGTGTCTGTGTGGGTGCAGGTGCTTCAGGTACATCCGTGTGCAAGCGTTTACATGTGCACATGATGTATTTCAGAGTGTGTGTGTGTGTTCATGTGGGTGAATCTGCATGTGTAGCTGCCTCTATGAGCATGTTTTGTGCCTGCGTAGATGTCAGTACATTTGTGTGTGTCCATACACTTGGGATGTTGCCAAAACTTCCCACCAAAACGAATGGCAGGCTGTTGTCTCTTCACTGAGCCTTATCATGCTAATTTTAATCTCCTATTATTGTTTTAAATTGGCTCTAAAAATTAATACTAAAAATTCTGTAAACAGAGCCTGGAACTAAGATGCAAGACAGGTCCCTTGAAAGCGGCTTTATTATCACAATTGTTCCTGCCAGAATGCTGAGGTAAAGCCGAGAACCCCTGCAGACAGCATCTCCGAGCCACAGCCCAGCAGGACAAGTCGGACCACAGCCCACTTAGTCCAACCCTCTGTTTCATTACTGAAACCAGCCCTGAGGGGAAGTCTTTTGCTAGTGCCTTCAGAATCGGCCTGAAACCCAGGCCTCCTCGTCGCCATGTCCCTGAGCTCTCTTGAGATCACCCCTCATGGGTGTGTTTCCCTGTTGGTAAAATGAGGGTCTGGAACGAGACAGTCTTCACGGTCATTTCTGTCCTCCCATTTGGTGATTGTGTGACTGCGGCTGGCTGGCTTAGCAGAGGAGGGAGGCAATGTGCCCTCCTGGACGGCCTGGCCCCTCCTTGGTGCTCTCTGGTACCCCCGCCCATCCTGCTTCTGCACCTGCCCTTCCCCTCCCTTCAGCTGGTGTGGAGTCTAAGGAGAAGCAGAGTATGGAGACTAGGAAAATACCAGAGAACACCGACTTAGGAAAGGTCTCTTAGCAGAGTCTAAAAGAGAGGGTTGTAGTAGGGGCAGAAGAAGGCGGAGCAAGGCTGGCTGGGATTCCACTCATTAAGAGAAGGGGGAAATGCTCCTGTACCGCAGCAGGAGGTACTGAGGTTAGATTCAGAGGAAGTTTCTTGCCGGCAAAGGGGGCTGTTAAGCACAACAATGAAAGAGCGCACGACAAGGAGGAGCAGTTATCCCTAGAGATAGTCACTAAGGACACTTTCACATGTCTGTGGCATGATACGGACGGTGAGGTGCCTTCCTCCCCTCAAAATCTTGACCAAAGGGGCTGATTCTGGAGTCTCTGCCCCCTCCCCACCTGCACATCCTCAGTGGGAAGAGCAGGGCCCGGCTTGGTCCTAACAGGGCAGGAAAGCTGATGGAAAAGAGGCCCGTGGTCCTCAGCCCCAGCCCATAGCACGGGGGCACAGCTCTGGTTAAGCAGTGCCTAGCAGTGGGGCTGGAACTGGTTTCCCGGGAAGGAGGGAGACCCTAGAGAAAGTACCGACAGTCCCTGGTCCCGCCGCGAACCCCGCCATGGGAGGTGGCCTTCTCCTGGGGCTGTGAAGAGGACACAGCGGGTGTGGCCCGAATACAGGTGTCCAAGAGCACCGGGAGATGCCAACCTCTAAAACGAGTGCAAGGATGGCTTCAAAGTCTCCGACAAGCTGAAGGAGTATCTGGAATATACAGCTCCACAGAGGCACCCTACCAGTGCACCCACATACGTCCAAGTGCGCGCCCACTCACTGGCCTCCGTCCCCCGCCGACCAACACACCGCGGCAGAGGCCCGGGAAACTCCTGGAGATCCCGCTGCCCCCGGCCTCCCCGCGCCCGTCCGCCCACGCAGGCCTCCCGGGCCTCTCTCCGGAACGCCGGGTGCACCGGCCCGGAAGGGGAGGCTGGGGTGAGGCTGACGCGCGGCGGCTCGAGGTGCCCTTCCACGGGGCAGCAGACCCCGTACCCCGGCACGGCACCGTCCGCCCCCACCGGCCACCTCCCATCCGGGGTGCCTGGAGCCAAGGAAGGAGCCGCATCCCCCACCGGCTTCCCAGCTCGGCCTCTCGGTCCCAGAGCGCCGCCCCCCGCCCTCCTGCAGCAGCCCGGCCGGAAACAATCACCCTTTGAGAGAGGCTGCCAAGCTGGGCGCCAGGAGCAGCCAGGATGGAGGCGGGGTGGAATGGGGGTGCAGGCGGGGGCCGAGCTTTAACTCTCGAGAGCCGAGATCTGGGGGTGCGCTCGGCCCCTGCCCGCCACCCCTGCTCCGCCGCCTGAAGCGGGAGCCGCCTCCGCGGGGGACGGTGCCGGGGGAGGGTGGGGGGCGGTGGGGAGGTGATACCAATCCCGGGGGGGGGTCCCCTCGCCGGCCTCCCTCCTCGCGCCCCCGCCTAGGCTGGCGAGGTTGGTACCGACCATTAGCAGCTCGGGTCCCGCCGGCGCTGGCGCGGGCTCGGGGCGGGGGCGGGGCGGGGGCGGAGAGCGGGTGGGGGCGGGGCGGGAGGCGCCGGCAGAGCCGCGGCGGCACCGGCGCATCCGCCGCCACCTCGGGGACTCTGCGCCGGCCCGGTCGGCTCGGCTCCGGCCGCGCGCCCCCCTCGCCCCTCTCGCCCCCGCGCCCGCTCCCCGCTCCCCCTCCCCGCTCCCCCTCCCCGCCCCCCGCCCCCCGCCTCCCTGCCCGCGCCCTCCCTCCCGCGCGCTCCCAGCCTTCGGCCGCCGCCTCGCTGAGCCCAGAACGAGCCGGGCCGGGGCGGCGGGGCCGGGCGGGGCGGGCGGGCGCGCGGACCCCGCGGCTATGAAGTGGCCCCCGGGGGCCCGGAGCCCGACAGTCCCCGGGGAGGGAGCCGCACGCGGCCCAGGGCAGCGGTCTAGGGGCGCCGGGGCCGGGGCGTAGGGGCCGTTGCCCGCGATGGACCGCACCGGAGACGCTCCGGACTCGTCGCCGCAGGTCAGTGCTCCCCGCGCCCCCGCGGGCGCCCCGCCGCGCACAGAGCCCCTTTCTGCGTCCCCATCGGTGCCCACGCCATGTCCTCCCGGGCGCGCGCTGGGGTGTGTGTGTGTGTGTGTGTGTGTGTGTGTGTGTGCGCTGCGCGCGCTGGGGGCAGCTGGAAAGGGGGCCGAGAACCGAGCTCGGGCTGGGAGGCGCTGCTGCCGAGGGGCTGCGAAACAAAACCCGGCACAGCCTGCCCTCGTCGACCGGGATTAGGGGAAGAGCTGGTTCTCAGCAGCTTCTAACAATCGGCCCGGGCTCTCAGTCGTCAGTTCCCGGCCCCCTCAGCAGGTGGTTTCTGGTGGCCGGATGAGGAGTCAGGGGTCAGTCGTCCCCCACCTCCCCACCCCTGCTGCCCAACAGCGCTCTCTGGATCGCTCTCTGGCTCCTGGGCACTGCCAAGTTAACTCTCTTGAGGGGGCCCGAGCTCTGCGGGGCGCGCTGAGGGACCCAGGGGTAGCAAGGGTGGCAAAGGGCCCTTGGGACCTTCGGTGTAGCAAGGAGGAAGGAGGCGCGACCAGTTCACCACCCTCCCATCTGCACCTGGGCTCAGGTCTGAGGTCCCAATCCCTCCAAAGTCAGAGCACACAACTTCCAGAAAAAGGAGGCTGAGAGTTGAGGCAGGAAATAGAGAAGGAAGCCACCAGGTCCGACAGTGCCAGGGTAAGGAGGTGACAGCCCCGTACCAAGCAGCTAAGGTCAAGAACCACCCCCACATGCACACACATGGGAGCCTTGGCCAACTTCCCTGTCCCCTTCCTCCCCCAGCCAGGCCTAGCTGCATGGATTCTTGTAGAAGCTGGAGCTGAAGGACTCTGGACATACAGGAAGGGGACCTTTACTGACAGTTGCTAGCCCAGTGCATGGGCACCTGCATAGGTGGGGTGCCCAATGGGGCCTAGAGCTTGGGCTGTGTAGCACGCACTGTTGAAAATGTTGGGGTACGGATGTCGTAGGGCCTAGCACTGTGCAATGCCTGGATGTGTTTGTGTGGAAATGGGAGGCACATCACTCCCTAAGTTACTAGGGCTGTGGGGCATGTGGCTGCACAGGACTGTTGTTCTAGGGTTTTCTAAGATTTGTCTTCTGTGCTTATGTCGCCCTACCTCTGCTGGTAGCCACTGCAGAGACTGAGACATTTCCTCCCAGAGTCTGCTCAGTTGGTGACCATTAATGGCCTTACTGGACCAAACATCAAGCCTTCCCTTTCTTCCCATGGGGTGAAGACCCTTTCCCAGGGTCTTCAGACAGACTTCTCACTCTGCCCAGTCCATGCCCAGCACTGCCAAAGGTTCCAGAGCTTAGAGACATTTTCCCTCTTCCCCTTTTCATGGAAGCAGAAATACTTGCTAAGGTTAATGGGACTGGGAGAGTTAATGCATCTGTGCCCCATTCAGCACTGGAGCCAGGAGCTCGCTGTTCCTGTTTCTGTGCCTGACCCCAGGATGCTTGGGGATCACTCCAGGTCCAGGTGAGCTGGAAGCTTGCAGGCGCTGTGTTGAATATGTGTGTGTAGGTTTCTGGTTGGGCAGTTACTCACTGTTCCACCAGAAGCAGGGGGCAGGTAAATCACTGAGGAGATAAGCTCCAGCAACAGGATTGGAGCCCGTGGCGGAGACCAAGGAGCTTCACAGGAGGATGCCCTGGGGCAAGCCCAGTTCCTCAGCTTCGGCTTCTGGGGAGACCTGAAGGTTCTCTTAGTGGTTTCTCGGGGATAAGGGGACCAAGTCAGATATACTTTTCCTAGGTGTGGAGCACAGGGTGATGAGGCCGGCCAGGAGCTGGGAGTGTGAGATGGGGAAGAGGATGCACCAACCGAAAGGCTGAGCGGACAGGAGCATGGTGCTCCATTGTTTCTGGAAGAGAGGGATGAGTGTTCCTCTCTGATGAGAATGGAGAGGAGGAGAGGAACGGGCTCAGGAGGAGGAGGAATCCGAGAGAGAGCCTGACTGAGGCAGAGAAAGAGGCAGTGAGACAAGAGACAAAGGCACGGAGGCGCACTGGCGGACAGCAGAGGGAGGCACACAGGCAGAAGTCAGGGCCTCCCTGACTGAGTGGTGAGTTGGGGCAGGCTGGGGGCCTCCCCCTGTTCCCCTACATCGACCTCAGCAATTGTCCACCCCTGCAGGAGGCCCCTCACTAGAGCAGTTGGACATTCTACTGAGGAAGGTGCTTTCCTGTGGCTCTCAGGAATGTGAGGGTCTTTTAGACAGAAGCCCAAAGGCAGAGGGAGGCCAGGCTATGAGGTCAAGCACATCAAGAGCTTGCAGGGACTTTCAGGGACACCCTTCACCCCTGAGCATCTCACAATGCTGAGGGCTCCTCTCCATCTTCTGGCCCTGCCCCAGCCCTCCTGGTCCTGGAATGCAGGGCAGTGGGGAAGGATGTGGGGTCTGGGGAAACCTGGCACTCAGGAGAAGAAGAGAAGTCATGCACCCCCTCCCCAGGCCCCCAGGCAAAAAGACCTTTGGGGACCCTACTGAAGACTAGCCAGGGGACATGGAAGAAGTGCAGTGGGGACAGGCCCTTGGCCAGGCTGTCTGAGGTCCAGTCTCATCTCCATCTGTGGCTAGCCGAGTAGACTTTGAAAAAAACAGAGCTCTCTAAGCCCCGGCTTCCTGGCAGTCTATAAATTGGGAAACTGTCATCTCACCAGTTTTTAGAAGAAATACTAGATGAATTTTAATTTAATCTATTTATTTTATACACCCTCACCCCCTTGCTTCCAGGATGAGGATGGCTCTAGAATTTGGAGTAGCAGCGTCAGGCCAGCCCTGGAGCCAATCCCACTGGAATCGGTGCAGGCTGTCCCACCTCCCTCCTCACCCCACTGGAATAGGTGGAGGCTATCCCACCTCCCTCCTCACCCCACTGGAATCGGTGCAGGCTGTCCCACCTCCCTCCTCACCCCACTGGAATAGGTGCAGGCTGTCCCACCTCCCTCCTCACCCCACTGGAGTCGGTGCAGGCTGTCCCACCTCCCTCCTCACCCCACTGGAATAGGTGCAGGCTGTCCCACCTCCCTCCTCACCCCACTGGAATCGGTGCAGGCTGTCCCACCTCCCTCCTCACCCCACTGGAATAGGTGCAGGCTATCCCACCTCCCTCCTCACCCCACTGGAATCGGTGCAGGCTGTCCCACCTCCCTCCTCACCCCACTGGAATAGGTGCAGGCTGTCCCACCTCCCTCCTCACCCCACTGGAATAGGTGCAGGCTATCCCACCTCCCTCCTCACCCCACTGGAATCGGTGCAGGCTGTCCCACCTCCCTCCTCACCCCACTGGAATCGGTGCAGGCTGTCCCACCTCCCTCCTCACCCCACTGGAGTCGGTGCAGGCTGTCCCACCTCCCTCCTCACCCCACTGGAATCGGTGGAGGCTGTCCCACCTCCCTCCTCACCCCACTGGAATCGGTGCAGGCTGTCCCACCTCCCTCCTCACCCCACTGGAATCGGTGCAGGCTGTCCCACCTCCCTCCTCACCCCACTGGAATCGGTGCAGGCTGTCCCACCTCCCTCTTCACCCCACTAGAATAGGTGCAGGCTGTCCCACCTCCCTCCTCACCCCACTGGAATCGGTGCAGGCTGTCCCACCTCCCTCCTCACCCGCTTGAGTCCTCACACCTCCAGACTCTGGGCTGGACCCACCCTTCCTTATCCCAACCCAAAGAACCCAGAGCCCGCCTTGGCTCAGAGTTCGTCCTTGCCAAACACAAAATAATACTTTCGTGTCTAATTATTGTTAAATGTAATCCTTCCAATTTATCAGCAAATGGTCGTCTAAAAAAAAAAATCTTGACACCAAAATTCCAGATCTGTGAGCCCTTCTTATCCATGCTGAAAGGTGACAGGGTGGTCAGAGAGCCCCCAAAATTCAGTTCACTTGCACCAACACTGACCAAGCACTTACGGTGTTGGAGGCTCTGCACCAGGTGCTGGGAACGTGAAACATCAAATAATCCAAAAGTCCAAATCTAGTGTTTTCTGTTTAGCTTTGGAAGGGTTATGTGGGTTGCTTTTTTTTTTTTTGCAGCTACAGCAAATTTACTTTTCTAATGAGGTTTAGCTCCAGCCAATATTAAAATGAGCCTGCGCTCCCTGCGCACACACCAGCTGACAGCAGGGCAGGAGGCAGCCTCCGCGCCAAGTGCCTGGCAGGGATTAAGGCTTTACCTCTGATAAGCGCAAAAGTGGAGAGTATGAGTCTGGATCAAGAGTTGACTGGATTTGAGGACTAACCTTGCCCAGGGGGCTGTGGATTCCACGGCTCAGTCTTCTGAGCCATGGCAGGAGCTCTCTCTTCTCATACGTGGGAAATGTGAGCCAGCTCTCTGCTCACAGGAAGAAGACCTAGAGGGATGGGGGAGTGGAGACATGACGGCACGGCGTGGGGAGTGCCAATGGCACTGTAGTTGGAGGCCTGGCTCTGCCCGTCCTCTCTGGCTGGCTATGTGGGCTGGGGTCCTCTCCTTCCCCTCTGCCCATCTTGCTTCCTCTGTCTGTGGCAGGTGAGCAATCTGGCCTCTGAGGCCATGAGTCTCTCTTTGAACCCTGGGCTACTCATTTGTCCATTGTTCAGAAACTGTTAGAGCCCCACACTGGGCATGGGGGGCTGCATCCGTCCCCACCCTGAGCAGCTCCTCAGTCACACCAGCCACATTTCAAGTGGGCAACAGCCACATGTGGCTAGAGGCTGCCATCTTGGGCGGTACAGATACAGAACGTTCCCGGCAGCACGGAAAGTTCTAGTGGGCAGAGTGTTGTGGACCTGAGCCTGCACAGGTGTTTTGGGCACGGAAAGTTCTAGTGGGCAGAGTGTTGTGGACCTGAGCCTGCACAGGTGTTTTGGGCACGGAAAGTTCTAGTGGGCAGAGTGTTGTGGACCGGAGCCTGCACAGGTGTTTTGGCAGGGTGGCTAAGTGCCAGGTCCTACTGGCTGGATTCAGGTCCTAGTTCTGCCACTTAGTAGCTGTGTGGCCTCAGGACGTTGCTTAACCTCTCTGTGCCTCAGACTTCTCACTTTTAAAATGAGGGTAATAATAGGATGTTTCTGAGGAGGAAATGAGTCATTACAGTTAATCATGCTAATCACTCAGAGCATGCAACAGCAAGAGCTTTTTTATTTTTTATTTGAAAATAGAAAGCCATTTTTATTATTCATTTATTTAACAATTCACTTAAAGGCTTATTGAAAAGCCCACTCTGCCAGGCCGCCCCCCCACCCACCCAATCAACACAAGTCCTGGCTACCTCTGTGACCCTTCCTGAGCCTCCACCTCCTCCCCTAGGATGGGATTATTCCTGACTGAGTGCTCACTGAAGCCCAGGGAGCTAGAATGAGATGAGGAAAGCAACCTTGCTTTGTGCAGACGCAGCCAGATAGAGGGGCTGATGCTTTTTGGAGGTGAGTGCCACTGAAATTCTGTTTTGTCACTAAAAAGCATCTGCTAAGCCCCCACACTTTCAGAATAAGAGCAGCAAAGGAGGCATGGTTAGCTGCCACCAGCCAGCACCATGTCGAGCAGGGATGGAGGAAGGGATGTGAGAGGCCCCTGCCTGGGCTCACCCCTCCCTGGTCTGGAGGGCGAGAGCCCAGAGGCTGCTGTGGGCTTAGTGGAGGGAGCAGAGCCTGGAGGTCTCAGAGGCCAACTGTGCTGCCACGAGCCCCCCGGGCGCTGGTCCCAGCTGCGTCTGCAACTCACTGTGCCACAGACACTGGTGGGGCCTCAGTTTCCTCGTCTAAGACAGGAGGGACAGGGCTGCATGAGCGTTTCCTCACCTGGAAAAATCACTTCCACAGAGCGACCCAAGCCGGAGGCCAGAGGGAGGGACCCTGCCCACCAAGCCACCAGGGGTGGAAGGTGAGGGCTGGCCTGAGGGGCAGGAGCTGGCCATTGGTAGCCAGGCTGGTGCTGGACACCCCAGGCTACCTGGCTGCCAGCCTTCTCCCAGAAGTTGGATTGTGCAACCCTGGGCTACTCCCTTCTTTTCACAGATGAGGGGACAGACACCCAGAGCAGCCCTGCTCCTGTCTAGGGGCCACAGAGCAATTTCACACAAGGCAGAGGCTGCATGCCCCAGTGCCCTCCCGGGCAGATTGTTGGTACTACTGGCAGGCAGATGTGTGGGGCTGGGGGCTGCCACCCCCGGGGTCGGGGCGCAACGCTGAGACTCCCAGGGCCCCTCACCTCCTCTCTTCTCCCTCAGACGGCTGGACCCAGGAAAACCAACCTCAACTATCCCTGACAGAGCCCTGGGGAAGGTCAGCTCCTTCAGGCCACAGGCGGCAAATTAAAAATACAGACAAACTAATGAAACCCGTGAATTGCTAGCCTGCCAGAGTGTGTCTACGCACCCTGACCACAGGACCTCACCAGGCGGGTGACCATCAGTGGACCCTCCGTGGCTTCAGACCTGGGTTTGGGGCTGCCCGGTGCCTACCTAGCCCGGACCTGAAGCCCTCTGGGTCCCCGTAGCTGATGGGGGGTCCCCTTGGGGGCGTCTTCCGAAGCCTAAGGAGGTCACCACTGCTCTGACACCCTTGAAGATAAGTCCTGACCCCCAAGGAGTGCCGGTGCTGGGTCCCTCTGAGGCAGGGCTGTGGCAAATGCCACCCCCGTGGAGTTGCTGGCAGGCCGTAGGTGCATATCAACAATATCGTCACCCCCCCAGCCCTGCTTGCCTGCCCCAGCCCTTCTTCTTCCCTCCTCTTCCCTCATCCACAGACCACAGAGTGGGAGAGACGGCCGCTCGTGGCACGGGGAGGACACTGAGCCCAGAGAGGCCAAGGGACCGGCCAGTTGCACCCACACTGCAGCTGACCGACACAGGCCCGGCCCAGCTCTGCCAGCCTGCCTGGGCTGAAGTACAGCCTCCGGGCGAGCTGCTTTCCTCACGGTCAGAGAGTTTCTGCGTGGTAGCTGAAGTATTACTCTCCTAACTCATCGCCTGTCGATATTAGCTTCTTCTCCCACACATAAATCTCTCTCTCAGAACAAGTGCTCCAGCACTGTGTCTCTGCGGCTCCCCAGGCCTGAGGACAGCGAGGCGGTTGCAGGCTGTCAGTGGGGCGTGCACACTCTTCCGAGTGGCGTACCTGGAGCCTTGGAGGGGGGCCTCCCGCAGGCATACCTGGTGCCTGTCACCCCGTGATTCCCAGGAAGGTGCATGCTTGAGATCACACACAGACACCCAACCCAGCCGTGAATGCTCACTGAAGCCCAGGGTGCAGGCTCCGAGGAGTGTGCTGTCCTTGACTGTGTCTAAACGGATGTTCTGGATGAATGACAGACTCGTTTTCATTGTTATTTAAAAAACACATAACATAAAACTTACCATCTTAGCCATTTTCAAGTGCACAGTTCAGCAGTGCTGAGTATATTTACATTGTTGTGAAACAGATCTCCAGATCTGTCTCATCTCGGCCATTGGAAACTCTGTACCCATTCTGGAAACCATCATTCTCAGCAAACTGTCGCAAGGACAAAAAACCAAACACCGCATGTTCTCACTCATAGGTGGGAATTGAACAATGAGAACACTTGGACACAGGAAGGGGAACATCACACACCGGGGCCTGTCGTGGGATAGCGGGAGAGGGGAGGGATAGCATTAGGAGATATTGCTAATGCTAAATGATGAGTTAATGGGTGCAGCACACCAACATGGCACATGTATACATATGTAACAAACCTGCACATTGTGCACATGTACCCTAGAACTTAACGTATAATAAATATATATATATATATATATATATATATATATATATATATATATATAAAGAAAGAAACTCTGTACCCGTTAAATGACTCCCATTCTCCACAACATCCCAGCCCCCACAAGCCACCATCCTAGTTTCTGTCTCTATGAATTTTACTACTCTGGATACCTCATAGAAATTGAATCCTGTGATATTTGTCCTTTTAAGACTGGCTTATTTCACTTAGCATAGTGTCCTCAAGATTCGTCCATGTCAGGGCATGTGTTAAAATGTTCTCCCTTTTTAAGGCTGAATAATATTCCATTGCATGTGTATTCCACATTTTCTTTATTTTCTTTATCCAGTCATCTGGTTGACAGGTTATTTGATGTCAGGCTGTGGAGCAAAAGCTCAATAAATGGCAATTCTCCCCACTTGCCCTTCCCACTCAGGAGATGTCTGAGCAGAGGGGCCACCCAGCAAATACTTCTGCCCAGAGGGAAGCTATGTCACAGTGTCATGGGAGCATCAAGAAGGAGGCACCCCATTCTACCTGGCATCTGGTCTGGCCTCTGGGGCTCCCTTCCTGCATCCAGGGCTGCCCAGGCACCCTGTGGTGCCCAGCCCTGAGTGTGAAGCCCCTGGGCTGAGTGTACCTGGCCTGGTCCTGGGGGCCAAGCAACTCAGCAAGTGGAGGGACTATGAGGGAGGGAAGCATGTCCCAGGCAAACGTACCGGTGTGAAGGGATGCCAGCCTCCTGCTCTCATCCCTGCTGCCTTCCCGGGACCCCGAGAAAGAAATCGGCCGGGTACTCCTAGAGTCTACCTGGGGATGGGAGCCCAGGAGAGCCTGGAGATCCCCTCCCCCAGGTATGTGGAGGCCTGTCTTGAGCCTGTGCCTTGGGCTACATGTCGGTGGTGGACCGTGGATCCGTAGCCGCCCTGGTGCTCACTGTGTGATAGGTAGCCTGGGAAACCCAGAGATAGTATCAGCACACTCCACTGTCAGGGGCACTGAGACTGAGGACCGCGGGATCATCGCACCCACACCTCCTCTGCTGTGTAGGGCACACACTGCCCACTCTGGTTCACACATGTGCTCAGGGGGCAAGTCCCCTACCCAAGCCCCTTCGACTTTTTTTTTTTTTTTTGAAACAGAGTCTCGCTCTGTTGCCCAGGCTGGAGTGCAGTGACGCAATCTCAGCTCACTGCAAACTCCACCTCCCGGGCTCAAGTTATTCTCCTGCCTCAGCCTCCCCAGTAGCTGGGATTATAGGCACCTGCCACAACACCTGGCTAATTTTTGTATTTTCAGTAGAGACAGGGTTTCCCCATGTTGGCCAGGCTGGTCTCCAACTCCTGACCTCAAGTGATCCACCCACCTCAGCCTCCCAATGTGCTGGGGTTACAGGCATGAGTCACTGTGCCTGACCCAGTTCAACATTTTATGTTAATTGTTTCTTCTTCAGGCAGGGGGGTTAGCTGACACCCCAGAGGAGGGAGGGACCTTAGGGGCAGGGCAGGTGTAACAGAGGGAGGTGGGGGAGCCCTGGAAGTAGGAGGTGGTGAAAGGAAAGTTCTCCAGGAGCCTGAGCCTGCATCCTGGGGAGACGGGGCAGGGAGTGACAGTGCCCAGGGCTCGCTGGCCCTAGAGCCCCATGGACAAGTCAGTTCTCTGACAGCTCTGGAGGCAGGAGAAGAGAAGAGGGATGGGGAATCTCTGAAATCACCGGTCCTTCCTGAGTGCCTTTCTGGGAAGCTGGGCAGAGACACAGGACCAGACTGGGCAGGGTGACGGGAGGGAAGCAGCAACCGCACACTGGGGCATACCCGCGACTTGACTCTAGCTCAGTGTGTCAGTTCCAAACCTCAGTCTCCCCACCTGAAGAAGCAGGGTGACAGGATGGGTGCCCACCTCATCTCAGGTGGCTGCACCGAGGCTACAGCAGGAAAAGGCATGAGAAAGTGCCTTGTCGCCTGGTCCACCTGTGCAGGGGCACGTCCTCCAAGCAGGAACAGAGGGAGCCAGGGCCACAGCGCCAGGTTCCAGGGGCCCCGCCTCCCGACAGTGGTCAGGCTGCCCGCCCCCCCCCGCCCCAGGCCACACCCTTTTGTCACAACTGCATGCTGGTGTGCCCAGTTTCCATTGAGCTCAAGCCACAGCACCGCCTCGTGCTGGGGAGAGAAGAATGTGCTGGAAAGGCTGCCCGAAGGCTGGTCGCCACTGAGCCATGAGGAAGGGGCCAAGGTGCCTCCTTCCTCTGCCCTTCCTCTCCCAGGCACTTGGATTCAGCTGAGTTTTACTTTTTTTTAAATTTTTTATAAATTCAGCATTTATTTTAGATTCAGTGGTACATGTGCAGGTTTGTTACCCGGGTATATTATGTGATGCTGAGATTTGAGGCATAACTGATCCTCTTACCCAGGTACTGAGCATGGTAACCAGTAGGTAGTTTTTCAACCCTTCCCCCCTCCCTTCTTCCTCCCTCTAGGACTCCACAGTGTCTATTGTTCCCATCTCTATGTCCAAGAGTACCCAATGTTTAGCTGCCATTTATAAGTGAGCAGTATTTGGTTTTCTGTTCCTGTGTTACTTCACTTAGGATAATGGCCTCCAGCTGCAACCATGTTGCTGCAAAAAAAGCATTATTTAATTCTTCTTTATGGCTACGTAGTATTCCATGGTGTATGTGTACCACGTCTTCGTCATCCAGTCTACTGCTGATGGGCACCAAGCTTGATTCCATCAGTTCCCTGTTATGAATAGTGCTGCGATAAACATGAGTGTATGTGTCTTCACGGTAAAACGACTTATATTCCTTTGTGTAGACACTCAATAATGGGATTGCTGGGTCAAATGTTTTAAGTTCTTTGAAAACCTCCAAACCACATTCCACAGTGGCTGAACTCATCTACATTCCCACCAACAATGTACGAGTGTTCCCTTTTCTCCACAGCCTGGCCAGCATCTGTTGTTTTTTGGCTTTTTAGTAATAGCCATTCGGACTGGTGTGAGATGGTGTCTCGTGACTTTGATTTGCATCTCTCTAATGATCACTAATCTTGAGCATTTTTTCATATTTGTTGGCCACTTGTACGTCTTCATTTGAGAAGTGTCTGTTCATGTGTTTTGCCCACTTTTTAATGTGGGTATTTGTTCTTTGCATTTAAATGGTCTAAATTCCTGGTAGGTTCTGGATGTTAGACCTTTGTTGGATGCAGATCTGTAGGTTGTCCGTTCACTCTGTTAAGAGCTTCTTTTGCTGCACAGAAGCTCTTTAGTTTAATTAGGTCCTACTTGTTGATTTTTGTTTGTATTTTGCAGTTGCTTTTGAGGACTTAGCCATAAGAATTTTCCCAAGGCTGATGTCCAAAATGGTGTTCCTTAGGTTTTCTTCTAGGATTCTTAGATAGTTTGAAGTCTTACAACATTTAAATCTTTGGTCCATCTTGAGTTCATTTTCACATATGGTGAGAGGCAGAGGTCCAGTTTCATTCTTCTGCACATGGCTAGCCATCCGCTGAATCTTAAAACAAGGTGGAGGTGGTGGTGTTTGTATTCACCACTGTGTTCTATATGATCTAACATTCATAGTGCCAATTGTGTGCCAGGCCTTATGCTAGGTGTTTTCCGTTGATTCCCTCATTTGATCTGAAAGTAGCCCTGTGAGAGTTAAAGGTGAGGAAACTGAGTCACAGGGATATTGGCATAGCTCCTGCTTTGGGTTGGGCTCTGGGCCCTGGTGTGGGAATGCAGAGGTGAGTAAGACCAGGCGCCCCCGGAGGAGCTTCTGGCTCGGGGCTAGGGTGCAAATGTGAAAACCGGCAAGCAAAAGGCAGGGCCCAGGGCAGGAAGTCCCACAGTGTGTGCACCTTGAGTGAGCAGATCGGGGCAGGGGCAGGGCCAGGGAAGGCTTCAGAGTGGGAGAGGGAATGCCAAAGGCACAGAGCCCAGGAGAGTCTCCCCTCGCCAGCACCTCACCCAGAACCACAGAGACAACAGCGCCAAGGGAAACTGAGCAGCCTAGGGCAGCATGACAGCAGGAAGGCAGTACTGTGGGGCAGTTGGCTGCTCACATCCTCCCTCTGGGATGTCCCCACCTTGCTCACAGCCTGAGAGGTTCTGCAGGGCTGTTTCAGCTAACCCAAGCCTTGGACACTCAGTTCCAGGGCCAGACCCACCTGCTCACCTGGCTTGCTTATGTCCAGGCTGTGCTGGGCTCCAGCAGGTACCAAGTCAGTCACCATGACCTGTGCCAGGCTCCATGCTGTGGATGGACACACTCATCCAGCCCATCACGAGAGACCCTTGCTGCAACCGGCACTCAGCATCCCAAGCAGTGCAACCTTGGGCTGGGCCTCCTCTGTAGAGAGGGTCAGATGAGGCGAGGGTCACAGCCCTCCTAGCTTCCAGGGTCCAGGATTCTAGGGCATCCCAGCCTTTCTGGGTTCTGGACTGCCCTCTGCCACTGCTGGGCAGCCTGGCAAAAGGGGAGGTCAGTGCTATTAGCAGCAGCAGCTTCGACGGCTTGCCCCTGGACCCTGCCGTTCACTGGGTAGCAGAATGTGCCTCACACTCTGGGGCCCTACGGGCCTGGCCCCCACTGAGCAGGCGCCCTGTGGTGGGTGTGCGCCCACTGGAGGCAGCATTCCACCCATGGGTGTCCTGAGCAAACCACAGGCCTCTCCTAGGGTGCATACATTGCTGGCTGACTGGGGAGTCTCTCAGAACGGGAGCAGGTTGGTTGGTGTGTTAAGAGCGTTTTGCTGGAACCAGGGTCCAAGGGCAGGACCCAAATCCTGGCGTGGTCTATTCATAGAGCTGGAATGATGTGCACGGCTGATTCTACCCCACCTGTCTCCAACAGGTGAGGTGAGGCTGGAGGCGGGTAGGGATGTGGGGAAACCTCTGAACAGGAGCAAGTGAGAACCCCTTTGCTCCCATCATGCAGGCGAGAGGAGCCATTCTGGGGTCACCAGCTCATGAAGGCTGCAGTGAGCCCCCCCGGGGAGGGAGCAAAGCAGAGAAACCATCCAGCCTGCAAGCAGGTAGCAGTGGGCTCTGGTTGGAGAACCCACCACCCACCGCACCCAGAACAGACCTGCAGTTGATCCATTATCATATCAGCTCATCGCCTTTTCAAAAGCATCCTGGTTTGGATCAGGAAGTGTAAGGTCACACTAGCTCTGATGAACAAGGGCAGGGAAGTCTCAGCTGCCAGCCGGGTGTGCAGCTGCAGCACAGAGGCCTGCCCGGAGCACACAGCTAGGAAGAAACCCGTATGTCCCCAGAGGCCGGGGGCCAGCTGGCCATAGGCAGGAGGGGGCCCGGGAGGGAGCCAGCAGTGGACCCAGGGCCAGGAGAGGTGGGACAGAGGCACGGCAAGGACCCCTGCCTGGCCACTGCTGCCCAGAGGAGTGCAAGGGGATGGCTGCTTTCTATCTGGACCTGGGACACTTGAGACAGTCACTCAACCCCCTCATGCCTCAGTTTCTTCATCTGTAAAACATGAACAAACCTTTGGGATTACAAGGGTTTAAACATTAAATGAGATAACCAACGTGCAGTCCTTTTGGAAGCCATAAATCAGTACTGCGTGTGAGCTGTTGTGTTTAGTAGGTTTAGGAGCAGCAGCCCCCGCAAACCCCAGGGCTGCAGAGAGAGTAGAACTGGCCTCTTGGCCTCACCCCATCTATGTTCCAGGATCCGAAGCCACTGGGTGCCAAGGACAGGCACGTGAGCTACTCTCTTATTTGAACAGGGACCCAATTGTGGATTTGTCAACAGGGCACAGAGCAACACTGATACCCAGCTAAGAGCGTGCAGACACGTGCCTGTGAATACACGTGTGCTGACTCACGGGGTGCCGGCCATGATCACACATGCACACACGCATGCACATGGGTGTCAAGCAGCAGGCCAGCTGCCCTGTGAAGTCACTCAGGCGGGCAGTTCTGTGGTGGCCAGCACAGCCTCGATGCCCTGTCAGAACAGAATACTCAACCCCAGGGGTTTTCTTGAGTCGAATTCCAAGCAACGCATTGAGGAGGACAGGGAGCAGGCAGGGAGCAGGCACCTGAGTCGCTGTGGTCAGACTGGCGTCTCCCCAAATCATCAGCCTCAAGAGAGTGCTGGGCAAGGGGGAGGGGACACCGGGACCAAACCCATGCTTGCTGTTCCTCACTGCGGGGCCCCCTAACTGCCACTCAGGCCCAGGTATACCCCCACACGCACTGTACCCTGGCCAAGTCCTGGCAGAGAGGAGCAGGCAGGGCATGGAGGCCCAGGCAAGGGAGCAGTTGACAGCTGGAAGGAAACGAGACAGGTGCTGGTTTGCAATGGCCAGGCCTGGTTTGCGCTTGGGCATCTTGACTCAACTTGAGAACCCTCTCCCTGGCTCTGGACCCCCCGCGGCTCTGGGTGGGAATGGGGCACTGCCCTCTGGCATGGGAATGGGGCACTGCCCTCTGGGTGGGAATGGGGCACTGCCCTCTGGGTGGGAATGGGGCACTGCCCTCTGGCCCCCCCTGTGGCTCTGGGTGGGAATGGGGCACTGCCCTCTGGCATGGGCCACGTTGCATCTCACCACAGGACGAGGAAAAGCATGCCATGTTGGAATTTCAGGGACGGAAGCTGGCGGGGCAGAGATGGCCAGGGAACAGGAGAGAACAGGAGGGACATGGTGGGAGTGGTGGGCGGGCGCAGGGCAGGCATCCCTGAGTGCCAGGCTGGGTACGTTGCAGTCAGGAGTGCACAGGAGGATCTGAGCAGGTCGCAGGCTGGGGTTGGAGGGTCTGACAGTGTGTGGACTCTGAATTGAGGAGGAAAGGCAGGCGTCAGAGAGATCACCATAAGGGCCATTGTGGGTAAAAACTTGACCTGGCCCAGGATTAGGGGATGGAGCCCTAGGCCGGGGCAGCAGTGGAAGGAGCTGAGGCCCCGCTGATGCAGGGAGAAGGTGGAGTCAAGGGCAGCCCTGAGGTTTTCATGCCGGGACCATGACAGAAAGAAGGGGGCTTGGATGAGAGCTGCTTCCAGAGGAAAGATGGTGGTTGGATCTGAGGTTGTGTGTTAGGTCACAATGGGACATGCCAGACAACAAGAGGTGTAGCAGCTCCGTGTGAGAGATGGGGAAGCTGAGGCCAAGGGAAATCAAAGGACGCCGTCAGGGGCCTCGTGCTGGTGTTTTCTCCTCTGACGATCCCAGACCCTCTCCTCTCCACCTGCCTCTTCTTTGGAGGTGACGTGGGGCTTTCAGGTCCGTGGCTTCCATCTGCCCTCCAGCAAGCAGCCCGGAGTTTGGTTGGAAGGAGGCAGCAGGAAGCCAGGCCGAGCAGACCCGTTTCCTGGCCCTTCCAGGCTGCAAGGTCAGCAGTGACAGCAGCTGCTCTTTATTGGCCCAACTATGTGGCAGACGGTTTGCCTGATTTTTTTTTTTCTAGTTATCCTGACAGCCTAGTGGTAGGAGCAGTATTTTTATTCCCGTTTTACAGATGGGAAAATGAAGGCCCAGAGAGGTTACCTCACCAGAATCCCGTAGCAGAGGCAGAAAGAGGCTGGCAGGTGCACAGGGTCGTCTGGCTGTGGGGTTCAGAACCTTTCTGCATCGCAGGGCCCCTCCATGCATGGCTCTTCCAGGACAGAGGAGAGCAAAGAGGTGGTGGCAGGGGGGTGGCAGAAGGCTATGACTGTGGCTGGGTTCTGCCGTCACCCTCAGTAGCTATGGGACTAGGCAGGGTCTGAGGAGCTGAGGGCCAGACATGGCCCATCTGCCTTGGTGTGGGGGACAGACTCTCAGGTATCCTTGGAAGCCCCACCCCCCGGTGCTCATGCCTTCGTGCAGTCCTCACCTTTGGTGTGGATGGCATTCGTGACCAGCTCCTAGCCAGCAGACTGTGCAAAAGCATTGGGCCATCACTCCCAGGATTACACTGTGCTCTGTAAGATTCCATCTGCTAGCAGATTGGCTCTAGATCCCTTCCTTGCTGGATTGACGAAGTAAGTGGCCATGTTGGAGAAACCGATGTGGCAAGGATCTGCAAGCAGCCCCCAGGAGCTGAGGGCAGTCCCAGCTAACAGCCAGCAGGAAGCCATGGCCCGCATTCCCACCACCACCCAAGTGAGCTTGGAAGCAGAGTCTTCCTCAGTCAGCCCTCCAGATGAGGACACAGCCCTGCCAATACTTCGCAGCCTTCTGAGACCCTGGACTCCTGACCCTTAGGAACTGAAGAGAGCCAATGGGGGCTGTCCTCTGCCAAGTGTGTAGGAATTGGTTAGATAGCAATAGGATAGGAAATGAATATACTTGTCTTGGGAGTGGGGACATTTCCTTCCAAAAGTGGGCCTGGCTTTTAGAATGGGCCTAGGGCAAGGATGGAAAGGTAGCAAGGAAGGAGGGCAAAGGAGGTTGGGGAGCGAGGACCTTTCAATACCAGACTTCTCCCCCAATCCCAGGCTGGGCTCCAGGGTTCTGTACAAGGACTACTTGCCAGTCCCACAAATCCCAAAGATAGCATGACCCTCAGTAATCCCTATCACGCAGGCAGGGGTCAAGTGGCCAAGTGGTGCTCTGTGCACCATCGTCCGGTCATGGTTAGCACATTCCTGCCGAACGCCTTCCTCCACTCGGCCAAGCAGAAGCACCCCCACTCCCATCACCCATCATGACCTGCTGTGGGATGGCTCCTCTCTGGGGTCTTCCATGGGCCTGGCTCACCATTGTCCAGCGTCCCACAATCCTTTATCAGGTTTGCTTCCTTCAGCTAGCCTTCTCTCCAGCTGCCGCTCCCTCTCCGGCTGTCCGTCCCCCTGCAGAGCATCTGTGTGCCCATCCCCGCTTCCCCACCCGCCCCCGGGCGTGCCCCAGCAGAGAGCAGCAGCAAGTGATGTCGTCACACGGTGAAGCCCCAATTCTTGCTTCAGGGCCTCCTGCATGGAGGCTCTGGGGTGAGTGGATGAACTGCTGCCTGAAGACCACTAGCTACATGATTCAGGGAACTTCAGTGACACCAGCCGGGGCCAACAGTGTATTCGGTTGAGATTCCTGCAGTTAGCCAGAATGGACTTTGACTTGCAGAGTACTATACTAAGCCAAACCCCAGTTTCCATTTTTTACTGAATCATAATCAAAATCAAAGCCAAAGACTATTTCTGAAAAAAAGAAAAACAAAGGAACTACCTAAAAAAAGTCAGTGAATTACATTTCTGATGCTGGAAGAAAACCAAAGCGTGAAAATATTCTCTGCACCAAATCAGAACAAAACTAATACTTCCTTCTGCCCAAGTCCTTGGCTGGGTTTTCCCAGTTAGAAGGGAACAAGATGGTTTGAGCTCTGGAATTCACGCTGCCCTTCCATCAGCAGTCCCAAGCGTGAGCCTGCAGTGACCCAGGCTGGGAAGCAGAGTGCAGACATCCCAGGGCCCAAGCTTGCCACTCTTCCTCCATGAGCAAGGCGAGGGCAGGGTGGGGGGAGAGCAGCAGTGCCTTCCTGGGGGCACTCGGCCCGACCACTGAGGTAGGCCATGCAGGGGATGAAAGGTCAGGGGGCTCTGGCCCTGGAGCAGGGTTGCCCAGTGGGTGGGCACGAGGGTGGGCCAGGGGAGGGTCTGCAGGGGGACGTGGTGTGGGCACGGGTGGCACTGGACACAGAGGCCAAGGCCCGAGTTTGAGCAGCTCTGCTGACACCTAACGCAGTGACCTTAGGCCGATCACTCAGGTTCTCTGAGCTTTGGTGTCCTCACATGCAAAATGGGGACGAGATCTGTGTGTCTGCCTCATGCTGTGGCTGCTCTGAACATCGAGGGACTGGGCTTTATGGAAAAGGGAGTCTTACTGTTTCAATGTAAGATTCAGAGTGGAATCTGCTATGGGGCCCCTCCCCAGCCCTCTGCAGTCGGTGACCAGGGCAAAGGAGGAGCAGGGGCCTGGGAAAGTGGCTCCTATATGGTGTGAGGTCAGTGCCTGTGTCCTGCCCCCCAGCAGGGCTGTGGTGGGCCCGGGAGGCGGTGGTGCTGGGGGCAGGAGGGCCGGGGTTAGGTTAATGAAGTATGGATTGACTGGGCTGGGAGCTGATTAGCTGTGGCATCAGGCGTTTCCTGAGCAGCGCCTGCAGAATCAATACTAATCCGCTGATCCCATTAGGGGCACCTGGAGATCTGTGGGACAAAGCCTGTCCCTCCCTCTCTTTGGGGGCACTGGGGTTCCTGGGTGACAGAGATGATATGAACAGCAGCTGTCTTAACCAGCAGGTTGGTGTCCTGCACCCGGTCCGCACAGCACACTGACCGGCGCCGTGTGATGCCTGGGGCTCCCTCTGCTGTCACCACTGAGCCCACGCCCTCAAGAGTCAGTGACGCCGGTTCCCAGCCTGTTCACAGCACTCACCGTCTCGCTTGCTACTGTCATCACAGAATGTCATGTAAACTGTTGAAATAGCGTGTTGAAGTAAATGTGTTGTTTCTATGAAAATTTCATAAGGTGAGTCCAGAAAAAAGTTCTCCAAGTTAGGTAAAGGCTGGCAGGGAAAAGTCATATTCTAAAGGGTGCTACACTCAGACTGCTCACCAAGTGCTCCTCAGCCCTTGAATCACTTTGAAGAAATCAAAACGAGATCGCAGCGGGATGCTGCGATGTGGCTGATGTCAGACGGTCAGCACAGACCTCCCTGACCCCGTGTCGGCTGAGCGGAAGTGCTGAGAGCCAGCAAGGATGGGTCGTTCGGATTTGGGAAAAATTAGCATGCATTGTGCAGTCCTGGGGAAACATCATCTATGGGACAACTGGCTCTGCGAGTTACTTACATTGAAATGTATGGCATGTATGTATCATTTGGAAAGATTCTTCGCCTTAATGGACTTTTTTGATGAACCACTTAACTACTGTTCCCATCTTACTGGGTAAAAAGGCCTTTCTCGTCCTCCAGGGATGAGTACCTCGGACAGTGTCTGAGCTTGTTTGTAACCTACCACGCACACGCATGCAGGCCTTTGGGAACATTTTGCGTTCACACGTCACCTGCACTGGAGCGAGCTGTGTCGTCTCTTCCGCTCTGGACTGAGCAAAGCTTCCCCACCCTGGATTGCCCACAGAATCCAACACAGTGCTTTGCCTGCTACAGATGCTCAATTAATATTTGTTGAGTGAAATTAAATAAGCTCCTCTCCTCAGGGCCTGAGGCATTGCTGAGGCCTTCGTTTGAACACCTGCAGGCTCAGAAGAAAACCTTTCCATGCTTTTACAATTGGCCAGCCTTGAACCACCCCTGCACATGCTCCAGCCTCACATGTTCTGCCCCAGCCTGGGTCAATCAGAGCCTTCCCATCTGAGTCCCAGACACCCCCTAGTCCTTATTCACAGCGCACAGCACCCTAAAACCCATAGACAAATTCCTCTCTGGAGGTGCCATGGCTCATACCTGTAATCTCAGCACTTTGGGAAGCCAAAGCAGGAGGATCTGTTGAGCCCAGTAGGTTGAGACCAGCTGGACAGCATAGTGACACCCTGTCTCTACAAAAAAGAATTTTAAATTAGCTGGACATGGTGGCAGGTACCTGTGGTCCCAGCTACTTGGGAGGCTAAGGCAGGAGGATCACTTGAGTTCCGGAACTCAAGCCTGCAGAGAGCTGTGATCATGGCACTGTACTCCAGCCTGGGTGACAGAGTGAGACCCTGTCTCTCAAAACAAAACCAAATGCCACAAATTCCTGCAGAGAGGTGTTCCCAGTATGGCCGATCTCCATAGGCATACTGGCCCTTAAGTCAGGACTCAGTTCCACGGGCCCTTAAGTCAGGACTCAGTTCCATGGGTGCTGGCCCTTAAGTCAGGACTCAGTTCCACGGGTGCTGGCCCTTAAGTCAGGACTCAGTTCCACGGAGGCTGTTTTGTTGGCGCTCTTGCCTCGCCTCTGGCCCTAGGTGCCCACTGAGCTACACTTTCCTCACATAGGACATCCCTTCATCTTCGCAGAGCCCTATGGTAACCTCCAGTTGCTAAAATGGCAGGATCGTTGAAACTTCCAGCTCAACCTCCCTATTGTAAAGACGAGGTCAAGGAGGGCAATCAGCATGACCCAGGTCCCCGTGGAGCACCTGCCGGACACGTCCAGGCCGCCACCCTCCCACTCCCATGTGCTGCCCCAGCTTCTGCTCCCCATCTGGGAACCACCCTCCACTCTCCCACAGGGAAGTGCTTGCTTCCCTCTGAGGCTCTGAGGGCACCCGGGGAGGGCAGGGCACAGCCTTTTGTGTCTCTACTTGCCGAGACGCCTGAGATCTGAGGTTGGTCACAGATATGGTGCAAGTGTCAGGATGGGAGTTGTGACCACGGCAGGCCTGGGCCCTACACTCACACACACTGCCCACGCCGCGTCCTGCCTCTCCACGAAGTCCCCCTTGTGCCTCCACCCATCTCCTCCTCCAGCACCCCATTCTTCCCCGTGCTTGCCTCCATCTCCTGGGCTCTCCTGGGTGTGGCCAAGCCACTCCTGCACCTTTGTGCTGATTCTTCTGCCTGACCCAAGGTCCTAGAAGCCATTCTGGGGTCCTTGTTAGAGACAGCCTGCGACCACAGACAAACACCGCCCTCCTCCAAGCCCCAGGCAGAAGCAGCAGGCTGCGAGAGGGGACCAGTGCTGGCCAACCTTGCAGCCCCGTCTCAGACTGGGGCCCAGAGCTGGGGGCAGGTGCAGCCCACCCGCTGCCTGGCCCCAAGCCCCTGCCCAGCCCAGGCATCACATCCCACGACCTGCCCCCTGCCGGCCAGCTGGCGTTCTCCAGGCTGGGGGCTCTCTGTGTTCTGCTTGATAACTGCCTGGTAATTAGCTCCACGATTTTGCTACTATGCTTATAATAGCCTCCATTAAAGTTATGGGGTTTTCAAGCCATAATGGCTTCCAGAGTAATTAATGCACAACTGGGTTTATTGCTGAGTTTATTTTTAGAGGTTTTCTCCCTCTCTCCCCCTCCCTTTTCTCTCATAGATGTTTTGACCAAAAAGACTGGATGGGAGCAGAAGGCACCCCACGGCACCCTTGCCCACAGGCCCCATCCTCCCCTCTCTTCCCTTCCCGCCCCTCCTTCCTGCTTCAGCCTCCAAGCAGGTGCTAGGGCCCTGCAGTGGGGGCAGCCATTGCAGAGGAGGGTGGCTGTGGTCCAGGCCAGAGGAAGCATTTGGCCTGTGTGTGCCCCTTACCCACCCTGCGCCTGGCCCAGGTTCGAGAGGCTTGGAGGCCTGGGACCTCTTATCCTATGCCCCCGATGACAGCATAGAGCCAGATGGCCTGGACTCAATTCCAGCTCCACCATTTCCTAATGGTTGACCTCAGGCAAGTTACTCCCCTTCTCTGGCCTCGATGAACCCACAGGGACCACAGCCATGCCTACTGCACAGGGCTGCTGTGACGTTGCAGGAGCAGGTGCATGTGAAGAGCTGAGCCTCATCTTCGGACATCTCTCATGCTATAGGGAAGTTTGTATAAACAACAGTGCAAGCGGGGGCTGAGAGGCTGCCCCAAAGGAAAGGCAGTGGCCCACAGGGACTGAGCTGGCAGGACACTCATCTTCTCTCCTTGGCTTTCTCCATCCTGGTATTAGAACCTGCACCAACACCAGGAGCACTTGAGAAAGCTCCTTCGAGAGTCTCTGAGAACACAGAAGAAATCTTCCTGGACATTTCTGAAGCCCCAGCCAGGCCCAGCCTCCCCATCCTTCATCAGATGTGGCCTAAGATCCAAACGTGTCTTGGCCAAAGAACCAAAACGTGTCTTGACACGCAGCCCCATGCAGCCCCAGCAGTGGCCTGGGTGTGGAGGGACAGGCTAAATCTGGGGGATGTGGCATGAAGTCACTTGCATCTCAGACCACAAGACCCAGCAGGCATCCCGTGTGGGGTTCTAGGCTCTGTCCCTCACTGGGCCAGCAAAGAGGAGTTTACGGGCGGACACAGACACACACGGCCTAGAATGTCCACTAGGGGAACTACGTGCCTGTGACGTTGAACCCCAGTGGGTCTTCCACTCCCCGGGGAATGGGTGGGGGAGACTCTCTGGATGGAGTGGGCCTCTGATGGCGGGGTGTGGGCAGGGGATGCCGGCCGTCCTGGGAAACCACAGTGCTCCTTAATGGAGGGGATGCCGGCCGTCCCGGGAAACCACAGTGCTCCTTAATGGAAGACAAATCCTGGTCTTCCACAGGCGTCAGAACTATTTGGAGAGAGGACCCGGTGAGGAGAGGAAAACACGCTATTTTGGAAACTCAGGGGCTAAAAACCCTCCTCGGCCATAGCACTCGACTCTGCCTGAAATGGTGAGCACACGTGAGCTGGGGCAGGAGCAGGCAGCATGGCCCCCAGGTGAGGTACTGTCCGTATCCAACACTGGGCACTGGGACGGGTGGGCACAGTGAGGCTGGCTGGGCTGCCCGAGGCTGCCTGCCCTCCCCACCACCCCCACGGGTCCCTGCTGCATCATGCATGGTGCTCAGCACAGAAGTGAAAAGGGAGGAGAAGAGGATGTGACAGTTTCCAAGGCGGTCAGGAGGTCTCTTCGCCCAGTGTCCTTGCCATGTGAGAGAACGGTTCCCAGAGATGCTACCAGTGGACCCTCTGCAGGACTGAGGAATCCCAGTGGCTCATTCTCCTCACTTGGGCCCCCTGCTGTTCTCATTTTGGAGGACTGTCTCCCCTCAATGTGGCAGCCCCTGCGGGGACCCCTCTTCTTGCTGCTGCCCAGCCCAGCACCTGGTGCTCTGTCCTGCACAGAGCGGTGCTCCACAAGGATGTCCTATTGACACGGAAGAGGAAGGCACTCTCGTACTTCCCCCCAGGGACCATCCCAGAAACATCTCTTCTTTGTCCTCAAAAGACTGTCACCAAAATGCAAATTGAAACCACAGTGAGATACTATCTCACACCAGTCAGAATGGCTATTACTAAAAAGCCAAAAAATATTAGATGCTGATGAGGCTGCAGAGAAAAGGCAACACGTATACTCTGTTGGTGGGAATGTAAATTAGTTCAGCCACTATGGAAAGCAATTTGGAGATCTCTCAAGAACTTAAAACAGAGCTGCCATTCTAGCCAGCAGTCCCATTACTGGGTATGTATCCAAAGGAAAATAAAGTGTTTCACAAAAAAAACACCTGCACCTGTATGTTCATCGCAGCACTATTCCCAATAGCAAAGGCATGGAATCAATCTAGGTGCCCATCAGTGGTGAACTGGGTAAAGAAAACATGGTGCATATACAGCAAGGAATACTACACAGCCATAAAAAAGGACAAAATCATGGCCTTTGCAGCAGCCTGGATGCAGCTGGAGGCCATTATCCTGAGCAAATTGACACAGGAACAGAAAACCAAACACGATGCATTCTCACTTATGAGTGAGAGCTAAACACTGGGTACTCATGACTGTAAACATGAGAAGAATACACACTGAGGACTCTCAAAGGAAGAACGGCTGAAAAACGCCCTGTTGGGTACTATGCTCATACCTGGGCAGCGGGATTCATCATACTCCAGATCTCAGCATCACATGCAATATGACCCATAACAAACCTGCACATGTGCCCCCAAATCTAAAATGTTGAAATTATTTTTAATATAATAATTCGTGGTCCATATATGGTTAAAAAAAAGAAAAAAGAGAGAGAGAAAATAAAACCTCTCACCCCTTTATCCAGGCTTTGATAAGTAGCTGGCATTTTAGGGCTGCACGGGAGTTACCCTGTTTAATTCTGAGAATGACCTTATGAGGTAGGGATCCACAGTGCCCCATTTTATAGATGGGAAAACTGTGGCATGGAGAACGGAAATGACTTGGCAAAGGTCTTACAGCCTGTGGGTGGCACAGTTGGGATTTAAACCTGGTGTCTCTGCAGTCTGTGCTTCTGACCCCTGCACCCTACTGACTTTCATAAATGGAGCAGAGCCATGGCCCTGTGCCTGTGGGAAGGACAGAGCCCATTCCACTCTAACAGGCAGACAAAAGAGGTCCTCAGGTGATGGACAGTTGAGGCTCCATTGTGGAACCCCCGATGCTGTGTGTCCCAGAGCAGGGCCCAGCCTTGCTGGCATCCATTCCTATACCTGGGTCTCTGGCTATCCGCTTCTGCTCTCTCTTGCAGGTGTCCACCCCCCAGGGTTCCTGACCCCTGCCCCTGGACAGCGACCCCTTCTCAGACTCCAGTTGGGCCGGACTCTCCAAACCTGCTTCCGCAATGGGTGGGTTGTGAGTGCTGGTAAGACCTGCTAGCCAACATTCAGCTGCTCTGTCCTCTCCATGCCTGGCCGGCCCGGCCCATGCCTGTTCTTTTCTCCCCTGTGCTGCCGCCGCCCGTGGCCGCCCCTCTCCTGAACTTACCGCCACTCAGGTAATGAGGAGCCGTGGGTGCAGCCAGCCTTGGAGATGCCGAAGAGACGGGACATCCTAGCGATCGTCCTCATCGTGCTGCCCTGGACTCTGCTCATCACTGTCTGGCACCAGAGCACCCTCGCACCCCTGCTCGCGGTACATAAGGGTGAGCACGCACGCATGCCCTGCCTGCCCAGCTGGGCCTTGGTAGTGACAGTGACCACAGCTGACACGCAGGGTTCTTGCTTGCACTCACTTAGCAGCTAGGAGGAACCACGGGATCATCTAGGCCCCTTCATGAGTCTTGCACCCCTTTGGGAATGGGAAGCTAATGGAAGCTACCCACACAGTTTTAAGATGCCTGGGATGGTAGGTTGGCAGACACCAAGACAGTTGCCTTGAAAGAAGAGCTTGTTACTCTCAGCACCCAAGAGGAGGGGGCACGCCCTGCCCCCTGGGGAAGTGCTGAGGTCGGAGGTGGGAAGTGAAGGGAGGGGGAGGTGGGAAGTGGAGGGAGTGGGAGTCTTTAGTGTGGTTTTGGTAGGAAGGAAAGTGGTTTTCATAGGAAGGGAAGGGCGAAGCACTGTCGGCAGCTGAGCTGGCCCAGAATTGCATAGTCTGAAGAAAGTCAGTGGGTTTAGGATATGGGTGTGGTTTCTAATTGTCTGGTATCGCCCTGGGGTGGTTTAGGGCAGCGGAAGATTGGCTTGGGTGGGAGAGCTCCATAAAGGTGGTAGTGGGTATGAGCTCTAGATCAGGTAGTTTGCATATGAAAAGTGTGTTTGCAGGCAAGGTGTGTACTGTCACTAGGAATTAGCTAGTCCCGGGAGGGGCAGTCCCTCCCCATATCTGCAAGTCCCCCAAGATGTCGACGCATCTTAAAATACAGAAAAACTTAAAAAACAAACATCATTAATACACACACATACACAGAAAGACACGCATGTACAACTTCACATGCCATTTCATGACATGCAAGGAAAGCGACCATTCTGAAGTGGATGGTGGGGGAGGAATAGGATTTCTGGCCTGCAGTGTGTTTTAAACCCTTTCACAGAGAGTATATTGTTTGCCTCTCTTCTTTTCCTGTGTAGGAAACCCTGATCTAGTGCTACCTGGTGGAAATAGGGCTGGAGAGAGGAAAAGTCCCGTGAAGAACTAGTGGAAGAACTAGGGGTAGAACTCCTTTCCCCTGGCTCTGGGTCCTGGGTCGCCTTTCCCTCTCACTCCCAAACCTGCCACGCACCCCACAGCTGGCTGCCCCAGCTCTTCAGCACTTTGTCTCGTGCTTTTCTGCCCCCTCCCCCACTTACATGCACAGGCTCACGTGGGGTCAGGCAGCTGTTCGTTTGCAGCGTGCATGATACCACCTGGCAGTGTGATAAACAAGAAGGCAGCACCAAGCCCATGCAGAGAGAGGTGGTGAGTGCCTGTA
Organism: Homo sapiens; assembly: GCF_000001405.40. NCBI lineage: Eukaryota > Metazoa > Chordata > Mammalia > Primates > Hominidae > Homo > Homo sapiens. The sequence goes on along the minus strand of NC_000011.10, from coordinate 134,386,278 downwards.
ACCCCAAGATGCAGGCAGTGTCCAAAAATCACAGCCTGAAGTCGTGCTGCTCCTCACAGTCAAATACCAAGTCCTGCAAACCCATAGCTGTTCCTGAAGCTTCCATGAGGAAGGGCCAAGCTCAACATTGCGGCAGCCCACTGCCCGTGGCTGGCACTTGGCGCCTGTCTTCCTGACATCATCCTCTCCTCCCGACCCTAGGGCCTCTTCTCTGTGCTTGTCAGTTCAGAATCATTGTTATCTTGCAAATACATCACTCCAGAGGGGTTAAAACTACTATATATAAAGCGACATGATATCGTGTCGATTGCGTTCTTGGCAGAGCTCCAGCGCTGGAGACGTCAGGCTGTTTGCTAAGCACTGATGGTGCTGCCTGAGGCTGGGGACTTGGCATTCTGTCTCCCCAGAGCATGCCAAGAGCAAGCGAATGAAAGCTGCAGCTGAGTGAAGTTAGGGTCACCAGGAGGCCTTTAGGACCCAAAATTGCAGACGCCCTGAAGCCAATGGGAAGGGCGAAGCCCAGGAGCACACGCAGTAGCCGTGCCCTAATGTATGGGGACTGTCCAAGGGCACAGGTCCTCTGCGGCCTTGGGATGATTTGGGTGGCAGAGAGGTGGACAAAGTGGCTCCAAACTTCCTCTCAAGGCCTCAGTTTCCAAAACTTGACTGCCCATAGGATGAATTAAGTCCTCTGTCTAGGTCAGAACCCTAGACACCCATCCCGCTTTCTTCCACGTTGCTCTTCTCACAGTTTGACCCCAGACTCCTCTAAGCAGCCCCCTCTGAGCGACTGCGTGTGTGCTGGTTTCCTCCCCCGACCCTCAGCAATTGCTGTGTGCCTGGTGCCATTTGCCCATGAGAACTCCTGAAGAGCCACGAGCAGGCCTCCTGGGTCCGTTCAGATGAGCTCCACGCTAGCGTGCCACACACCCCACATGCTGCCGATGACAGTGGCCGGAGGGAGGCAGCAGAAGAGCTGATGCCCGGGGTCCTCCCCTTTGGTGTGACTTGCTGGTTCTGTCCCCACCGATTGCCTGAAGCCAGAAGGAAGCAGAGTTGGCCACTGCCCTTCCGCAAGAGAGGAAACTGTGCCTGGCGGTGCTCTCAGCCCTTGTGGACTCATTAATCCACATAATAACTCGATAAGTTCGATGCTATTATTAGCTCCATTTTACAGTTGCTGAAATTGAGGCGCCAGAAGCTAAGCAGCTTGCTCAAGGGCACAGGGTTCGTAACGGCAGAAGTGGGCAGGGTCTCAGCCCAGGCACCGGGATTTCTTACCTTTACCACCCGACGGTAAGCTAGGACAGGAGGGCCACACCGTCATTGGTGCATGAGCCCTTCCGATGGAAGGACAGAATTTGGAGAGAAGGGACGCATGGAAAACAAGAATCCCAATGGCCCTGATTTCTCCTCTTGCTAGGACTGCTAGATCTACATATACCTTGGCAACTATGGGCAAAACCCACGAGAATAAAATGCGGTGAAATAGGAAGTTCTGCACCGAGATTCAGAGAATGCCTTACGTAAGGCCAGGAGGGAAGAGGCCCCGCTTGACTGGAGGGCTTGAGAACTCCGGGAGCTGCCTCAGGCTCCTGCGGGCCCACAGTGGGCCCTGGTTGCTGCCGCAGTGCTGCGGCCCTGGGGCTTTGTGGCGTCCACACCACAGCGGGGCAGTGCCACGTGCTCTGCTAGCCCAGCCCTGCACAGGGCAGTGTGGCCAGCTCCCTCCAGATGAGTAGGGCTAGGGAGGGGAGGGTCGGGACGCCTTTTCATAGGAAAGTCAGCACATTCAGGAACTGAGGATGCAATCTTGGAATATGGGCAACTGCGCTCAAATAGCTAGAGGGCTGCAAAGGTGGGAAGGAAGAGGTTATGTCTGTGTCATCAGAGCTAGGACCCTCCCAGAGAGGATTCCAGGGCTGCAGATTTCAACCTTAGAGCTAACAGGTCAGGCAAGGCGGGGGTCTGAGCAGCCCCTGCAGCGGGGGAGGAGGAGGGTGCCCTGGCAGGGTGGGTGGCGTCCCGCTCTGAATCCAGGGCCGTAGCCGGCGCTCTCCTCCCACATCGCCGGTCTCCCGACTCCGCAGATGAGGGCAGTGACCCCCGACGCGAAACGCCGCCCGGCGCCGACCCCAGGGAGTACTGCACGTCTGACCGCGACATCGTGGAGGTGGTGCGCACCGAGTACGTGTACACGCGGCCCCCGCCATGGTCCGACACGCTGCCCACCATCCACGTGGTGACGCCCACCTACAGCCGCCCGGTGCAGAAGGCCGAGCTGACGCGCATGGCCAACACGCTGCTGCACGTGCCCAACCTCCACTGGCTGGTGGTGGAGGATGCGCCGCGCCGGACGCCGCTGACCGCGCGCCTGCTGCGCGACACCGGCCTCAACTACACGCACCTGCACGTGGAGACGCCCCGCAACTACAAGCTGCGCGGAGACGCCCGCGACCCACGCATCCCGCGGGGCACCATGCAGCGCAACCTGGCCCTGCGCTGGCTGCGCGAGACCTTCCCGCGCAACTCCAGCCAGCCTGGCGTGGTCTACTTCGCCGACGACGACAACACCTACAGCCTGGAGCTCTTCGAAGAGGTGAGGGAGGGCCCGACAGTGAGCAGCGGGACCTCCGGCTGCGGGGAGTGGAGGGGCTTCCCGAGAAGGGGGTGTGGGTGCGGAGGCGCGCGCAGGGGGAACCCGGGAAGCCGGGCTGGGAGCGGGGCAGGCAGCAGAGAGCCAGGGAAAGGGATGGAACTGCGGGCTAAAGCATCCCCCACAAGTTAGGGGGAAGACAGGTGGCTCTGGAGCCCCTAAACCATATTCCTGGCCCTAGAGGTATCTCCTGAATGGGTTTGTGAGTAGGTCATTCTGCGTGACTACCAGAAACCTCTTAGGTGGAACAGTTGGAGCTCGCCTGAGTATATGGGCTGTGTTAGTCTCGGGGACAAGGGGAGTCACTTCACACTCTAGAGCGGGGAGACTGAAAGGTTTTAGACAAGGGAGAAAACAGCAGCAGGGCCACGCTGAGAAGGGGAAGACCAGGCCGTCTGAGAGGTCAGGTGTCCCCGGCAGCCCAGGGCAGGTTCTTCTCAGGTGCCCAACCCATGGGATGGGTCCTGGGGGCAGGGCTGTACTGGACACCCCCTAGGTGGCCGCGGCTGGCCATGGGCATAGATAGAGGTGGCTGAAGGATGTCGCCTCCCTTGGGCACGCGCGGCCGTCCTCATCTGCAGTGCCGGCGCCCTGACTCTGGACCCCCCCCTTGTAGATGCGCAGCACCAGGAGGGTGTCCGTGTGGCCCGTCGCCTTCGTGGGTGGCCTGCGGTACGAGGCCCCACGGGTGAACGGGGCAGGGAAGGTGGTCGGCTGGAAGACGGTGTTTGACCCCCACCGGCCATTTGCAATAGACATGGCTGGATTTGCCGTCAACCTGCGGCTCATTCTGCAGCGAAGCCAGGCCTACTTCAAGCTGCGAGGTGTGAAGGGAGGCTACCAGGAAAGCAGCCTCCTTCGAGAACTTGTCACCCTCAACGACCTGGAGCCCAAGGCAGCCAACTGCACCAAGGTGAGACCCTCCGCAGAACTGACAGCTGTGATGCAATGTCTCAAGTACATCCAGACCCTCCCTACAGATCGGGAGAAGGAAACAGAGGCCTCAAAATAGCCTGGGCTTTCTGGAACCCCCTCCCAGGAAGGCAGTGTATCACCTGTAAGGCAGCGACACTGCGGACAGGCAGGGAAAGGGAGAGCAATGGCCACTGGGGAGTTATAACCTCCCACAGAACAGCCGTGCTCCAGCACCTCCCTGCTGAGCACTCATGCACACACACATGCCTACGCGTGCACACATGTGCGCACACACACATGCAGATGCACACACATGCACACATATATGCAGGTGAACATGCACAGACATGCACATATACACATATGCACATGAACATGCATACGTATGCACACACACACACTTGGGAAGTCTTGGGGCTTCTCTTTTCTGTAGTTCTAGACTTCCCATTTCCAGCAGGTATTCCGAAGGCATCACATGTAAAAACAGCAAAAATGAGGGGGTAGTCGAGAGCCACAGAAAATAAATAAAAAACAATTGAGAAAATCTTGATGGAACAATTGAAAAACTCTCGAAGGAAAAGGAGGGGCAGGAGAAATGTTTACACAGTGTGGGAGGGAGCAGGGAGGCAGCAGAGTGAGGTCAGGGGCCTGTCCCACCATGTTTTGCATCTCTGGGCACACAGATCCTGGTGTGGCACACACGGACAGAGAAGCCAGTGCTGGTGAATGAGGGCAAGAAGGGCTTCACTGACCCCTCGGTGGAGATCTGAGCCTCAGGATGCAGGTATGGGCATGACGAGGGTGGGCCACACACTGGGCAGGGCGGCACCAGGTTGGGCCGAATCAACTGTCTCATTCTTTTCCTCTTGGGCTTTCACTGTGGAGGACAGGGCAGATGTGGGCAGGAGTGGAGGGCGTCGTCACCACAGTCCCCTTCCCACTGGGCCACCTGAAAGTATCCAGGCATTAACTTTCACCCACGCAGCTGGGTCCTTCTGCCACCAGACTCTTCAGAGGGTGTCACCTTCCAAACATCTTGCTGATTTTTCTGCTGGCAGTGACGCCTGCACCCCACAAGGCACTGCCATTCAGACTCTCGCTGGCCAGCGTCTGTCCCCCCAAGTCTGCCTCTTCCCCTGTGGATTCCTTCACCACGTGGCCATGGTGAGGACTCACGGACTCGCTGCTCCACAGCAATGAGCCCACGGCTGTCATAGTGAGAGGTAGCGCAGAGTGACAGCACGGACCCAGAGCCCACCTCAGCTCCCAGGACCCCTGCTCTTCACTGTTTGACCTGACTTGACTTTTCTGGGCCTCAGTTTCTTCATCTGTGAAGTAGGTTGCTGAGAGCACCTAGAACAGTTCATGGCACTTAAATCTCATCAGTGTGGCTATTTTTATTCAAGTCTTTAAAGCCCTCTCTGGAAGTAGGCCACAGGATCCACCTACACTTCAGAAGCAAAGAAATGATGTTGAGAGAAGCTAAATGAATGTTCCAAGGTGACACACTGGCACGAGTGAATTGTGCTGGGTGGTTGGCAAAGCCAGGCATTTTCAGGGGCTTTTCTGTGATCTTATCCTGTCTCTTAAAAGCAGCTGGTACTCCTGACTCCCTACTCTAGGTTATGCCAAACAGAGGTTGAGGCCTGAGACAGACATTTGTCCTCTTGCCCTGGAGCTAAGCAATAGCTTCTGTATTGTGTTTGCCCGCAGAGGACCACAGGGTGTCACTCAGTCACCTTGGCCAGCGCCACTTAGAATGCATCTGTACCGAGCCTCACTTCTGCCTCCTGCCCTCACTGCCCTCACTGGAAGCACCTTCCCCACCTGCCCCTCAGAAAGGCCCCCACAGGACCTGGGGGCCTGGGCTTTGCAGAGGTCCTGGTGGCCCTGCCTGGCCATTCCCTCCCCGGCCCCACCCTCAGCCGACACCTCACTCATTCCTCCTCTCCCCTCACAGGAGCCTCCTCCTCAGACCCTGTTCTTGGCCTTCCATCCTCTCCCCACGGCTGATGGTCCCTCCAAGGCCGACTCCTAAGGAATCACCATCACCCTCCTTTCTATTCTGGGGGCTTCTGAGAGAGCCCAGCCTGATGCCAGAACAAAGGACAGAGAATTTAAGCACAGAAATCCCAGACCTGTTGTTCTCTCCATCCAGCGTGACCAGGGCCCGAGAGACCTGATGGCCAGGGTGGGGTGTCCAGCACCAGCCAAGCTGGTGCTCCAGCGCACCTCCCCAGAGCTCCCCGCACTGACGGGGCTGCAGGAGCAGGTGCAGTGGGCGCCCACACTGGCCCTGCAGTGATGCAGGGCGGGAGGGAGATAAGAAGACCCCGCAGTCAAGTGGAGCATGGCCCTCCCTGGCTCCCTGTCCCTGGGCTCAGCACGACCACACAGGACACCCAGCCAGGGAATTCTGAAGACCAGAGAGCAGCCCACGGGCATCACGAGCGCTCTGCTCCTCTCCTGGGCCCCTGCTCTTCCCGAGAGCTGCCCCCAAATCAGACATACCTCTGTGGCTCTCCTCTGGTTCACGTTTACAGAGCATAAGGCTGTCTTGGATCCCAACAGGCACCCAGCCCTGCATGGGGGGAGCCTGGGCCTAATAGGCACCCCCTGTACCTCAGGCTGTGGCGGGAGCAGAGTCCCCCCCTCCGGCCCCTCTTCCTTTACCCCTTCTCCTCCAGCAGTGGCAAAGGGGTAGGCTCTAGAGCCAGCACAGGTCACTGCCTGACCTGGACTAAGAACCCCACGGCCCCACTGTCCACACACTGCCTCCCCACCGCCCACCTCGGCTGCTAGGCCCCTCGCCTGGACTGGACTGGGGAGGGAAAGCGCCTTTTCCTGCAGCTCTTCAGAGCCACAGACCTCAGGGTGGAGTGAGCCCATGGTGGGCAGTGGGCAAGGCGGTGGGTGGTGGGCAAGGTGGGACCTCCTGCAGCCTGGAAAGAGGAGGGAGGCCAAGGCCATTCCCTAACTCCCTCCTGCCCCTGGTCTGAGGAGGAGGGACTCTGGAGTAGCAGAGGGGCTGGGAAAGAGGGGGCAGGGGCTGCTGGGACACTGAGCAGGAGGGAGGCCTGAGCACACTGCTTTGGAAATTATTCTAAACACAAAAAAGGGAAAGAAAATGTTATTTCTCCCTAAGTCAGGAGCATGCAGAGCTAGCCCACCTCATGTCCAGCTGTCCACTTTCCATCCTGGAGAAAGAACAGTGTGCCTCAAACTCCTGCCCTCCCCAGGCCTCTGGGGCCCACTGGAAAGGGCTCTGACCCCCTGGCCCAGCCGGGCTCTCTAGTGGTGATCCGGCTCATTCTCCTGCAAGTTGGAAGCACAATTTTCCCCCCAAGTGGAGGAAAAGGAAAGGGCCCCAGCCTACTGAAGAGGTGTTTATTTTTTAACTAACAGCCTCCCACCCCATTAAGACTCACCAGGAGAGGTCTGAGGGCCATTCAGAACCCACTCCTGAGTGGGTGGGTGGGTGGGACTCAGTCCAGAGACCTAACATTCAGAATATAGCATTGGTTGCCTATTTTGAGATGGATTTAATCTCCCACAGTATTCATGAGACCATCTGATGGAATCAGATCCCTGAGCCACCTTGCAGGACGTTTTCCCCAACCTCTTACACCCTGGATGTCACTTTGGAAACCAAGCCCTTGGAAGCAAGTGGGGTGGCATGGGAGAGAAGGGAGGAGGTGGGCACAGGTGGTGAGCTTATGTGTGGGCACTCTACTGCCTCACAGAAGCCAGCCAAGTGCCAAGGTCAGCTTGGCTGGTCTGAGGCCACCTTCTTAGCCAAAAACCTAGGGTTCATTTTCAGGACTTTGATAATGAACAACAAAATGGGGACTTCTTTGGGCAGATGCTAGGTCAGTTGTTTTCACCTAATATCCTCTTTTAGCTGCATGTATATTTATTTATAATTATAACCCTGGTGGACTGCAGCCTTCATCTTTATTGGGAATGAGTTTGTTATAAATCAGAAATGGGTCCATGATGACCACTGTTTTCCAAACCCAGTCTGTTCCCTGCTCCCTCGCTGGCAAGCCCCACCACACAGGAGTGAGGCCAGGGGCTAGGAGTTCTAAGAACAGAGGCTGGGGTGAGGGTGGCACCCAGGCAGCTGCATCTGGTCTGTTTTAATTTAACTGTATTTAATTTGCTTTCAAAATTAAAAGTCAAATACAGTTTTTAACAGTCCTAATCCTCTTCAGCCCTGCCTTATTTTGTTCTCATTTATTAATTTAGCTACCCAACAAGTATGTATCAGGTGCCTGTTATGAACAGGCATCATTCTAGGAGCCGACACACAGCAGTGAGAAAACAAGGCTCTCATTTTCAAAGAACTGACCCACTGACGAGAGGAGACAGGCAATAACGAATGCATATTATTTCAGATGCAATCTGTTGTATGGAGGATGAGGGTGAGTCGGGGAGACAGAGGTAGCAGTGGAGAGGGTCAGTGCTCTGTAGGGTGACCACAGAGGCCTCCGTGATAAGTGACCCTTGAGCGAAGCAGCAACACCCTGACATGCAGCTCCCCGGGCCCAAGAAGAACGAACTCTCCACCAGGCGGAACAAGCGTTGCTCAGCCTGCTTACAGATCAGCAGGAAGGCCATCGGGCTCAACTGACGGGGCGGGGGCTGCTGGGGGCAACAGCAGTGAGGGATGTGGTGGGCGTGGGAGAAGGGAGTCCCCAGGCACCGGGTGAAACCAGAAGGCAATAGGGGGTCCAGTACGGAGGACTAACATAATCTATCCATCTCTAAGAAGAACTGCCCTGCTCCTCCACGGAGGATAAATGGAGAGGGCAAGGGCAGGTGGAGACGTGGCTCCTGGAATCATCCAGGCCAAGATGCAGTGGGCTGAGTGGGGGCATGGGGTTGGGGCAGAGAGAAGCAGTCAAATTTTGGCCAAGTTTAGGAGGCAGAGCCAGGAGGATCTGCTGCTGGATTGGATGTGGGAGATAAAGAGAGGGGTCCAAAATAGCCCGAGACACAGAACAGCACTGCCATTTCCAGATACAGGGCTGCGTGCAGGAGGGGTAATGTGGGGAAATGGAGCTCTGTGTCAGGTGCCTGTTAGACACATGCAGAAGAAAATGCGCCCCCACACACCTGGAGCTCAGGTGCAGCCCAGCATCGGCGGGCGCGGGTGTCCAACCTGTTTACAAACCACAGGTGCACGGGTGAGACCCTATGCAGTGAGTGTGGACAGAGGAAAGAAACAGCCCAAGGAGTGGGCCAGAGACCCCCAGCATTCAGAGGCTGGATATGAAGAGGGATTCTCCAAAGAGACCTAGATGAGGCCATACCGTGTGGAAGATAATGGAAACATCTTTAGTCAACGCTGGAGAATAAGCTCTGCCAAGAGGTACTTTGATAGAGAAGCTGAGCAATTAACTGGCAGAAAATAAGGGTGAGAATAAGAAGCTGGTGTAGGAAGACCTCACCTTAGGAAACCACAGTGTGTCCTGCTCAGGTCTGCGTGGAAGTGTGATCCAAGGGGCTTCTCCACCTTACAGGAGGATTTGCAGGAAGGTTCCCTTCCATTCCATCACTTTCTGACGGAACCAGCTCATACACAGCTCTGCAGAAGCACACACTCAGGTAAAGCGGGGCAGAAGACCCTGCAGGTGGCTCAGGCCACACCCAAGTAGCCCGAGTCTCATCCACATCTTAGCCCCATGCTTGTCGTTCCGAGGCAGTTCCAGAAGAACTGGTGAGTTTGGGCAAAACCAGGGACTCTGCCCCATGTTGTTCCCAAGCCACTGTCCACAAGCTTTCCTTTAATAAGCTCCATTTAATAAGCCCTTGACCCGGCTCAGCTGCTGGGCTGCACACCACGAATGTCCCCTGCACTCCCCCTGGGCAGCCACACACGGGCAGCAAGCCTGCTGGCCTCAGTGAGCTCCACGGCTCACCATCCCCCAGCCCACCTTCACGGGGCTCCCAGAGCTCTCGCTGTGCCGGGGATGTGTGTGCTACTTGACTTTCTGACTCTTACTGGAGATAATTTGGTTTTGGCAGTAGATGCCAGATGTAGTTTGTGAAGCAAAACTCAACCCCGCAGTTAACTCATATGGAGCGCCCTTGACTGCCTGGCAGATTCTTACCCCCGCCCACCAGCATGAGAATGAATTTGCATTTGAACTGTCCTCTCCAGGGCACTTCCAATCCAGAGACATTTGAAGGGAAGTCGGGGTCAGGAGGGGAATATGAGGCCAGGATCATGGCCCACCCACCCCAGGGACGGTCCCCATCTGGACCCCCAGGCGGCAAGTGGGGCCCAATGGGAACCTGACCAAGAAAACCAAGCTCTCAGACAGCCTTCCCTTCTGGCAAGAGTGGCACACATGACCAGAGACTATCACCAGAGGGGGTGTGATTCAAGGTTATAGCTTTACTGCAACTCAGGACAGTGAGCCCAAGCCAGGTGTTGGGCTGGGCCCCAGAACAAGGCTCAAATGCGGACTTGGACACACTTCGAAGGAGGGCTGCTCTGCCCCTGCTGTTCGGGCGTGGGGGGTGGGGGGCGGGGGCCACTGAGCTGGGCCTTCTGTCCTCCTCCCTGGATGTGCAGACATGGGCCATGGCTTCTGCCAGGACTCACATGTGAGCTGGGCCTTCTGTCCTCCTCCCTGGATGTGCAGACATGGGCCATGGCTTCTGCCAGGACTCACATGTGAGCTGGGCCTTCTGTCCTCCTCCCTGGATGTGCAGACATGGGCCATGGCTTCTGCCAGGACTCACATGTGAGCTGGGCCTTCTGTCCTCCTCCCTGGATGTGCAGACATGGGCCATGGCTTCTGCCAGGACTCACATGTGAGCTGGGCCTTCTGTCCTCCTCCCTGGATGTGCAGACATGGGCCATGGCTTCTGCCAGGACTCACATGTGAGCTGGGCCTTCTGTCCTCCTCCCTGGATGTGCAGACATGGGCCATGGCTTCTGCCAGGACTCACATGTCCTCCTCACTGAACACCAGAGACACCTGCTAACTTGGGAAGACGCAGGGTGAGGATTTCTGTTTCTCCAGCCCAGCCTGTCACCCTGTGGGAAGCAGCGAGTGGGAAGGGAAAGGGGAAGTCACATGTTTCTCACGCCGAGTTCCTTCCAGAATCCCAAAGAAGGCTCAGAAGGTTGTGAAGGAAGAACAAAGTCAGCTCAGGTGAGACACCCCTTCCCCACCCTCTACACTGGTGACACACCCAGGATTTCGGGGATAAAATGGGGCCATGAGGGATGTGGCCAAGCCTCCCAGGAACCAGCAAAGAGCACGCCTGAGTCCAGCAGATGCTCGCAGGGCTGTGACGTCCAGTGCAAGGGCACGTTTCAGCACTTTTTCTGAGGGCCAAAGGCTGGGCGATCTGATTAGCTGCTCCCACCCTAGAGACAGCCCGACAGCCTCGGCACAAGAGCAGGGCTGTAGGAAAGCCATCATCAACAAAGCCAGGCCCAGAGCCATCCCACCTTTCCCTGCAGGCTTAGGGTTTTGAGCTGAGACAGGGGCAGACTGTAGCCCCCAGTCCCTGAGGTTGCTACTTAAGGAGATGCTTTTGCAGTGAGGGGTGGGGCAGCAGCCACCAGGCTTCAGGTCAAGAGGAGGCGGCAGTCTCCCACTGGCACCAGCAGGAGGGGGTGCCACCGCTCACTTAATGTACTGGTTCCTGCCCAGGTGGGGGGTTTCCGTGAACTGTAATGCAGGGCCCGCCATCGTCTCCTCAAAAACGATGACCTGTGGAGAGAGGGCCCGGCTGGGAGGGCAGCTGACGTCTGTCCTGGAGCCAGGGGAGGTGCTGAGAGGTGGCAGGGTCAGAAGGAAAGGGTTTGGGAACCAGGCTGGAAGGGACAGGGACCAACAACTCGTCTGCAGCGAGGAGGAGGGAGGAAGAACCCGCTGACACGCCCCTCCACCCTGACCGAAGGCTCCCTGGGACGGCAGGTGGGCAGGGCGTCATGGGGAACAGGAAGGGGCTGGAAGCTCCCACCTGGTTGATTCCGCTGCTCAACCAGGGACCTGGGAGGTAAAGCGTCTTCTGGGGTCCAATGTTCCAGTAACGTCCAAGGTTCTGGCCATTGATGAATACAACCCCCTTCTCCCAGCCCTTGAAACAGAGGGGAAGGGTGTTCATCTACCACGAGAGCCACAGCAAAAGTGGAGGGAGACATGCATGCGTGCTTCTCTCAGGTCCAGGAGACCAAAGCGAGCTGTGTCTGGACAGCCATGAGGGTGGGCAGGTGGGATGCTCTATTTCCTGTCCCCCTAGTGCATGAGGTGTTTCTTCTGCTGGGAACCCACTCCTCTGGCCCAGGGAGGCCCCAGCGGCCCTCTCAGACCCTCTGGGCACAGAAGCCACCAACGACTCTCGCCAAGCTCGTGGCTTTGGCTCAGAGCCCTCCAAGGCGGGAGGCAGGTGGGAGAAACTGGCAGGGAAAAGGGCGTTACCAACCTCCAGCTTCAGAAAGGTGTCACAAGGGGTGGAGCTGATGGACAAGCTACCCAAGAAGAAAGCAGGTAATGTGGGTGTTTCTGGGAGGGAACTCCATTTGTCCAGGCCGAACCTAAGGACAGAACACAGAGAAGGAGAGGGAGGAGGCCCTTCTCAATCCACCAGCACAATAAAGCAAAATAAAAGGCCCTGACACCGTTTCCCCATCCAAGGCCCCCCGCCTCTTAACCAGGACACAGAATGGCAGCACGGTAGGATGCTGGGAATTCCTAGTCTGCAAATGCGGCTTCTAGTGCGGGTGCCACCCCTCACCTCGGCCAGCCGATCTGGCCCCTGGAGGCGTTCACACCTGGGTGCGGGCCAGGCCACGGTGCACCAGGGACCCCTGGGCCCCACCACACAGCACTATACCTGTGAGTGCAAGGGCTGGTGCTGGGCAGGGACCCACCTCTGAAAGAAGCTCTTCTTCATATCCAGGCTATAGATTCTGAAGTTTTTCAGGGGTGAATCATTCAGATAGAGATTTCCAATTAAGCCTGTGGGAGGGAGGCAGGACACGTGGGTAGCCCAAAGGCAGGGGCCGAGTCAGCTGGGCCGGGGCCACGAGGGGAAGCCCTGGGAAGCTGGGGTGAGGGGTGCTGAAGTGTACGCTCCCTGAGAAGCTGGGGTGAGGGGTACTGAAGTGTACGCTCCCTGGGAAGCCGTTCGCTTGCAAGCAAAGCTCCCTAGCAATTCTGTGGGGGACGGGAAGGAGGAAGACCCTAAGATTTGCCATGGGAAGGATATAGAGCTGAGGTGTTACAGGGCGAGAACAACCTCTGGCCTCTCTCTGAAGGAAGTTCCAGATGACCGAGAGGGTTCTGGCCTAGCTGCAGGGCCAGTTTCAGTGGGGCCCAAGCTACACAGACCTAATAACTCAGCCAGAATCATCTCTGCCACCTAGGATTAAAGCTGTGCATTAGGAGTGTTTGGACTGTGAGCAGATGGCACCCTCCCTCGGGCATCCAACAGGGAAGAGATGTGTCCTCTTGAGGAGCCACTCATCAGTGTCCCGGGGCCGGGCCAGCCCTGCCAGTCTCAGATTACAGAGCTGCTGAGTGGCTAGCTTGGGAATTTGGAGGCCGAGGACTGTGGAGAGGCTTTGCAGGGCCTACAGACTCCGAAATGGCAGGTGCGGGTCTATGTGGGCACGCGCATTTCTCAAGGGAGGTCTGTGACTTATAAACATTGAACTGTGATCCAGAGGACAGGACTCCACAGTGTGGGCCCAGGGGACCCTCAACAAGGGCTCAGGGAAGCAAAGTTAGGAACAATGGTCAGGCTGGTGCTCCTTCCAACTCCCAGGAGAACAACAGAAGTGAGGACAGGCCCAGAGAGGGAGCTGTCTAGGGTAAAGGAGTGTGGGCCTGGGTGGTGCTAGATGCCGCTCTGAGGCCCATCTAGAAGGGCCCTGATCCCCAGGATCCAGGCCCCAGTGTCTGGGCCACGTGGCTTTCCTGGCAGGCCACCAGACGGCTCTCGGAGGAAATGTGGACCAATAAGAGCTCTTCAAGTTTCCTCCGTCACAAACGCAGACACCGTGAGAGAGCTGGGAGGTCACCGGTGCTGCTCACCACAGTCGCATTCATTTTGTTCTGAGTTCTTTTTTTATAACTTACCTGAAACCACCCACATTTAGCTAGATTTTTTTTAAAAAGGAAGGGCTAAATTTGGGCACGGTGGCGGGCGCCTGTAGTCCCAGCTACTCGGGAGGCTGAGGCAGGAGAATGGCATGAACCCGGGAGGTGGAGCATGCAGTGAGCCGAGATTGCACCACTGCAGTCTGGCCTGGGTGAAAGAGCGAGACTCCGTCTCAAAAAAAAAAAGGAAGGGCTAAATTAAAGCATAAAAGATTTAGTAGGCCAGGAAACATAAAGCAAATTGGCGGCCTATTCCCAGAGGGGTACGCTACCAACAGGTGTTTTGTTTGCTGTATGTCCCGCATCCTCCTCCCCCAACATCTGAGATAAGCTTTCCCAAGATGGATCAAGAAGAGAACTTCAGTGTGGAGGCCCAAGAAGGCAGGGGTCTTGTGCCTTTCCTTGGATTCCTGGAAATCACATTCATTGCTCCTCACTGCCGCCCCCCCAAGCAGACATCCTTGCAGAAACCGACTGCAGCCCAGGGGAGACAAGAGGCCAGCTCAGTGTTCACAGTGTTTATCACGAGCACGCAGACGATGCACGCGTGCAGTGCTAACAGGACAGGGGCCACAGCCCAGCGGAGTTTCTCTGGCCCACTCAGAACTGGCCTCATGTATGGGACAACCCAGCCTCCACCTCCCTGCAAGAGGCCTCCATGGCCTGGTGGCCTGCTAGCATAGAGAAGCAATAGCCACCTGTGTGTCCAGCATGGCCACTCTTCTTTTGACACATTCTGGGACCCACCTTTGCGCTGGTCATCAATATTCTCCCCATAGTTGACTCGCCCACGATTCTCCACCAAGATCCTCAGCACGGTGTAACCCTGCCGGGAACACGGGGCTAACGATGACTGTCAGAAGGCCACAGCTGCCCCTCAGAATTTGCTTGTGGACCCCAGTTCTTCCCTACGCTCTGGGGATGGGAGTGTACATCCCAGCTGGGCAGAAAGCCACACTCGCCCTCTCCACCTACAGCTTGTGGGTAAGGAGCCACGGGTCTCCCAGGTTTTCCTCAGTGACTGCCCCCAGACTTCCTCGAAGCAGCGGGGGCTAGCCATCACCCAGCTCCCAAAAACAACGAACCTGGATCAGGGGGACAGCAATCTTCGTTGTCTTGTAGTCCAAGAATCCTATGGATACTGTGTTCACAAACACCTGCCAAAGGGAACAGGCAGGAACATCCATGACCAACAGGAGGAGGGTAAGCGGGACCTCCTCCAGGCCAAGAAGGGCAGCACGCGTGCCTGTAGGCAGACGAGGGGCCAGTGGGCAGAGCAGACATGAATGCCCCCTGAAGGCTCACAGAGCTGACTCAGAAGGGCCATTGTCACACACTGGTAAGAGCTGATTCTGAGGGGAGGGCATGAGACGCCTATTGCAGAGCTGCTCACCAGAAGGTCACAGGAATTTAGAAGAGAAGCTCCTACCTGCCCCCGATCATGCACGTGGCCACTGAGGATGCCAGACGAGGTGATGCTGGTCTCATAGAGAATGTACCCGAAGGACTGTCCATTTCCCCCATTGACTGGCAGGTTCTCCATGTTGATGGGCTTTTCAGACTTGATTGGCTGCGTACAGAAGAGATGGAGGGGTGGGCAGGCTCAGGAGGAGTGGGGTCACAGACAGACTCTGCCTGGGGGCTGGCACATGGGGTGGAAGCGGAGGTTTGGTGGGTGTTTTCTACTTTGACTTCTCATTGCACTAAACATACAACTCTCCAGGGTGACGGGGAAGAGGAGTGGGGCAAAGGGGTGTGCACCAGCAGAGTGCAGTCCGCAGGCAGGGGACACACATCACAGCCTCAGTCCGCCGGAGGAGGCACCCCCTTCTTGGGGAGGGGACGGCCTGTTCCTCTGCCCCTCACTCTCCTCTCTGAGGCTGGAGGAAGGAAAGGCCCACGGGGCCAGCCGCTGTTCCTCAGGGACCTCTGTTTCTCCCACTTCACACTCCAGCATGAGTCTGTCCTCTTCCCTCTGAGCTCCAAGGCCGGAGAGCAGACCCCAGAGCCACCAGGCACTGGCCTGCCTCCCCCCACACTCCCTGTCTGGAGGGGCTCCAGGCCCTGCTGCCCCGACGACTCTCACCTCCCGCCGACGACTGCCCCCAGCACTCACCTCCCTGCCAACGACTGCCCCCGGCACTCACTCACCTCCCGATGACTGCCCACAGCACTCACCTCCCCCAGGTACTTGAGGGCGTCCCACAGAGACAGGTACAAGACTGGCGTTAAGGGCTCATACGGCATCTTGGGAAGAAGGTCAGGTGGGGGAGGGAGAGGGATGCCTGCAACACAGAAAACAGGGTCACCCCCAACGGACCCAAATGTCACTGCCTGCTCGTCCTCCCCACCCGGCTCCCATCCACAGACCCGATGTGCTCCTGCGTCCCAGCACCAAGAGGAACAACAGGCTAGCTCTCAGCACCTGCTGAGGCCAGGGAGGAAGGCCAGGCCTGGGGGAAAGCCAGGGCGTTCTCCCGTCCTCCACAGGAGATAAGGAGCGTTAACACCTGTAACAGGTGAAGCCGGCAAGATGGAAACAGCCTCACACACCTCCCTGTCCTTGTCTAGGATATTCTTGCACGCAGATCAACTGGGGTCGAGGTGGGACAGTAAGGAAGTAACTCTTTAGGGGTCTGAGAGCAGAAGCGAGGGCCTGAGTTGGAACTTGAGTCTGCTGTCTGCTGGGTACCTGAGATGGAGCCGAAGAAGTCTCGAAGCTTCATGTACTTGGCCGTGTAATCGCCGGCTTCTGTCAGCACAGCATCATAGTCTGCAAGACACCGGGCCCTGTCATGGTCATTCCTGTCCCCAGCACAGCACATGTAGCACGAAGAACAGGGAGAAGCTTGGAAGGGCCACAGGTCTTCATCTCAGCCATTGGGGAGGCAAGACACTTTTGAGCCATTCAGTCAAAATACTGTAAACATGAAAGACCAGGCAACTACAACAAGCGTCCATAAGGCCAGGTGCAGCGGCTCACACCTGCAATCCCAGCACTTTGGGAGGCCAAGGCAGGAGGATCGCTTGTGCAGTGGCTCACACCTGTAATCCCAGCACTTTGGGAGGCCAAGGCAAGAGGATCGCTTGTGCAGCAGCTCGCACCTGTAATCCCAGCACTTTGGGAGGCCAAGGCAGGAGGATCGCTCGAGGCCAGGAGTTCCAGACCAGCCTGGGCAACATAGCGAGACCCCCACCTCTACAAAAAATTTTAAAAATTAGCCAGAGGTGGGGGTGCACACCTGTAGTCCCAGCTACTCAGGAGGCCGAAGCAGGAGGATCACTTGAGCCCAGGTATTTGAGGCTGCAGTGAGCTATGATCACACTACTACACTCCAGCCTGGGTGTCAGAGTGATAACTCTCTCACAAATTCAAAAAAACACAAACTGTCCATGATCACAGCATGGCCCTAAATTTCTAGCTGCAGGTGTAATTTCTACTTTCTGGGACTCTCAACCTAAAGGAGGCAGGATCACACCTCCTCAAGGGCCTGGGCAGGGAGGGGAGGCCACCGTCCCTCCCTGTCCCCCTAGGGCGGTCTCCTTCCACTTCCTCAGGCCAACCTTTGCCAAAGAGGCCTCTCTGTAGAGTGACCAGCTCACAGGCACACCACCTCCCTTGAGGCTTCCCTCCTCTGGGAGTGTAACATGACTGTCCAGGCAAGTACCTTCTCCAGGTACTCTATTGCCAAAGACACGAAGGTGCCAGAAGTTGACCCTGAGGGCCTCTCCATAGCAAGTCCCAGCCATGCCCATGCAGGGCAGACCAGGGAGAGCAGTGCTGATGAATACTTGCCATAGCTGGTGACATCTGACTTGTAGTCATGGAAGTGCATGGCTCCATTCATGAAGCCAAAGTTGGTGCCTCCGTGGAACATGTAGAGGTTGATGGAGGAGCCGGCGTCCACAATGGCAGACACGGTTTTCAAAACCTCTGCCGGAGGAGGGAGAAAGGGGATGTGCAGAGTGAGTTAAAGTCTGAGATGAGCCGGGGTCCCTTCACTACTCTCCTCTTTCCCAGTCCCACCTCAAAACCTCAAGGCCAACTTTGTCACTCTGTCCTTCTAGCTCTCATAAAACCCCAATCACAGAAGATTAGGGGTGGAGGAGGAAGTGTGGGCCAGAATCATGGCCCCAGAGCTCGAGCCTCCAGTTGTCTGTCAATCCTGGTCAAGTCTCTGAGCTCCATGTGGACCACCTGCAGCCCAGGTCGGCCAGGGCCTTCCAGCCAGCACAGTCTCCATGTGAGTCTGCCTGACCAGGTGTATCAAGTGCACAAAGATGGGATGCATCCTTAGAGAGAAAACTCTGACACCTCCTATTCTACCTTTGTTAGGAAATGAACCATGACATAACAAGATCATAGCAAAGGAGAAAAACAAATGGTTAATAAATATATATTTTATCAATATAAATCAAAGAAATGCAGACTAAACAATGATGTACTGAGTAGACAAATATTAAAAGTTATTTTAATACTCGGTGTTGCTGAATCTGTGGGAAATGGGTGCACCCATTCAGCAGCAGCGGCTGAAGCTGCCGTCTTTCCGGGGGCTGAGGGGCGAGCATGCACATCTACACGGTGCCGAGGAGCCCCTGTGCCGCTCATCCCAGGGAAAGCCGGGTGCGCAGAGCGCAGGCTCCGGGATGCTCACCGGGATGCTCGCCGGGATGGCGTGCGCTTAACAGAACCACCAGAAACAACCCGGGAGACTGTGTCCACAAAGTGTGGTTTAGAATGGGGCTCTTCACATTCTTTAAAACAGTCATGTAAATCTGTATTTGGTCATACAGAAAGCTGTCCGTATGTGCATTAACTGGCACAAGCAGGTGACATGCAGCGGAGTGTGATGGCATCTGTCTCTATCTGTGTGTGCGTATAGAGCTGTCGGCAGAGATACAGAGAGAACTGCCTGCGTGGTAAACAGCTAAGTGTTTTCTCTGTGCTCTGGGAATTTTATTTCTTCTCTATACTTTTTCTGTATTTTCTGGATGTTTGCAATAGGCATGCATTACCCTTCTAATTACAAAAACACGAACAAGCAATGTTAAAAGCCCTCCCATTCATCCAAGTGTCAAGACAAATGACTCAGGAATATCCAAAGCCAACTTCTGCACACAGATAATCCCAGCAGCCTTGCACCCCCTATGGCTTACATTAGTTAGCAGGTGACTGAAACTCATCCTCACTTCTTAAGTAGCACACATTCTGGATGTAGTCACCGCAAGCACTCACCAGAAGAATCCAAGATATTGTGAGGGCCTCCCCACGAGTCAAACCACCCCGTCCAGTACTCCATCACCATCTTGGGCTGAGTCCCCTGGACACCACAAAATGAGAGTTAGACAAGCAGGCTGGCCAGACAAAAAAGAGGGAAGCTCTTCATGGAGGGGAGCCCCAGGATCTCTGCCCTCTCTACTCTTCCCTGTCTGCATACCCACTGCCTTAGAGGTCTTTGGAGGTGGGGCATAGGTGAGGGCCAAATTCGCCTGCACACCAGTTCTCCTGCCACATGTGGCCTCCTGCAGGTATAGAGCAGATAAAGCTCCCAAAGTCGATATGGCAAACCCTGATGGTTTTAATGTTGCATACGTGTTAGCAAGAAGACACTGGTCCAGGATCAAGCCAAGCTTTGCCTGTCCTCTTCCAGGGAAGGGGGATGTTTTACCCAGGACAACTCCATATCTGAGAGGGATACTGTGGATGCAGATCCCTCCCCCCCACCCTGGGTACTGGCTCCATTAGCAGAAAAATCAGACGCTGCAGAGTGGGCCCTCTTCAAGGTCCAACTCAGTTTAAACAGCAGTTTGCAGCATTTTCTGAACCAGAAAATCAGGGCCTTACAGCACAGCTATTCATGGTGCAGGTTCTGCACTGACAGTTTGGATTTATACCTTGGCTGGGCCACTCAACAAATCTTAAATCTTCTTTCTGAATACTGACTTTGGCATAGGACGGCCCCAAGGAGGCCAAGATCATTCCTGGGACCATGCTCCACTCTGCCACGTTTGCAGAAGCCCAGAGCACCTGGGGGAGGTGTAAAGACTAACACGCTAGTATTTCAGGCTCTGCATGAGAGAGCCTTCCTCACTTATTCAGTGACAGCTTGTCAAGTATCTCTAGGTCAGTGATAGCCTTATGTTTAGAGGGATACCGCATACACAGCAACAAAATCTGATCCAGGGGGATGGGACAAACTCACGGTCCATTGAGTAGAAGGTACCAGCCATACCCGGGTTAAAGCCAAAGTAGTTACAAGAATTCTTCTAGCAAGACTGGCGGCTTGGTTTTCTTTACAAGCCACCTACCTTCCAAGAAGGAGACATACCATACCACGTTTAAATCACTAAAAAGGGAGAAGCAGATTCAAAGTCCCACAAGTCAGAAATCTCCCATGCCAGAAGCAAGGTTGTTGGCTTGAGGGTACCAGAGCTGCGGAGGTGGGTGTCCACCCATGGGCCAGGCCACTGCACTGCACAACTGGCTAAGAGCTGGAGCTCTGTAGTGAGACTGTTCTGCAGTCCCCAAGCCACTACTTACAGGGTGTCTTATACACTCTATAGCTGTCTCCTTCACTGGCTCATATGACTATTGGGAGAATTAAACGGGAGAGTGCACATAACACCCTTAGCACACTGTTCCTGGCAGGTAGGAGGTGCTCAAGAAACACTTGCATAGTTCTGTCCATCACGGGTCATGGACACAGAGGACGAGTGAGGTGCTATCGGACATCGCCACATGGAGCACACCTGGAGGCCTGTGCTGTGCATTCAGAGAGCCCTTGATTTAAACAGGGAGGTGTCCAAGTCCCCTTCCTTCAGGAAAACAGACATCTCTGGACTGCGCACATAAAGCCCTTCAGCAGGGCCATTCTGTTAGCAGGACAGCTGGCCTGGGAAGGCTCGCGCGTGGCTACCCCTCTAAGGATGACCTTGAAGGCTAAACATAAGGCATTCTGCTGTATCAGCTGCTGTGCTAGGCACTTTCCAAATATTACCTCATTTAATCTTCAAACAACCCTGTGAGTTGACACCATAAGGAAATGTACTCTCATCATCCCCACTTAGAAGAAGAGAGACGCACAGAGAGGTTAAGTAACTTGCCCAAGGTCACACAGCACAGGGCAGGAGACCCTGTCATCTCAGTCACAAGTATGAGAGGCACCCCCCACTCCACTGCACACATGGGCAGGCACTCAGGAAATGCCAAGAAAGGAAGGCAGAGACCCAGCTGGATCGCGCCTGATCTGCGTCACAGGAGCCTGCCTGGGAGCGGGGCCAGCCCTCCCACCTCCTCCTGGGAGCCTCCTCGCCTACTCTGGCAGCTGAACTCCAGGAGAAGCCACATCAAACACACACACGGCCCCACACGGCTGTGGTGGCTCCACGCAGATGTGCCTGAGGACACAGCCCCTGCTCTGAAAGGCCATCAGCCGGAATGGAAAGCAGCCCAGCGTCTCCACAGCCATCCATGCCTGTCCATCCAAGCACAACTCCACTCCAGGCCCAGGACCAGTGTGACGATGCAGCGTGGGGGCAGTCTGGAGCATCCACGCCCCTCAGTGAGCCAGGGGACAGCTGGGGCCTCTCAGGTCTGCAGAGGGCTGCAGCATGGCCCTGTCCATCCACCTGCTTCGGAGGGGCACGCGAGCTCGAGAAAGAGGCCAGTCAGAACTACAGGGTGGCATAAATGCCCATCAGTCTGACAGATATTGAGGGACATCTGGAAACTCCTCCCTCTCTCCGCACCTGGAGTGGACCAGGCTTTCTGCCTTGCTGATGACAATAATCTTTCTAGGATTGCAGGGGCCTCACAGGTTAAGGTCGGATGCCTGTGTAGTATAGGACAGGGAAGTTTTTCCTTCCCCCCTCAATCCCTGGGAGCAAGTCTGGAGCTAGTTGAGGCCACAAAAGTCGAGTCCTCTAGGAGTGCACCAAAAGGGCCCCTCTCTCAGGGCAGTGGGTGATGTCCACACTGCATCAGCCTACACAGCAGCCCTCAGAGGTGTTTCTGGGCAGCGGGCCTTGCAGGCACACAGTGGCATGGGCGGGGGGCCAGAGGCCATCAGCCCTGAGTCCAGCTCCCTGCGCTGGGGAAGCTGAGCACGCTGACAGGCATTCAGAATTCCCATAGGCCGCTGAGCAGGGCGGGCCGCAGCTTCCCTGGGGCTGGACTTACCTGGACGTTGAAGAGAAAGGTGGTCAGTAGCTGCAGCTCGTGTGTTGACTGCAAGTTGATGGTGGCCAAGACTGTTAAAGGGAAGAGGAGAGAGAGAGACAAAGCACTGTCTCAAAGCCAGGGACCTTCTAGGTGACCCCAGACCCTTCTCAATCCACCAGCACAATAAAGTAAGCGGCCCTGACACCGTTTCCCACCTCCAGTTAGAAGTCAGCCACAGTCAGGCGCGGTGGCTCACACCTGTAACCCCAACACTTTGGGAGGCTAAGGCAGGTGGATCACTTGAGGCCAGGAGTTCGAGACCAGCCTGGCCAGCATGGTGAAACCCCCTCTCTACTAAAATACACAAAAAAATTAGCCAGGGTTGGTGGTGCATGCCTGTAATCCCAACTACTTGGGAGGCTGAGGTGGGAGGATCACTTGAACCCAAGAGGCAGAAGTTGCAGTGAACTGAGATTGTGCCATTGCACCCTAGCCTGGGTGACAGAGTGAGACTGTGTCTCACAAAAATAAATAAATAAATAAGTCAGCCAGGACGCCAGGAGACTTATCTTGTTGTCTTGGAGACTCCGCCACAGCAGCACAGAGCTGAGAGGCAGTCACTCGCTGTGCACCTGATCTCAATCAACTGTGACTTCTACAAGCCGAGCATGCACTCTGTTCCTTGTTCTTTTGTACGAACCAGAGCCTGATCCTTCCTTGGCACCCCAAGCATCCGGTCCAAGGTAATGATGTAAACAAAGATTCCTCTCTGATTTCTTGATAAGGGCTAATTCTGTATTCTACCCCATAACATGTTCCGTTTAAAATTTAAAATGCTATTTTCAGTGGCTTTCTATCAGTGAAACATATGCTCAAGAAAGGTGCGCTCTGTTTGGCTGACACCCGGGCATGCCCACGCCCACCCCAGTGGCACAGCCTTATCCTGGGGCCCCTCACCTGCCTGCTATCTGCCTAACAGTCAGTTCACAGGCACAGCCTAGGCACACACCAGAGAGGCTGAGCCAGCCTGGCAAGCCAGGCCACCCTGATGCTCTGCTGCAGGACGAAAGCCTCTGATTGCCAGTGAAGGAACGCAAGCGACAGCTGGGGCTCCGGGGAAGTGAAATAACTTGCCTCTAGGTCACAATAATTGGCCTCAGGTAGCGGCAGAGCGGGACTGCACACCTGGGTCTCCCTGACACCATACCATAGCTCTGCCCTGTCCCTGCCCTCCAGCAGCCCACTGGGTGGGACCCTCCACCCAGACCCCTCCCCTCAAGCCAGAAGCCCTTTGAAGACAGGAGGCCAGTCTGAAACTGAGCAGGCTGAACTCAAAGTCCGCAGGATGCACAGGGCTAAGTGAACACAAGCATCTCTGTCCTGTCCTTCCTGATACGTCTCACAAATACAAGCGGAGAGTGGACAGGTAGACGGCCATGAGGAACAGCAACAAGAAGAGACACTGGCAAATCCTGGAACACTGAGAAGGACACAGGGACAGTAAATGGTCTAGGAGTGCGGAAGGGGTGACAGTCGGCTCCAGCTCCAGCCCAAGGCCTCACCCCACTCCCAGCCCCAGGACCTGGTCACCATGAGATGGGAGGATGCCCTGTCCTCAGCCTTCATCCTCATTCCCACCTGGGCCCATCCCCTCCTCGGGGGCCATCCTGCCTGAGAACCCTGGGCCCGAGCTGCTGCGGGAGTGGGCGTGTGTGGCAGGTGGAGGGGAGGGCGGGAAGAGGAAGAAAGGCAGTGTCCACAGCACATTCCTGTCCACCGCCGGCCTGGCCCAGAACAGCTGCGGCAAGAACCCAGGACTTCTCCAGAAACACTCAACAGTGGCAGACACAGCCCCACACTCCGACAAGTGAGTGTCCCTTCTTGAAAAAGCCCCACGGCCCAGTCATCCCAGGGGGAAGAACTCCTGTCAACAGCCTCTCCCACACCCGGCGCTCCGAGTGGCAGCCGAGAGCCTCTTTCCTAAGCTGCTGGGTAGCGGCTGATCCAGAGCATCCCCTCGCGCAGGAGATGGAGTGGAACAGCCAGCAGAAAAACACGCGGGCAGCGCCGGGGAAGGAACGCGGGCAGCGCCGGGGAAGGGAACGCGGGCAGCGCTTTTGTAAAAAGCAAACTACCCTCGGAGAGAAATAAGAAAGGTAGTATCCATTTCTAAAGTATGCTATGAGAAGAGAAATACATTCAAGAAAAACGTGACCCAGGAAATGACGGGAGGACTGGAAGATAAAAGCTCAGGAAGTCACCCAGAAAGAAGAGCTGAAAGGCACAGAGATAAAGAACAGAAAAGACGTAGACAATCTACAGAAGCACCCAATACACAAACACAAGGATGACCGAAAGACCCGAGGACGAGAGGGTGGAGCACCACGAAAGACACGCACAACCCGCACGGCCCACCATGGTGAGCGTAACTGGGCCGCTCCCCGGATGCGCAGCAGCACGAGAAGGGGAGGGCGGGCTCCCTGAGGAACTTGGCCGGGGGCGAGGAGGAAGAAGACCCAGGAAACGCTCGGGAGCCGGAGTCCCCTGTGCCGAAGCAGCAACAGCAGGTGCCGGGAAGCCACGGAGCACCAAGAAACATCCTGTTTCCTGGAACTCCAGGAAGCAGGATTCCACGCGGGATGCAGCCAAGCAGCAGACCCCCCACCATGCAGGCCAGAACAATGAGAGCGAGGCCTCCACACGAGCCGGATCAGACCCAGGCAGAACCGGACAGGCACAGGACCTGAGGAACACCATCGACAGGCATCTGCGACATCTCTGGCAAAGCATTTGTTTAAAAGAGAAAGCGGCACCAGGGGAGTTGAGGGGAGGAAAGAGAATTGAAATGAAAAGAAAAACAAACAGAATAATTACACTGAAAACTAAGCACACTGCAGAGCCGGCTGGCACCCTGAGAATTCACAGATACTGTGCAGGGCATCACCCACGTGGCAGGTGCCTGCAGTGAACCGTTGTCATACACATCCGCGAGGCCCACGCTGGCGCCTATCAGGGCTGAACAGCCATGCTGGCAGGAAAGAACACTCATCACCTACTGGAACAAGAAGTCAATAGGCAGAATTTTTTTTTTTAACGGAGTTTTGCTCTTGTCACCCAGGCTAGAGTGCAGGGGTACCATCGGGGCTCACTGCAACCTCTGCCTCTCACATTCAAGCAATTCTCCTGCCTCAGCCTCCCAAGTAGCTGGGATTACAGGCACCCGCCACCACGCTCGGATAATGTTTTTTGTTTTTTGTTTTTTTTTTGAGACGGAGTCTTGCTCTGTCGTCCAGGCTGGAGTGCAGTGGTGCAATCTCGGCTCACTGCAAACTCCGCCACCCGGGTTCACGGATTCTCCTGCCTCAGCTCCCGAGTAGCTGGGACTACAGGTGCCCGCCACCACACCCGGCTAATTTTTTGTATTTTCAGTAGAGACAGGGTTTCGCCATGTTGGGCAGGCTGGTCTCGATCTCCTGACCTCATGATCCGCCCGCCTCGGCCTCCCACAGCGCTGGGATGACAGGCCTGAGCCACTGCCCGGCCAATAGGCAGAACTTTTAAAGCAAACGATGCAGGGCTGTATGTTCACAGTATTTGGAAATAAGAAGGAAAATATCCAAAGAAAAAGTCAAAGAGTTGAAAATGGTCATTTCTGGAGAATGTAACGAAGAGTAGGCAACACTGTATTTCTCTACCAACATTTTCGATTATTTCACTTTTAGACCATTTAATTTTTTTAATTAAAAAAAAAAAAAAGAAGTTATTCCGGGCAGCAGGTGGCAACAGGGGCACGCAGGTGGGTGCCTGGAGGTGGGAGGGCCACAGGGAAAAGCAGTGGCGGCTCCCGGGCTTCCTTGCAAGGCCTGAAACCGGGAGGCCGCCAAGCGCTAAAACGTGCTCCAGCACCAGGAGTCTCCCAACACAGCCACAGCCCTGCGGAGCCCGGAGCAGGCCTTGGAAGCAGCCGTGGGGAGACGGCGCCACCGCGTGGAAGCCGTGGGGATCACTGCTGGTCCTCCCCATGCCGGAGACACGAGGTCTGGGTCCTTGACTGACTCTGCCTGGGGACAAAAGCCTTTTCCTCGCCATTCATGGACCTTCACTCCCTGGGTGCCAGCTAGGCGCTGCTGCAGGGATATAGAGAGATCTTCCAGCAGCTCGGTCTGTGGAAGGAAATGCAAAAGAAAGAAAAGAAAGCGTGGAATGTGCCAGAGCAGACACAAGCACGGGTGCAGGAGGCCACAGGAAGGGCCCCGCTGCAACGATGGGAGGGCGCTATGCTCACCAAGGCCACAAACCACGCCTGGGCCCCTGAGCACAGCCTGAACCAGCCAAAGCCCAAGCCCCGCCAAGAGTACTGCTGGGTGAAACAGATGAATGACATAAATAAACTACCTGGAAGGTGAGAGGGCGAAAAGAAAGCAGGGAGAAGGATTGAGTGAGCCCCACGAAGGAAGAAGTTCAATTTCAAGTGTGGTGCTACAGAAAGCCTCGCTAACTTCGGAGAACAGCCATGTAGCTCTCTGGAAGAAGAGCAAAGCCCCCCAGGCTGGGGATCTGGATGTTGGAGGAACAGTAAAGAGGGTGAAACGGTGTGAGCAAAGGGAAGGAGCAGGAGGTGAGCTCAGCTAGGTCCTGGAGGCCAAGTGGAGAGGCCTTTCGAGGTCATTCCCAGAACCTGCGCTTCACTCTGAGTGTGACAGAGATGCCTGGCGTTCAGCAGGATAGGGTAATCTGGACGACATTTTCAGAGGCACACGGAGGCTGATATGCTGAGAACACATTATGGAGTCAACAGTGAAAATGCTACTGCAGCAATGCAGGCCAGGGGTGCTGCTAGCAGGCAACTGCTTAGGCCTGTAGGGATTCCAGGAGCACTGGGAGATAAAGCAAACAATGGCTTAGGTGCCAGGCGGAATGGAGAGGAGCTCACAGTCACTACCAGGTTCGGGGCCCATGCAGCTGGGAAGAACGGAGCTGCGATGTTCTGAAAACAGGAAGCCCGCACGTGAAGCAGTCATCTGCAGAGTGCCCTTGGAGCCCGAGTGCCCAGCAGGGCAGGAGAACAGCCACCCAGCCAGCCACGCACCACAATCTCTCACACAGACCCTCCCCACTCAT
Source organism: Homo sapiens (assembly GCF_000001405.40). Taxonomy (NCBI): domain Eukaryota; kingdom Metazoa; phylum Chordata; class Mammalia; order Primates; family Hominidae; genus Homo; species Homo sapiens. The sequence goes on along the minus strand of NC_000011.10, from coordinate 134,359,295 downwards.
GGAACCCAAGGGTGTCTGCAGCCCAGTGCCATATGCACGGGAGAATAACAGGCACCAGAGAAACTCCTACTTGGGTCGCAGTCCCACAGCGGGAGCGTGCACAGCCAGCCCAGGGCCGCCGCCAGCCCCCACGGCCCAACACAAGTGCAGTTACCTCCCTGGACAATCCCCTTGCTCAGCCCATCCTTGTTGTCTGAAGTCAGGAGCAGTTCCACAATGCCACGGTCCTCCAGTGCCTGTGGGGGAAATGAGACAAGCCCTCGTCTGCCCTGGCTCCTTAGAGCTTCTGCAGTGACACACAGCTGCAGTTGGGTAGCCTGAAGAGCTAGAAGGAGAGATGACAAATAAAGCGTTTATTTCTCTGCCAAAAACAGAAAAGTCTCCTGCCATCTGCACCGGCCATGCTCAGCACAGCTCCAATCAGCATGAATTCCCATCACAGCAGGGGCAGGGCTGGCAAACTAGGGCAGCCCCTGGTTGCTCCGGATCTGGAAGGTGCCCGGTGGGCCAGCTAGCATGCCTAGGCGAGTCTACACTGAGGCCAGCTCAGGGAAGCCTGCTGCCGCGTGTCACCCGCCACTGTCTGCTGGGCTCCAGCGAGTAGGTCAGGCCTCCAGGACGACACCTACATCCTTCCCTTCTCTCACAGCACAAGCAACAGGCCTGTCCCTTCCCCACGCTGGCCGGTGTGGGTTTGGGGGATGGCAAGGCCCAGGAGGGCCCACCATGCCCTGTCACGTGCCCACGGTGCACTGCCCATGCCCAGAACAGCAGGAAGCATCCTCCCAGCTGTAAAGCAGAGAGTGAAGTGGAAGAAACGCTGTGCTTGAGGGGCAGTGACGACAATCACCACTCAGAGCGTCCCCTGACATCCGCAGAGCAGTCACTGCCACGCCAGGCCCTCCGCTCATACACAGACTGTCCTACGCGAGCCTTGCAGTTGCTGTCTTCACAGTAGAGACGCGCCTCGGAGGCGTGAAGTCAAGCATCGCAGGTTACAGGGCCCATGGCAACGTGGGCCTGAACCCAGAGCCAAAGGCTCTGTGCTGAGGTGCTAGGATCTTTTGGATCAAAAATCCCAACAGAGGTGTCTTCTCGTAATCTTCCCTGCAGATATTATGCCAAGACTGTTTATTTCCGCTGAAATCTTTTGGAAGTGGATAGACAGCGAGATCATCTGCTGGGCGAATAAGGCTCGTGTCCAGTCCCACACGCGGGGAAGGAAAGAGCAGAGGGGGCTCTGGTCTCAGGCACAGGAGAGCTGCAGAGTTCAATCCATGAGCCCAGGTGGGATTAATCAAGAGTCCTGTATCTACCACCTCACACTATCATTCACTGATATTTAGCAAGCATTTACTTAGGTCCCTACCACATACACACACACTTAACATTTCCTGGGCATTCATTTACCGACTCCACCCCAGAGGGGATAATTGCTCCCGCCTGAGCACCAGAGATCTGCAGAGCTAGGCTGGGAGCAGGCACCTGTTCTCTCACACCACTCTCCCAGCAGCCTCAGAGAGAGGCTGGTGAATTCTCCCAAGAGCTTCCGGACCACAGAGGCTGGACGCTGCTGCTTCTCTTTGCCCACCTGAGTCACACATGGGCGCCTCCGCCCCGACACCAGGGAAGCATGAGTGGAGCAGGACGTCCCTGAGGGAGCTGCACTCTCCTCTCGTGGGGCTCTCCTTCTCTGCAGCTGAGTAACTGAGTCAACAACCGCTGAGAGGCCCCAGGGCCAAGAGACAGTCTGCGGGAATGGGGTATCGCAGGAGACGCTTCAAGTCCTGTGCTGGGATGGGATCTTTCTGTAGGAAGCTGAAGGAGTGCCCTACTCCAGGCCGTGGCTGGGCATGGCCATCAGAATGGACCTTGCCCCTTTCCAGCTTGAGGAATGCCACCCTTCCTGGACACGGCCTTGCTTCCTCCTAAGAGGGCTTTCTGCAGGTGAGAAGGGGGAAGAGTACGCATGAACCCACAAGTTGAAGGGACTGAGCCTCGGTCTCCCACGTGGAGGGACTGAATTAATTTCCAGACGGAAAATGCTCTGCACGTCGTAGCAGAAGGGATGCTGCCCAGGCATCAAGGCCCAAAGCCGTCCGGCCTTCAGGTAGGTGGAGTCACTGCGGCCACTTACACTTCCTCAGCTCACACCATGGCCGAACCTCCAAGGTACTCCACAGCAAATGCCAATGATTCCATCAAGGTCTTATTTATTGACGACTTACTAGAACAGTACTGAGCTGCGGGATATCACATCATACTCACAATTTGGAAAGGTAAATACTCCTATTAGTCACACTTTATAGAAGAGAGAAAGGAGGTTTAGAAAAAACTCGAGGCATTTGTTCAAGGTCTCAGCTACTAAGGGACAGAAAGCAGATCTGAATGTAGCCTGTTATTTTAAGTGTGGCTCTGCCCTTCGCTGGTCAGTCATGCATTGAGTCAGTGGCTCTCAGCCTTCCCTACACACTGAAACCAGATGTCTGAGAACCCCAAGGATTCTTCTTTGCTTGGTATGGTACATGGCCTGGGCGCAGGGATTTCTTAAAACTCCCCAGATAGAGCCAGTGTGCAGCCTGGGCTGGGAACCACTGCTTTAGACTTTAGAATTGGAGCCGCCTCTCCAGGAAGCCTTCCTAATCATCACCACGCAATTAAGCCAATTCCTTTATTCCCAGCCCCTGCAATACCAGGTGTGTACTGAAATTCCCAGATGAAACTCAATCAAGGGTAAATAAGTGACAACCCTGTTGAAATAAAACAACAGAGAAAATTCACTAATACATGATGTTGGAGGATGTATTAATATGAGAAAAATATTAGACCCACATGTCACACCACAGCCTATAGCACACTCCAGAGGAAGGAATCTAAAGAAACGCACTAAGAGGATTCTTACCTTCTTGACGTAGGGCATGTATGCGGGGTCTTTATTATAGGAACCATATTCATTCTCCACCTGCACGGCAATGATAGGTCCCCCACGCTTGTACTGCGGAGAAAAGACAGAAAACCAGGAGCTGAGTGTGCAGGGGAACTGTAGTATCCAACCCTGCCACGCCCATCACCAGTGACTAGCAAAAGATCCCATTGAAAACTAAAATCTCAAAAGATTAGTATCAATAAGACAGTGGAAGAAGCACTAGGCCCTTGTTCTCCCATGAAAACATCAAGAAAACAACTCCAGACTGACTAAAATAACTTAATAGGAGCTCTGGAAACCATTTAAGTGTCTAACCAAACAAGTGACCACCAAATCAAAACAAAAAGTCATATGCAAAATGGTACAAAATTGTATGATGTTTTCACAAGTTCTTGCCCCACCCCAATGTAGCATGGTGTGGTCAGGAGGATGCGTCCCAACTCCCCGCTCCCTCATGGGGAAGAAGCAAAATGGAACTTGTTGATAATGTTCTAACTTGTTTACAATGTTCTAACTTGTTCACGATGTTCTAACTTGTTCTGCCCAACGTACTGGTTTCTGTCTTGTCTGACATGGAGCTCAAACAGGAATCGTCAACATAGTTTGGACTTCAGGCTGGAAGCTAAAGATGGCAGCATATGAAAGCTGCCAGAGGACTATAAAGCCTTGGATGCCTGGGGGAAAAGAATTACAGCAAAAGAAAATGAAAAGCATCTAAGGCCACAAGAAGAAGCTGGGGTGAGACTCTGGGAATTAAAGACCCTTGAAAGCGACCAGGGAGGGGAGGTAGGGAGGGAAGCACACACACAGATACAGACAGAACACATGCCCAGAAAATATCAGCTCTTAAGTCTTCATGTTGGGCTGATCTCCGGGCTTAGGGGCCCACTAATTAGTGAGGGTTCCCCTGAAAACATGCAAAAACTGAAATAGGTGTTTGTTTTTTCAAAAGCCCAATGTTCAACCAAAAAAACACAAACATAAAAAGAAACAGGGAAGTATGACTCATCAAAGGAACAAAATAAATCTCCAAAAGCAGTATCTGAAGAAACACACACACCAGACTCAGTAGAGCAAGATCTATAACAGCTGTCGTAAATATGCTCAAGGAGCTAAAGGAAACCAGGCAAATGATATATGAAGAAAAAGAGAATATCAACAAAGAAACAGAGATTATTTTTAAAAGAACCAAAGGAACTTCTGGGGCTGAAATATACCATATATAAATTGAAAAATTCACTAGAGGAGTTCAACGGCAGATTCAAACAGGTAGAAGAAAGAAAAGCAAACTTAAACACAGGTTATCAGAAATGATCAGGTCTGAGGAGATAAAAGAATAAAGAAAAGTGAACAGAGCCTAAGGGGCTTACACAACATCTTCAAGCAGAATAATATATGAATTATGGGTTTCTTAGAAGAAAAAGAGAGATAAAAGGGCAGGGAGATTATTTTTACAAAATAATAGCTGAAAACTTCTCCAATTTGAGGAAAGACAAGATTATATAAATCTAAGGAGCTCAAAAAATTCCAGAGAACCACTCAGGGACACTCTATAATCAAACCATTGAAGACAAAGAGAGATTCTTGAATGCCAGAAAAAGTTTTGGTCACAGGCAAGGGATCCTCAATAAGACTATAAAGGATATCTCAGCCAGAAAATTTTCAGGCCAGAAGGCAATGAGATGATATAGTCAAAGTGCTGAAAGGAAAAAGTGTCAACTTTTTTTTTGACACTTCTATATCCAGCAAAACTCAAAAATGAGGGAAAAATTAAGAAATTCCCAAAGTAAAGCTAAGAGAGTTCATTACCACTAGACCTTCCCTAGAAAAAAAACACCTAAAGTTGAAATGAAAAAATGCTAGAGAGTAATTTGAAGCTATATGAAAATATAAAGTTCTCCAGCAAAGATAGACACATAAAAAATATAAAAATATTATTATAATTTTTCTTTACAATGTGGCTTTTTATTTTCTACAAGATTTTAAAAGACATAAAATAATTATAAATTTAAGTTAATGGGTACACCCAATATGAAGACATAATTTGTGACATCAATAAAATAAAGTGGAAGGGCAGAACTGTAAAGGAGTTTTTGTGTGCAGTTGAAGTTAGGTTGGTATCAATTTAAAACAGAATGTCACAACTTTAGGATATTATATATCCTTTACCTTATCCCAAGGTAAAGGGAATCGTTATAAAAAAGTGTCACTATAAAAAAATCAACTAGATACAAAGTAAAGCAGTCATAAAGGAAATGAGGGACAAAAAGCTGTAAGACATACAGAAAGCAACAAAATGGCAAAAGCAAGTGATTCTCTATCAGTAATTACTTTGAATGTAAACACATTAAACTCCCCAATCAAAAGACATACATTGGCAGAATGGATTTTTAACAAACCGATATCCAACTATATACTATCTACAAGACACTCACTTCAGATCTAAGGATATTTATTGGTTGGAAGTGAAAGGCTGGAAAAAGATATTTTATGCAAACAGTAATCAAAAGAGGAGGGGTGGCTTTGCTAATATCAAACAAAATAGACTTTATATCAAAAACTGTTACAAGAGACAAAGACATGATAAAATATATATAATGATAAAAGGGTCAATTCACCAAAAGGATATAACAATTATAAACATATATGCACCAAATGCCAGAATTCCAAAGTATATGAGCCAAACAGTGGCAAAATTAAAGGGAAAAATAGACAATAATAGTAGGAGACTCAATATCTGAATATCAATAATGGATAGAGTAACCAGACAGAAAATTAGTAACCAAATAGAGGACCTAGACAATATTATGGACCAGTTGGACCAAACATATATATACACAACATTCCACCCAAAAGTAGCACAATACACATTTTTCTCATGGGCACATAAAACACTCTCCAGGATAAACCATATAGTAAGCCAAAAAAACAAGCCTTAATAAATTTTTCTTTTTTAAAAAAAAACAGAGTCTTGCTCTGTCACCCAGGCTGGAGTGCAGTGGCACAATCTTGGCTCACTGCAACCTCCATCTCCCAGGTTCAAGTGATTCTTGTGCCTCAGCCTCCCAAGTAGCTGGGATTACAGGTGCCCGTCACCACACCTGGCTAATTTTTGTATTTTTTAGTAGAGAATGGGTTTCAACATGTTGGCCAAGCTGGTCTCTAACTCCCGACCTCAAGTGTTCCACTTGCCTCGGCCTCCCAAAGTGCTAGGATTACAGGCATGAGCCACCACACCCAGCCTCAAGCTTTAATAAATTTAAAAAATTGAAATCTTACAAAGTTTTATTTTTCCCAATCACAATGGAATGAAACTAGAAATCAATAACCAAAAAAGTCCTGAAAAATTCAAGTATGTGGAAATAAAATCTTCACCAATAGTCCAAAGAGGAAATCACAAGAGACATTAGAAAATATATTGAGGCCAGGCGCAGTGGCTCACGCCTGTAATCCCAGCACTTTGGGAGGCCAAGGCGGGCGGATCACCTGAGATAGGGAGTTCAAGACCAGCCCGGCCAACAAGGGGAAACCCCGTCTCTACTAAAAATACAAATATCAGCCGGGCGTGGTCACGGGCACCTGTAATCCCAGCTACTTGGGAGGGTGAGTAATGAGAATCACTTGAACCTGGGAGGCGGACGTTGTAGTGAGCTGAGATCATGCCACTGCACTCCTGCCTGGGCGACAAGAGCGAGACTCCATCTCAAAAAAAAAAAAAAAGAAGACATATTGAGAAAAATGAAAATGGAAATAAAATTATGAATTACAGTGAAAGCAGTGCAAAGAGGGAAATTTTATAGCTATAAATACATTTAAAAGACAAAAGGTCTCAAACCAACAACTTAACTTTATACCTTAAGAAACCAGAAAAAGGGAAACAAACTAAAAGGTAGCAGAAGTAAGGAAATAATAAAGATTAGAGCAGAGATAGACAATGAGAGAATAGAAAAACAATAAAGAAAAATTAATGAAACCAAGAGTTGGTTATTTGAAAAGATCAACAAAACTGACAAACTGCAGCTAAACTAAGAAAAAAGATATGACTCAACTAAAATCAGAAACAACATGAGGCTATTACTGCTGATTTTACAGAAATAAAAACGATTACAGAAGAGGAATATGAACAAATTGTACGCCAACAAATTAAATATTAAATAACCTAGATGAAACACACAAATTCCTAGAAATATATAATATGCCAAAACTAAATCATGAAGAAATATAAAATCTGAACAGACCTATAACTAGTAAGGACACTGAATCAGTAACTAAAAACCTCCCAACAAAGAAAAGTCCAGGACCAGATGGCTTCACTGGTAAATTCTACCAAATATTTAAAGAAAAATTAACGCCAGTCTTCCTCAAACCCTTCCCAAAAATTGAAAGGGAAGGAACACTTCCTACCTTATTCTATAAGGTAGAATACAGTAATAAACTCTTTTCACTTTTCTTTGGGAATTTCTTAATTTTTCCCTCATTTTTGAGTTTTGCTGGATATAGAAGTGTCAAAAAAAGTTGACACTTTTTTCTTTTATTACAAACAAAAGACACTATGAGAAAAGAAAACACGGACTAACAGTCCTGATGAATACTGATGCCAAAACCCTCAACAACATGTTAGCCAACTTAATTCAGCAGCATATTAAAAGAATTATAAACCATGATCAAATGGGATTCATTCCTGTAATGCGAGGATGATTTGCCATGTGAAAAGCAATCAATGTAGGCCAGGCATGGTGGCTCATGCCTATAATCCCAGCACTTTGGGAGGCTGAGGCAGGTGGATCACCTGAGGTCAGAAGTTTGAGACCAGCCTGATCAACAGGGTAAAACCCCATCTCTACTGAAAATACAAAATTAGCTGGGCATGGTGGCAGGTGCTTGTAACCCCAGCTATTCAGGAGGCTGAGGCAGGAGAATCACTTGAACCTGGGAGGAGGAGGTTGCAGTGAGCTGAGATAGCGCCATTGCTCTCCAGCCTGAGCAACAAGAGGGAACCACCATCTCAAAAAAAAAAAAAAAAAGAAAGAAAAAGAATCAATCAATGTAATATACCGCATTAACAAAATTAAGAGGAAAAACCACATGATGATCCCAATTGATGCAGAAAAAAGTGATAAAATTCAACATTCTTTCATGATAAAAAACACTCAGTCAACTAGGAACAGAAGGAAACTACCTCAACATAGTAAAGGCCCCATACAGAAAGCCCACAGTCAACATCATATTCACTGGTGAAAGACTGAAAACTTTTCCTCTACGATCAGGAACAAACCAAGCATTCGTGCTTTCAGCACTTCTATTCAACACGGTACTGGAAGTCCTGCCAGAGCAATTAGTCAAGAAAAAAATAAAGGCAACCAAGTTGGAAAGGAAGAAGTTATCTCTGTTCACAGACAACATGATCTTAAATGCAGAAAACAGTGCACATCCCCACACCCCTAAAAAAAACTATCTAGCTAATAATTCAGTAAGCTTGCAGGATAAAAAAAATCAATGTGCAAAAATGCATTGTTTTTATCCACCATCAGGGGACAATTCCATTTACGACACCATCAAAAACAACAAAATACTTGGGAATACATTTAATCAAGGAGGTGAAATATTTGTACACTGATTGTACATTACAAACAAAATACTAAAAGAAAATAAAAGACAGTGGAGCAAGATGGAGGAATAGAAGGCTGCACCGTTCATCCGTCCTGCTGGAACACGAAATTTTAACAGTGATCTGCACGCAGAAAAGCACCATGACAAAAACCGAAACTCAAGTGACCCGTCACAGTACCTGGTTTTAACTTCATATCACCAAAAGACGCATTAAGGCAGGCAAGAGAGACAGCCTTACACCACCGATGCCACCCTCTCCCATCTCCCAGCGGCAGCCAAGTGGTGAGGAGAGAGGATCTGTGCATTTGGGGAAGGGAGAGCACAGTGACTGGGGAACTTTACATTGAACTCAGTGCTGCCTTGTCACAGCACAGGATAAAGCCATGCTGAGCTCAGCCAGCATCCACGTAGACGGAGCATTTGGACCAGCCCTAGCCAGAGAGGAACTGCCCACCCTAGTGATTGGAACTTGAGTTTCTTGGGAAGCCTCACCACCATGGGCTGAAGTGCTCTGGAGTCCTAGGTAAACATGAAAGGCAGTCTAGGACACAAAGACCGCAATTCCTATGCAACTCCTGGAGCTAGGATGAGCTTACAGCCAGTGTACTAGCACAGCGCATGGCCTAAGGAGCCACCAGCTGGCATGGCTAAGGGAGTTCTTGCACATCCCTCCCCCAAGCCCAGGTAGCGCAGCTCACAGCAACGAAAGTGGCTCCTTCCTTCTGCTTAAGGAGAGGAGAGCAAAGAGTAAAGAGGACTTTGTCTTGCATCTTGGATCCAGCTCAACCACAGTAGGAAAGGGCGCCGGCAGAGTCAAGAGGCCCTCGTTCCAGGCCCTAGCTTCCAGACACTTCTAGACATACCCTGAGCCAAAAGGGAACCTGCTGCCTTGAAGCGAAGGACCCAGTCCTGGCAGGTCCTGTTAAGGAATTGATCTCCAGAAAGTAAAAAGAATTCCTATAATCAACAACATAAAAACAAACAACTAGATTCAAAAATGAGCAGAAGACTTGAATAAACATTTCTTCCAAGATATGCAAAAGACCAATCAGCACATGAAAGATGCTCAACATCACCAGGGAAATGCAAATCAAAACCACCATGAGATACCACTTCACACCCACTGATGGCTCTCCCCAGATAAACAGGAAATAACAAGTGTTGGCAAGGATGTGGGGAAATTGCAAAGCTTGTGTATTGCTGGTGGGAATGTAATTTGGTGCAACTTCTGTGGAAAACGGTATGGCAATTCCTAAAAAAAACTGAATGTAGAATGACAAGTTGATCCAGCAATTTCACTTCTAGGTATATACCCAAAAGAAGCGAAAGCAGGGGCTCAGAAAGGTATTTGTACACCCATGCTCACAGCAGCTTTATTTACAGTGGCCAAAAGGCAGAAGCAACTCAAACGTTCGTCAATGGATGAAGGATAAACAAACGTGTTATATACATGCAATGGAACATAATTCAGTCTTAAAAAGGAAGGAAATTCTGACACAGGCTATGACACAGATGAACCTTGAGGGCGCTGTTAAGTGAAATAATCCAGTCACAATACTATGTGATTTCACTTATATTTGGTAGCTAAAATGATCAAATGCATGGAGACAGAGAGTAGAATGGCTGTCAGGAGCTGAGAGAGGGAAGAATGGAGGGTTTAACGGCACAGAGTTTACATTGGGGAAGACAGAAAAGGACTGGAGATAGACAGTGGTTGCAATAGACTGTGTTCTCCCAAAATTTACATGTTGAAATCCTAACCCCCACTGTGACGGTATTCAGAGGTGGGACTTTTGGGTGGTGATTAGTTATGAGCATAGAGTCCTTGCCAACAGGGCTAGTGCTCTTATAAGAGGGACCTCAGGGAGCTCTCTGACGCTCTCTGCCATGTAAGGTTGCATCAAGAAGATGGCCGTATATGCCCTGGAAGGGGGCCCTTCCAGACACCGAATCTGCCAGTGCTTTGTTCTTGGACTTCCCACTCTCCAAAACTGGGAGAAATGAATTTCTTTGTCTGTAAGCCACTCAGTCTAGGTGTTTGGTTGTGGCAGCCTGAACTAAGGCTGTGGAGATGAGCACACAACAGTGTGGGTGGACTCAATGCCGCTGAGCTGTACATTTCAAAATGGTTAAAATGGCAAAGTTTATGTTATGTATACTATCCCATAGTCACAAAAATTAAATAACTATGTGATTATTTAAATATGTTAAATAATAATAATTATGTTATCGTTTATTTCAAAAAGATGCATTGGTGACCCGCTGCACGTCTGCAAGTGCCTCTGAGCCTGCTCCCAGGACGGCCATCCTGCTGCCCACCCGACTCCTACAACCTGCTGATCCCCAGCTTCCCAGCAAGATCTAGGCTAATGACTTCCTAGTTCCTTGCTTCTGTCATGGTTAAGGCTGCCGGATTTAGTAAACAAAAATACCAGACATAAAGTTAAATTTGAATTCACAACAAATAATTTTTTAGTGTAAGTATGACCCATGCAATATTTGGAATATATTTACACTAAAAAATTATTCCTTGCTTATCTGAAACTCAAATATAACTGAGCATCCTGTGTTTCATCTGGCAGTTCCCTTTGATTTATGTGTGTGGTGAGTATTCCATACCACTGACTTGAACTAATTTTTTATTGATGTACTAATTTCTCAATGCCGTTCTTTCTGGTTTTACACAGCAACTGGGTTGATTTTTCCCATTCCTGCTTTCCAAAGCTTCCAATTATTATATAAAATATTAAGGTACTTCCTCCCCCAAAACGTACTTTAACGCATGTTTTGAATAGTAAGTGTGTACCATGCAGCACCTTTTTGGTAGCAGAGGGAAGTATCTCGTAAAGTCAGCGAAAGGAATTTTATAATTTATAAAAAGTCCTGCAGTCTTATAGGCAAAGGTTAATCCACATGTGCTCCACCCTGTGCAAAACTGAGCCGCAGTGCTACTGGGACACTGGTAGATAGATGGGTGTTCCCGGCTATCACCTCATCCCTGTCTCTGTGGAACCATGGAGATGCCAGTGGATGCGTGTTCCCGGCTATCACAGCATCCCTGTCTCTCCAGTGCTGTATGTGGCAATGTGAGCCCTTACATCTGTCTGTCCTTTCAGTAACGCACCCAAGTGAGACAACACTGAAATGCACAGATCTTTCCAAAGACAACTCTTGCAAGCCCCTCAGTTACGAGTCTCGGACGGTGAGGAAGAGCCTGCTCGTGTGTTCAAAACACTGGAGGACCCTTGGTCTGAGAACTAACCAAGGATGATCCACGACCTAGAGGAAGACAGACCAAGATCAAAGAAGACCCCATTTGCTTGTACCTGGAGTGGCACCACCCTGGACATCAGGTGGTCAAAATAAAGGTCCACTGCTTCGGTGAAGCCCTTGTAAGTTGTCCTCAGCCTCATGCCAGGGTCTTGGAGTAGCCAGCTTGAAGTGTAAACGGGGGAAAGGAAGGATGTTAGTGTCACAGTGGGTTTGCTGTGAGCAGGCTGTTGATGCGTGAGAAGGGAGAGGCCCCCCAGTGCTCCAGAATGACCTGTGCCCTCCTCCACCCCACTGAGCCCAGAAGTGGGGAGACAATGCAAACCGATTCTGGGGCGAGCACCCACCCGCACTCCTGCAGCTTCCCTCCCCAAGGACACAGCCTGGTGGAAGTTCATTTCCAGCTCCACAGCTACAGGGCCTGGCTGCCAGCAGTGAGAAAAGCTTTTCACAGGACTCCAGGCCTAGTTTTCAACAACTTGCTCTGTGATCCCATTTCAAAAAGTGAAGTCAAAAGGGTTAGGAATCACTGAGGCTGTGGAAGGAGGAGACACAACCTTCTAGCGTCACCCCAAAAAACAAGCCTGACAGAGACTGCGAGGGGCTGAGCAGGAGGCAGTCCCCATCCTTGCCAACGTGGCTAACGCCTTGGCATCAGTGGCGCACAGCCCAGAGCAGCAGGTGAGCAAGAGTTGAATTCTCCCTCCACCCTGTTGCTATGATCCCAAACTCCCCAGAGGAACACAGCAGCGTGGATTGGTTCCAAAGCTGGAGTCAGGGCTCTTCCTTCTCACTTCAGGTTCTGAGAAGACACATATTTTCTAACAAAAGGCTCTGAGGCTCCTCTTGCCCTGGTCTGGAAGTCCTAAACAGGGTCAGGAAATTATCCCATTTCTGTGGGTCAAACAAGGGGTGAGGAGAGAGCAGTTTCCTCCAGACCGACACCCCCACATTCTAACCCCACCTGACAGGTTAGCCTTCTCACTCACGCCCGGACGCCCCCTCCGCAGGTGTGCCCACATGCCCCTCTCATGCATGGCCAGGTGCCACATGGGCGGGGTGAGAAGGGGGAGTCTGAGTGCCACAGCTCCCCACTGCTTCTAAGTTAAGACTGTTAAACCCTTCGTCCTCCTGTGCCCGGCCCCGGCTGAGCCGAGGAAATCGCTGACGGTGGCACACAGCTTTCTAATCCACAGGGATGGGAGAGGCTGCCCTGGCTGTGTTCGTGACTAGGGTGAGCCTACCAGGCTGGATGGATCAGTGCCTGAGAAGTGGCCCTGGGTAGTGGAGACAGAAGCTATGCCCCCGAGGGAAGGGCGGGTCATGCTGGAAACCAGGAGGAAAAGAAGCCCAGGGCTCCCCAGGGACCAGGGGAGGGGAGACGGCTTGGGGACAAGGATCAGCCTCTTCCCTGAGGCAGTCTGGGTCTAACCACCTGGTACACTGGGAGGCTGAGAAAGGTTACACCAGTTAACAAGAAAATCTTAAAGGCCACAATGTTGAGGATGAGGAATGAATGAAGTCCCAGCTGATTCCTGTCCAGATTTCCACTCCAACCACAGAACACCAAACTCAGCCAAGACTAGCACTGGGAAGATGACACACGTGGGCCGAGATAGGAAGACAAAACCATAACAAGAATTTGTTTCTCTTATACTTTATCAAAATACTTGGACTTTTCAAAATATGCTTGGTAACATTCCTAAGAAAGAGATAGGGAAGGCCGGGCGCGGTGGCTCATGCCTGTAATCCCAGCACTTTGGGAGGCCGAGGTGGGCAGATCACAAGGTCAGGAGTTCCAGACCAGCCTAGCCAACATGGTGAAACCCTGTCTTTACTAAAAATACAAAAATTAGCTGCGCGTGGTGGCACACACCTGTAACCCTAGCTACTCGGGAGGCTGAGGCAGGAGAATCGCTTGAACCCGGGAGGCGGAGGTTGCAGTAAGCCAAGATCACACCACTGCACTCCAGCCTGAGTGCCAGAGCAAGACTCTGTCTCAAAAAAAAGAAACAGACAGGGAAGGTCGGATTTTTCCCATACTGCAGACACGCAGGTGAATGACCTGCCAGGACTCACAGCTCCACAGCAGAGTCCTGAAGCATGAGATGCCAGGAGGGCCAGCCCTGCTGCTGCCTGTCACACAAGCAGCCCATGCATGGCTACGTGAGGGCACTCACTGCAGCATCACTGAAAGCGATCCCCTCTGGGTGCTGCTTTTCCTGAAAAGGAAATTCAGTACAGAATGGGAACTGGAACACAATTCAGTACAGAATGGGAACTGGAACACAGAAACAAACCAGACCTATGTCTGTGAGCTTTTTGCCACAGCACACAGGACCCTTCACAACCCCGCTTACCTGGGCAAGCCCCCGAGGTCCATCTCACTGCAGATGTAGGGGCCTGGACGCAGAATCACCCACAGCCCGATCTCTGCGGCCATCAGGACGAAGGCCCTAGGGAGGTCCACATCGTCAGCCCCTCCCACGACGGCCCAGGATGAGGCCGGGTGGGGGCCACGCGCATCACAGGGTGGAGGAGCTGCCTGGTGGGGCGAAGGGACGGCTCGGCCCCACCCCCAAAGCGCGGGGACTCCCACACCAGGTCGGTGGCCTGAGCTGCTCCCAGCCTCAGAGCCTCTGCACAGCCCCATCGGGGGCCTGAGGAGGAAGGGTGACACCCAGGGCTCAGTGGTCTCAACAGTGAACCTGACCCCATAGCCTTGCTAGCCTAGAGGGGCCGCCCTGCCCCAGCCCAGCGGCCGGACCCCATGCAGAGTCGGGCGGCTCCCAGGGTCTTCTGCCCCTCTGGGCTGCAGTGGAGAGGTGGGGCCCGGAGGCTGCAGGCCCAGTCCCTCTGGGTGACAGGTCACGACTGGGGAGCGTCTGGGTCCTGGGTGCAGGGCCTCTCACAGTCCTAGAACAGGACTCCAGACCCACGTCCCTCCCTGGTTCTCTTTGGTTGCTAATCCACCCCAGTAGCCACCTCTGTGCCCTGCCCCTGGCCAGTTCACAGAAGCAGCAACACCACATACTCCAGGTCCAGGTTCCCAGAGAAGTCAAATTTGCCTCTTTCTGGCTCATGCAGGTTCCACGGAACATAGCTGCAACAGAAATGATAATTATAGGCTAGAGCATGTCATTCATTCCATTTCACCTCTCACATTACCTTCTTTAGCCCAAAAATCCAATATGATGGCTAAAGATATGTTTCTTCATGATTTTAGGACTGGAACCAAGAACTAAGTGAACTGATCTAGGGACCAGAATCGAGGGCAAGCCCTCTTCCCTCTGCATCAACAAGATTTGGATGAAGCATAAGACCGGCTGAGTAAAAGGTCAGGCGCTCTGACCCCAGTTAGCTTACCATGCCCACGCCCCATTGGAGAAGAAAATGTAACTTTATCAAAAAAACAGCTACAAGGAGTAAGGGGAAAGCTCGGTGATCATCCTATATTTACTGAAGCCCCGGAATTCCAAAACGGGCAACAGAATGAAGCTTCCAACTCGAAAGACAGGACAAGGGATGGAGCAGGCTCATGGACAGGCTCAACTCGAGAGGCGGAAGGGACGACTCATGGATGACACAGTGATGGCAGCTGCTCTTCTCCCGGCCCCACCCCATCGCTGGCTTTCGCAGAGCCTCTGCCCACTACAAAGAATATTCTCAGATGAAGGAGGAGAGCCTGCCTGGCTTCCAACCCAGACACACGAGCTCTGCCTTTCAGCAAGTGTCGTCGGTGCTGCTTCTGCGAGTCAGAGTGCTGAGCCTGCAGCACTCCCACAGCCTTCAGGAGTCCTTTCGGGGAAGTTGTCAAGGCTCGGCAGGTTTCTGTAACTCTTTAAGGAACTGTCTTCAAAATCAGTTCATAAACCACCCATGAAAAGCCATCTCCTTGATTTGTAATCACATATTTTTGCCTAAACATGGAATAATCCAGCCTGATCACCCCCTTTATTTCATAGACTTAGCGTCAAGTATCAGTTGGCAATTTGGGGGGAAAACCCATGAAAAGATCCAGGTTATTCACAACTGAGCACACTTTATAAATGATTTGCAAGTTCGACATTTTAGTGCGTGCCTACCATGTGCCAATCATCACAGCAGAGGCTGGGATGGCAACCACAGCATTCTAAGACCACTGCCCAAGAGGAGTGCTGAAAACTGGGGCCAGAGAGCCTCTCAGGCAGCTCTCCTGAAGAAGACTCCGTTCACTGGCTGTATAAACTGGAAGTGGGAAGACTGCTTGTAACACAAAAAGATTCGCTAGCACTGAATCACCTCCTCAATCTGCACTCACCGCCTTCCCTATACTCTTTTGTGCGACATTGCTACTGCGGTTCCTCTAGACCTCACATCCATTTCATGTCCCTTGGCGCCCATGAGTCAGGAGCTCTGTGGTGGGGAGGAGGAGGGAGACCCTGGCTCTCTCGCCCTGGGCAGAGGACCTGGGCCGGTTCCTCTTATATTTTTTCGCATGCAGACACCAGGCGCCCTGCTTAGGAACCAGGCTCCGGGGGGACAGGGGCAGCACCTACGTGGTGAGGGTGTTCAAGCCACAGGCCTTCATCTTCAGCAGGCGGTCCCTCCAGTACTCCCTGGGCACACGGAAATAGTGGATGGAGCCCCCGAAGATCCAGAAGGTGGAATCCTCCAGCATGAAGTTCCAGCCCTTGGCCTGCAGCCCCAGCTGTCGATGGCGGAGCCGCAGAGGGACCAGGGTGCTCCAGTCCAGCCTGGAAAGACAAAGACATTCTGGAGCCTGGAGGCTCCGGGCCGCAGAGAGATCGGCTTCCTCGCCCCTTCGCAGGTCCTCGGCATTTCTCTCTCGAGGGCGCCTGCGTCCAGGTGGCTGGGAAAAGCTCCCCTCCGCCTCAGCCAGACCTGGGAAGGGGTCTTTCTTCAGCACGGGGCCCCGCGGCAGGGGAAGGGCAGGCCGAGGCTGCAGCCGGCAGCAAGCACAGCACTCGGCATGGAGGCCGGCGGGCTGAAAGGAGAGACGGCAGCCGTCACGCCACGGGAGAGGCTGCTGCTGGGGCCGGGGCGGGGCGGGGCGGGCGCCGCACGGGCTTCACCGTGGCCAGCCCCGCGGCCACGCGCGACAGCGACTTCACACGGTACCTCCGAGCCCCGGCACGGTCGCAGCCGCCCGACCGCAGGAGCAGAGACCTGGAAAGAGGGTCTGCGTTGGCGGCGTCCACCCATCCACCCGATTCCAGGTCTTCATTATTTTCTGAAGACCGCGCACCCCCCACGAGGTGACCCAGCTAGAGCAGAGTCCCCCACGGGAAGGCCGTCGAAGGCTCCGGTCCGCGAGAAAGCGCCTCTCGGCATCTCTCGGGGTCGGCCCCAGGGAGCCCCTCAGCCGGGTCCCAGTGACTCGGTGCTGCCGGGTGGGTCTCCTTCCCACCCTGTCTCCCGAAAGCCGTGCGAGAAGCTGGGGAGACCCACATTTCAAGTCAGGAAGGTCAGGAAAGCTGGAGGCATGAAACAAGGGCGTGGCTGAGTCCGGGGCAGGAGCCGGTGCTGGGTGGCTGAGTCCGGGGCAGGAGCCGGTGTGGGCTGTGCCTTCGTCCCCACCGGCGCTCGCTCCTGCCCTGACACTAGCAGGCGGTGGCCAGCCGGGCCCCACTGCACAAGACGCCCCTCAGCTGAGTGTCACAGAGGGAGGGAACAAGCGAGAGGGCCCAGATGGCCAGAGACGGGGAGGGGGCAGGGTGCCCACAGGGCAGAAGACAGCTCGGACATCGCCAGCCTCTTGGGAATTTTGTCTGGGGCCACTCTCAGGCAAAGAAATTTGCTTTTTTACCTACTCCTTCCTACTTCTCACAGCCCCAGGGCCTTAGAACTCACACCGAAGCTCCAGGACTATGGTTCTGCTGTGTTACAGATGAAAGGGTCATCTCATCTTGGGCAACCTGGGAATCTGTTCACCACATTTTTCTTTTTCTAAAGAGAAAACTTCCATGTTCTAGTAAATGGCTTGCAAATGACATTTTAGGACACAGTTCTTCCAAAGGACTGTATGAGACAGTGACAGCAAAAACGCTAGCTGGAATAGGAAGATCCGGATGTGAATCCTGGCCCCCAGCTTGGTAGAACTGTCGCCTTGGGTTAGTGACACCAGTTCTGTGGGCAGGAGCTTCTTCCTCTATAAAACGAGTCTAATGCCTCTCCCAACTGCTCAGAAAGGCTGCTGTGAGGGTCCCGGAGAAATGCAACACTCTCTGCTGTGAGTCGAAGGGTCTTATCTCTATCTGAAATCAATTTATTGTAGCATGTGTTTGCGTATTAGAGAGTTATGGGAACCTATTCACCACACTTTTTTCTCCAAAGAGAAAGCTTTAGAGAGAATAGCCACAAGTGGGTTTTATGTCCCTAATGTGGAATAATCCCAACTTCTCCATTCTCCCCATGGTGGTATATAGCTTATGTGCTAGACTTTGTGCCAAGCCATCTTATGACAATTTCTAAAATTTGACAATGAAAGATTCTGTACACTGAGATCCTATTAGACCAACACAGCCTGTAGGCCAGAGGTGGGCCAACTTGGGCCTCGGGTCAAATCCAGCCTGCCATCTGTCTTTGTGCAGCCTGCAAGCTGAGGATAGCTTTCACATTTTTAAGTGGTTGGAAAAAAATCAAAAGCATAATATTTTGGGACACATAAAAAATTATATGAACTTCAGTGTTCATAAATCATTGTATTGGCACACAGCCACACCATCTACGAATGGCTTTTTGCAGTTGAGTACTTGCGATAGACTGCGTGGCCTGCAAAGCTGAAAATATGTGCGATCTGCCCTCTCCCAGAAACTCTGCTGGCCCACATCCTTGCAGATGAAGCCCTGGAGTGCTAAGACAAGGCCTCGGCCCCTCTGGGCCACCGTCCGGGCCTTCTTTTGGTGCCCCCTGCTCTGCTCACCAGGCGCTTTGCTTTGGCTACAGGCTCACAACTGCTCAGGCCACACCTGCTCCAAAGCACACACCCTGCCACCTGCTCAGCCCTCCCTGCCTCAGGTACTCACCAGACTCACCTGCCCGCCGCAACACAGGTTCTCCCCCTGGTTCCCTCAGAGGCACATGCTGGGCTCACCCCAGGCCAGAATGAGGAAGAACTGGATGGACAGATTATTTTCTTAAAAACAGGGGCATTTTGACAACCTGGTGGTGAAAATACACACACACATGCACATGCACACACACACAAAATATCACTGTTTTTAAAGACAGTGACAATACAACTTAGCAATCATTCCACCAGGTACCAAACCTTATTCTCCAGCCAGAACTTCAAAAGCACAATCTCCAATTCTTATTAAAGCACACATTACTTATCCTAACATCTACTTATGGGTGCGAGAGCCTCCACTCCCCACCCTGCTAAATGCAGAGGTGTAGGCAGGGTTGGAGAAGCCTCTCTGACCGACATTCCAACACAGTCCCTGCTAGGAACCAACACCTTTAACCTCTCCCCTTGATTAGTTGATGACTAAGGATCAGGAAACCTCCCTCTAGGCTGACTTCTCCAGGTGTGGTCTATAGACAGCCACACCTCTGAACTCCCTCAGGGTCACAGCCGCCTGACTCAAAGTGCAGACACCTGGAAAGAGGCATCCCAATTCAACAACTTCTATCCACCAACCAGATTTCCAGGTCTTCATCCGCAGCTTGTCAGAAATGCATAAACCTTAAGCCTTACTTGAGACCTACTGAATCAAAATCTGCATTCTAACCAATCCCAAGGTTACAGCTCGAGAAGCCCAATCTGCGTCTTCTCCTTGGACACTACGTAGACTCCCTCCCTGGATAGAGCTTGTCTTTGCTAGTGTCTTTATAACACACCATTTTCTATATTTTTAGAATGAAACGTTCTTCTCAGTGCATAGCAAGAGGAATGAAATAAACAACAAGAATAAAAAACAATCTAGCTGTTATCCAATTCCAAATTCTGGTGAATTCAACTGTTTCTTCATGGGAATTTTCTGGTAGGTTACTAGAGAAGTTGTCAATACCTTATTAAAAGGGATGGATTCACCAAGAAAATGAGGATGATACGTGTTGGGTTTCTCCAAGGAATTCACTGCTAGTAAATGAGACCATGCGAGTTACAGCTTCATAAACAACGAAGCATCATGTAAATGGCTATTAACACTGATAATGATCATTAATACTAATAATCATAAGACGGAGAATAACCCCATAATTTCCTGAGTAACTCAGTAATAATAAAATAAAGGAAATATCAACAGTGTGGTTGGAGTTGGTTGGTTTAAAGGTCAGCAAGACTTTACTCCTAAATTAGGCTTGATACCAAGCAGCTAACCAAATCCTAAGGAAGCCCAGCGTGTTTCTGTCACTTTTCTTGGGGAGCAGTTCATCCACGATGGACCTTTATCTGATGAAACCAGGAACACCTGCCTTCTTTTGAACTGGAGCTTATGTTAACACTTTCTGCTAGGATTCCTGTTGCCTATGTATCTCGGCTTCATTTATCCAAAGCGATTTTTCCACCTTAGAAGAGTCCGGACAGCAAACCCTGAACTCAGTGCTCAGTGCCCAGGTCTGCTCTGCTCAGAGTCAGGCTCCGCTCCTCCACCTGGATGGAGAGGGTGGCCATGGTCATGGTCCAAGGTGGGGTTCCTGGAGGAAGGCAGGCACATCAGGACTTCTGATGGGGCCGCGCACAACCTAACAAGACCTCTACAGCCCATCCTCACCAGTTCCCTTTTGGCAAGTGGAAAAGGGGCATGCACTATTCGTGCTGAAGGCTGGGCAAGCTGCAGACACAAAAATTGGTTGCAATGGAAACCTGAAGCAGAGGACATAGGTACCAAGTTCTGCTGTGCCCCGTGGTGAGGAAGCAGGGGGAGGTGGAGCCCTCTGGAGTAATTTTTCCTTGACTGGTGAGGTGGGTCCTGAGGATGAAGGGTACAGGGCAGGCCCCAGCAGGCAGGAGATTCCAGGTGTAGTAAAAAGTGCTCCCGGATGTGAGTGGATGGAAAAGGGCAGATGAGCAGGTGGCAAGGTCACCACCTCTTTCTGGGAATGGGACTGGCTGTCAAGTTTCAGAGGGGATCTTGCAGGGCGGCTGGGTGGGAGGTGAGCCAGATCCTGTCACCACCAGAAAGGATCTCCTTGAGTGAAGTGTGCCAGGCTTGAAATGCGTCCTGCCATGCCAGCGGGCATCCCTGCATCACCCGTCAATCCTGCAAACACTCATCAGGAACCGGGGTCATGGTACGGCTGGGAGGCCTCACTGGGGTCACAGTCATCTCTTTCTGGTCTGCCATGCAGAGTATGACCAGACACAGATAGGCCAGGATCCATGCAACCGGGCACAGCAGAACATCCGGAGTGCCGTGAACATCCGGAGTACGATGACCGCCGGTGGAGACCAGGCAGCACTCACGCAGTCCGAGGCTGGCCACCAGCATACGCAAGCTGGTATCTGAGTCAGGAACTGCAATCATTGTCCTTCGATTCCCAGAACATAAGTCCTTGCCGGCCCCAAAGGCTGGTTATTTTGATGCTATAACATAACGTGTTCACATACTTGTTCATCTGAGACGATAGCTTACAAATTCAATTTTTAGGTACACTGTGGCCCTATTAGGGCCTTCCTAAACAGAGGTTCAACTGAATCCAAATCCAGGGCATCCCATGAAGATCCTGACCAAGAAAACACTCACCTCCACCCTCCTCCAAGTGGCCATGCCAGAGGCCACCATGTGATGGCAAGTGTGTTCAGCTGCCCACAAAGACATCAAACACATGGGAATTCCTCACTTGGATGTGTCTTCAGTGCAGACTTCATCACTCTCAGGATTCTGGTTCGGTTCTAGGCTCCCATGAGGCTCAACTTCCTTGGACATCCTGCTGCCCTAAACTGTCTGTTTGGGGATATTTTGGTCCCAGCAGCCTTCAGCCATGTTCTCTCCACCCTCAGCAAAAGAATTTGAGGGCCTGAAGAAGGAACTATTCACTCTTTGGCCCAGATGGTGCCCTTAATGCCTCTACTCCAAAATATTGCCTCTTGGACCAATCCCCGGGCTCCAGGAACTTCAGCCTCAGGGAAATGGAAGTCGGTCCCTGTTTCTGGCCCAGCTTTCTATATGTGCTCCTTGGTCTGGGCCCAAGGTGTTGGACTCCTGTTTGCTGGGAGAGGCATTAAATACGCCCAAGGGCTTTGGCCTGCCATTCCCAAGGCAAGTATATGCATCTTGCAGAGATGTGAGGTCCCCAGCAAGAGGTCCACAGCACTCTTGCCATCCTAGCTCCTCTGCTTTTTCCTTTGAAAAGGCTCCCAGGTAAGGCAGGAACCCTGGCCTCACATCCAGGCTCTGACCCGGAAGCAATATTGGTGGTTCAGAGAGCAGTTATTTCCTAAAGACTGTAGGAAGTGAGTACATGAAGAAGAGTTTACTAGACCAAAACCTTGAGATCCAATAGTAAAGTAACAAAAACCCCTCACTCTAATCAACCATATAACAACAATAACAACAACAAAAAGTGTTCTAACATTCTGTTACTCTGTACTTTTGCAGTACTTTGGGACCATTGACAGCATCATAAACAGGAAAAGGACTGTGTCTCACCCAGAGAGAAAGCTCTGTTAGATAACACAAGGCCTCTACTCTTGATAACAAGCCCCTGATCTTCAAGATGCTTGTAGACTCTAAATGAAATGATATCACAAATACGGAAAAACATTATTATGTTAAATTTTTTTTTAATCCACCACATAGGACTTATCTATGAAGATATACAAGAGATGCACTGGCTCTTACAAGACTCAAGAATCGACTTGGCCCTATTGAGTTGGGCTCGGAATCTCCTTTACATTGATCCAACAGAAATAAAATGTACTATTTGGAAATGTCTATCAAGATTTAAAATGAATCTATCCTACGGTCAGCAATTCTACTTATAGAAATACATCCAACAGATATCTGCAGCAGCTTTGTTTACAGTAGCTAAAAGATTGCAAACAATCGATGTCCATCAGTAGAAGGCTGTTTAAATAAATTATGTGTCTAATGGACAAGTGGGATAATATGTGTAGCTATCTTCTTGTATATGCATAGAATATTTCTGAAAGAAGCCATTACCAGTAGTAACAGCTGATATGAATAGGGGATAGGGAAGGGTGCCTAGCCTAGGGGCCAGGAATGGGAGTTTCTTTTCACTTTATTCCCCTTCACACTCTGAATACTTACCATGTTCATTAATTGCCTACTCACAAAATAACTTCTTAAGGGAAAAAAATACAATCTGTGCTTGAAAGGAACAAGCCCACTGACTGTTTCGCTGAGTGTCAAAGAACAGAAGCTGTGAGTATCAACAAGGAGTCTCTAACAGGCAGACACGAGTCAAGAAATATCTACCTCGTTAGCAGGAGCCTCTAAAAACACCTGCTGCCTTTCTATCCCAGGAGACATCCACACATGAGAACTCTTTTTCAATACGGTCTTTAATATCCAGAGCAATAGATTTAAGCAAAAGCTAAAACTGAGTGGAGAGGAAGCAGCAAATATCCCAACATTGACACCAAAAAACCCTGCCCCTGCTGGTGATGGTGGAGAGGGAGGGAGGGAGGACGTGCCTAGACCCCAGAGTCCTTTTCAGGTCCAAATGTTCTCAAACCTTTCTCCGCAAGCTACAGCATCTCCTGAATTCTTCCCAGAAGAGCGTCTGACATGACCTCGTGGAACTCTGCACCACTTCATCAAGGACTACATGTTTTTATTTCACTTGCCACTTCCTTACCTTAAGGTGGGAAGAACCCTTTGGTCAACTTTCTGCTATTTCTGCAGCCCAGGCTCTTTGTCTCCAATCTTCTTGGTAGCCCAGTCCCTCCCTTGAATCACACCTATACCAATACTATGGCTGCTCCAAGACAACTCTGGTCTCCTTCTGCTGGTGGCTAGCATGGTCCTGTAAGAATCCCAGAGCCAACTCGATCTTCCTAGCACAGGGTGATTCAGACATCCCTCAACACCTGTATCCAACAGGTGATCACCTGCTGAAAGAGACACTTCCCCGATGCTGAAAACTTTACTACTACAAGATGAAAGGAACACTGTTCAAAGAGTTTGAACATTCCATGAAATATGACTCAGGCCTCAAGCAGAGAAGAGTCCTAGAATAGGCAAGGCCCATAAAATCAATTACCTCCCAGAAGCTCCAGAGGAGAGGCATGATTTGGCCACATACCCTTGGAAGACAGGACTGGCCATGATTCACATAAAAAAAAAAAAGTGACCTGCATTGCTAAGTTAGCCACCTTGTTCAGGAGAAAGAGTTTGATACATCTCCTCCTTTTCCTTTCTATAGGAAGAATTTGGGGTCTGGAATAAAGAAAACAGCAGGGCAGGGCAGTGTGTGAGACGGACCTCAGAGAAGAAATGAACTTACCTCTTAGGAGCATGATGCTGGCTGCCCACATGAAGGCTTTCCCCTCTCCCAACTTTCCCAGCTAAAATTTCAGGTATGAGAGATGCAGCGTTGCCTGTATTCTTGCTCGGTGATTCATTTATATTAAGGAAAAAATCATGAATGAGAACCATGCCTTTAGATAATATCAAGCAGGCATTCTTGTGTTCATGGAGTGCGAATAGGAAGAGAATGAAAGGCAACTGGCTCAAAGGCACGGTTCGCACTGATACGTGCATCGCAGACCTCAAAATAATACTCTGAGTGAAAGAAGCCAGACCAAAAAGGAAAACATGCTTTAAGATTACAATTCTATAAAACACTAGAAAATGCAAACCAATATATCGTGTCGGAAAGCAACAGATCAGTGGTTGCTTGGGGCTGGGGAGCAGGGAGGAGTAGGAGGGAGGGATGACAGAGAGGTACATGGAAACTTTGGGGGCTGGTGGCTGTTTTCACAATCTTAACTGTGGTGATAGATTCACAGCTGGATTTAGATATGTGTCAAAGCTTATCAAATTGTACATATTAATTAAACTCCAATAAAGGTAATTTTTAAGAAAGACCACTGTTTACGCTTAAAAAAAATAAAAATAAAAATTCTAAGACTGAAATCCTCCCCAAAAGTCAACCTGGTCATCCTAGTCTTTTGATATGATGTAACCCACCAGCTATGACTGACCGTGAACCAGCCCAAGGAAAAGTTGATGAAAAAAAAGAAAAGCTATAGCCAAACATCCCCCAGCCCATGCCAGCCACTGTCCAAATACCTGCCTTCTGCTACAGGAAAGGGGCTGCTCCTGACAGCTCGGCTCCACAAAGAGTGAACTTGGTGGCCAGTTTCCACGTGACCTATATTCCACTGGCCACCTCAACACTGCCCAGTAACAGCTGGGAGAGGCCCCACCTCCCACTCAGTTAATGACCCAGTCAGAGCTGGGGCAAGACAGGAAGAGGGAAAGACAAAGAGGATGTTCTCCTCCTGCCTCCAGAGATATTACAGCAACTCATACTCACTGGTGTCCAGCCCAAGTCAGACAGGAGGAACTGGCAGAATGTACCCATGAGGGTGAAAAAATCAAAAAGATGCCAAAAAGACACGTATTCCACAGGATCTGAAGACACGGCCCTGAACTTGGTTCAGAGCTCCTTGAGCTTCTGTTCTACCTGCTAGAAGGATGGAGAGGCAAGAAAAACATCCTTCCCAGGCAGGCCAAACTGTTTTCACAGAATTTGGTTGCAGCTCTTTATTCTCTGTTGCCATTCCACCTGCTCCAATGGCCCAAGACTGACTCCTAGTGCGGTCACCCCACCTAGGTGGGGACACAGTTACCTCACCTCAAAGAAGCTCAGGCGTCTTCCCAGCTAGGTCAGCTCCCTGCCACCTCACCTCTGTCCCACCAAACAATAACAAACCCTCAGCCTCCTTCGCATACCTTTTCCTGGGGACTTTTTGGGTGTACCACTCAGCCCATCTCAAGCCCACAGTGCTGCCCCAAATAGTGACCTGCCTGGGTCCCCTGCACGGACTCCTGTATCCCTGACCAACAACAGGCCTGCAGCCGCTAGCCTTTCTCTTGGCAGCTTGCACGCCTTGCTACCCTGCTGTATGCAGGAGGATCTGCTGCCGCTGCTCTGAGTAATTCTTCTGGGGTTTGCGTAAGCCTTGCACAGGGAGGAAAGCTGAGCATCCCACAGGAGCCAGGGCCAATCTTCAGAGAGGAATGGCTTAGAGATCTTAGGCAGGACAGAAAACATCTTGGGAACAACCGGAGAAGTTAAATGCCTGAAGTTTTCTGGGCCCCAGAATGAGAAGAAAATCCGTCCTTCTCCCAAACAATATCATGACGTCCCCACTATCTCAGAAACAAGAATCCAGTCTTGACAAGGTGTAAACATAGAGTTTGTCAGTGTGTTCTTCTGGCCACAAAGGACTTCCAGATATTTATCTCCATCAAAAACTTCCCTGTCTCCCAGGGGAAGTGCAGAGAAACTAAGAACTTAGTTTCTCTAAGTAAAAAAGAAGCAAATGACAAAGCCGAGCGGCGTAGGGCCTGCCACCACTTCCAACCGTTCAGTTCATTCGATACTGCCGGTCGGCTTCCCACTGGAGGTTTTGAATATGGAAAGTGCTGACCTGAAAGATAGGGTCAGGGCTGTAGAATCCTTAAAATAAGCACAGTTTAGAAAAATGCTGGGCTAGGGCACCCAGAAAACTTTTTCACAGGCTGTGGGTAAATCACAGTATCACTGAAGCCACTCCTTTGCCATAAACAACATTTGGAAAAGGGGGAGAGGAAAGGGTGAGCTGGTAACAGGTGAATGGTGGGAAAGTGGAGAGAGACGACCTATCAGTCCTACTGTGCAAATAAATCATGGCCCGGGATCTTGGAGGCCCACGGACACTGTTCTTACGACCCTGCCAGGCCAGCTGGCTAGACCATACCTGCCAGGCTGAAGCGCCGGCCTCTGCGGAATAAGGCGCCTCCCAGAGGCTTGGGAGGAAAAGGGGGGCCTGGGGGAAGGGCAGAGGGAGCTCTCCGCGGAGCAGTGGGGACGGGGCCGCGATGGGGTGCGTCTGAGAGGGCTCTGACGGCTGGAGGGCTGCGGGCGTCCACGGGGGGCAGAGCCCGGCGTCACAGGCGCGGCGGGGTGGGCGGCTCGGGGCACAGACGCCGGCTCCCGAGGGCACGCCGGGTGTCGCCCAGAGGCCTGGATCGCGCGGCAGGAGTAGAGTGCCTGCAGCCGCAGGGGAACTCGGGGGTATTGGGGAGCTCCCAGAAAGAAGCAGCTGGGGCTGCTCCCCCCGGGAACTCGGGATTCGCGGGTCGCGGGAGGAGAGAACCCGAGGTGCGGAGGGCTGGGGAATGTGGGGTCCGGCAGGTGCTGCGCGAAGCTCTCTCTCACCTGCGGAGCACCAGGAAGCCCAAGACGACCAGCAGCAGGAGTCCCAGCGTGCGGGCCGGCCTCCGCCGGAGGCTCCACGTGGTCATCGCGTGTTCTCTAAGCGCGGGGACCCGGGTTCCCACTCCAGTCCGCACTCAGCCGCGCGCGGGAGCCTCGCCGCGGGGGGCGGAGCCGCGCACTGGTCGCCTGGGCAACCGGCCCGCCGGCGCTCATTGGCTGGGGCTCGCGGCTCCGCGCCTGCAGCCCTAGGCCTCGCGCAAGCGGGGGCGGGGCTGGCCGGGGCCGGGGCGGGGCCTCTGTCGGGGGGGGGGCGGGGCGGGGCTGGTGGGCGGGGACGAGGTCTCGGTAGGAGAGGGGGCTGGCGGGGGCGGGGCTGGCGGGGCGGGGCCCCGGCCGGGGGCGGGGCGGGGACAAGGTCTCGGTAGGGGACGGGTCTGGCCGGGGCGGGTCCCCAGTGTCGTGGAGCGGTGCAGAGTCCGCCGTCTTTCTGCTCGCGAGGCGCAGGCGGGTGCGGGAATGCTGCGTACCTGTCAAACGCCGAGGTAAAGTCGCCCCTCGCAGCGCTACATCAGGAAGAACGTACAAAAGGCGTCCGCAAAGCAGGGGCAACCAACAGAATCTTTTAAAACAATTCAGATTCTGAAGCAAACAACTTTTTCAATAACAAATCATCCTGTGAAAAGCCAGGATTTTGAAGAATTGTATCTGGACACATTTCAGTGTGGTTCATGTCTGAGGAGGGGGGGTTCCAAATATTTTCTGTCTTTGGTTTCTGCGAGTCTTACTCTGGCCTTGACTCCAAGGGCTTCCAATTTTTTATTTTAAAAAGGTCCATATAAAACTCTCACATTTTAGGAAAGGAAGAATATCATTCTTATTCTGAAACAGAATGTATGTCCCAAAGAACATGATGTAGTATTTCGGTGCAACTTACACTGTAGCAATCACAAACCCAACTCCTCCCGGGAACAAAATTCAGATTTTACTGAAAGAAACTCGAGGAAGGGCAACGTTTTCCAGAGCATCCGGGTTTGTCGAATGTCTCCCTTGCCGCATGCTTTGAATTCATTTCCTAAACGGGGGCATAGTTTTGAACTTGTAAAGCCGACAGGAACCAAATGAAATTGCAGATCTTGGAACAAAGACACAGACTTGGGTATGAAGTGTCCTTTGTCTAGCGTTAAGCACATATTTAGTCAAGGAGCAAAAGTTAAATCAAAGAGAGGCAAAAACAAACGAACAAACAAGAGGAAAAAAACCCTGGCAGAACTGGGGAGGATAAGCTGGGCTTGGAGCAATCCGGGTCTGACTTAAGCACCGCAAACATTCCCAGAGGCGCGCAGAGGGAGGCCCACTCCCGTGGACGCGCTCCAAGCCCGCTCCTTTTCTCCATTGGGTAAGGCTATGATTGCTTGATGGCTATGAAGTCTGTGATGGAAACATGTTGGTTTAATTGGAATATACCAGCTAGCCCCGAAGCGTGTGGAGAAATTGTCAAAGGCTAGCCCCTTTGCCTGCAGGGGACCATCCGAAAGACATGCACCCCACATTCATCCTCTCACTTCTGGTCACGTTGAACAGTGGCAGAATCTATCAAATATAAGGGAATTCTCAAATGGTTTAAGCAATACAAGCATCTCCATTTTTCTTCAAACGTTAGCAAAAACTTAACATGGGTTGTGAAAACCGTGAACTCCTTGGCCCACCCTTGTATCCTTCGTTTTTATTTGTGCGAGAAAAATATACATAACTGAGTGTTTTCAAAAAAATTTCCCCTTAACCTTGTGGGATGTTCAGAACTAGGGACACACCCTGCTCACAGTCTAGGAACAATTTTACTTTATCTGGGCTTAATGATACCACAGAATGCTACAAAGTTAGCACTAACCCGAGATGCGTCTTGCTCATAGGCTGAGACTTTTTTTTTTTTTTTTGAGACAGAGTCTCACTCTGTTACCCAGGCTGGAGTGCAGTGGTGCAATCTCAGCTCACTGCAATGCCTCCCGGGATGCAAGCTATTCTCCTGCCTCAGTCTCCCGAATAGGTGGGACTGCAGGCACCCACCACCTTCCCCGGCTAATTTTTGTATTTTTAGTAGAGACGGGGTTTCACCATGTTGCCCAGGCAGATCTCAAACTCTTGACCTCAGGTGATCCACCTGCCTCGGCCTCCCAAAGGGCTGGGATTACAGGCGTGAGTCACCATTTCCAGCCTGAGACTTTTGTTTTTTAAAACATTAGGCCGGGTGCGGTGGCTCAAGCCTGAATCCCAGCACTTTGGGAGGCCGAGGGGGGCAGATCACGAGGTCAGGAGATCGAGACCATCCTGGCTAACACGGTGAAACCCCATCTCTACTAAAAATACAAAAATTAGCCGGGCGTAGTGGCGGGCGCCTGTAGTCCCAGCTACTCAAGAGGCTGAGGCAGGAGAATGGCGTGAACCCAGGAGGCAGAGCTTGCAGTGAGCCGAGATCGTGCCACTGCACTCCAGCTTGGGCGACAGAGCGAGACTCCGTCTCAAAAAAAAAAAAAAAAAAAAATTAGCAAGATACTCCTTCAGTGTCTCCTTTCCAAAATGTTTAGTGATCTTAACCCAAAGCAGACAGTGAAAATACTCAAATCCCTGGGAACAAAAGCTACAGTTACAATGAGCTGGCATAAGAGTGGGGTAAAAAAGTGGTCTGCCAAGGTGCTTGGCTTGGTAATGAATCCCTGGTACACAGGAATCATCCTCTTCCCAGGCCTTCTTTCTAGTGTCCAGGGTTTAGAAAATACAAGAAATGCTTTTTAAAAAAGTTAAATCTTGTTGGTGTGCCATTTCCATTGCTCTAAGTCAGAGCTCCAACAGACCCAGAGGGCACAGTTCCTTCCTTGAAAATTCCTGTATCACAGATAATCAGCGGGAAACCGAAACACATACAAAATGCACACACAGGAGAATAAAAACCACACTCGCTCAAAATCAGTACAGTGAAGTCACGTGGGAAAAGCGATCATGTCAAACTAGTCTCATTTGCTGTTTCACTTTTTATTTTTAATAGGTAACAGGTTTACAGATCAGTTATTCATTCACGTAACTCATTTTTGAGGGCACTCTGCTAATGCTTTAAACACAGGATATCTGAATTTTAGGAAAACATTGGCAAAATTTCTTTTAGTCATGAGAATAAGATGAAAAATGTGGCTTCTACGATAGTACAGTCACTTGGGCCCCTGGACCAAGATATAACCCTCTCCTCCCCACCTCCTCCTTATGGACAGACACCTCTGTCCAGCAACCCCCATCCACCCTCCCCTCAGGAGAAGCAAAGTCCAGTTATGATGTCAAGTTGCCAGGGGTCTTGAACAAAGAAATTCAGAGCACAGGAGAATTCCTGGGAATAAATGAGGGCCATTTCAACCCTAGCCAAAACAAAATAGAAAGTCCTGGAATGGAGATTTGGCCTAGGAAAAAGAAAAGAGAAGGCAGATTTAAGATAAAGGAAGTAGACAAAGCTTTTCAGCCCCAAAGATATGTGAGTGGGACTGGAAGGGGCCTGTGCACATCCGATAAGGATGCACAGAACTTGATCTTTGGCCTTACCAAGCCTAACTATCATTTTGTAGGCTCAGCCTTTGAAGGCCTAATAGCCAAAGATCTAATTCTGCAGCATTGTATTTATTAAAAAGTAAATGACAAATTTTAATGACCATAAACAACATACTGAACACTGTTTCACATGCTTGGGATGTATCAGTGGACAGAACAAAGATCTCTTCTCTTTGAAATTTCTGTTCTAGCTAGGGAAGAAAGACAATAAAACTTAACAGAATGAATAAGTAAACTGTAGAGTATATTCAAAGGTAGTAAACTCCATTGCAAAAATTTAAGAAGTAATAAGGGAGCCAGGCCCAGTGACTCACGCCTGTAATCCCAGCACTTTGAGAGGCTGAGACAGGCAGATCATTTGAGATCAGGTGTTCAAGACCAGTCTGGCCAACATGGTGAAACCCCGTCTCTACTAAAAATACAAAAATTAGCCAGAAATTGCTTGAACCCTGAAAGTGGAGGTTGCAGTGAGCCAAGATCATTCCACTGCACTCCAGCCCGGGCAACAGAGTGAGACTCCATCTCAAAAAAAAAAAAAAAAAAAAGTAATAAGGGAAGGAGGACTGGGAATGTGGTGGGGAGGGGTCTGCAGAGAGGCGGTCTCCCCGGAAAGACATTAGCTGAACAAAGATCGGAACACAGTGGGAGTTCTCCATGCAAGCGAACCAAGATAGAACCTGGAGGAAGCACTGTCCAAGCAGACAGAGCAGCTCGTACCAAGGCCCTCAGGAAGGAGCATGACCTGGTGTCCCTGGTGTCCAAGGAAAGGCTAGGAGGACAGCGTGGGAGGTGATGGCAAGAAGGCAGGAGATGAGGACAGAGAGATACAGGGGCCTGATCATGCAGGGCCTTTAAGAGCAGGGCTTTGACTCTGAATGAAATGGGAGCCACTGCATGGTTTGAACATGGCGGTGATGATAACTTAGAAGGATCACTGGTGCCATGCAGTAATCCATATGGGAGACGATGCTGGCTCAGGGGACAGCGGTGGAGGTAGTGAGAAGTGTTGAATTTTTGGGAGTATTCGGAAAGCAGACATGAGAGGGTTGTTGCAATTCGTGGATTGTTTGTAGGGGGAGAGAAATAAAGGGGGCTTAAGAATGTCTCCCACAGGCTGGGCCTGAGAAACAAGAAGTGCTGGTCGCTGTGACCTGAGATGGGGAAGGTCATGGGCAAGTTTCTGGGAGACATCAGTAGCTCAGCTTGGACCTGCTGCATTGAGTGGAGTGGAGTGGAGACACCACGCAGGCTGCTGAACATCAATCCTGATGGTCCAGAAAGAGGTTTGGGATGGAGATACGAATTTAGGAGTTGACAGAGAGCTGGTATTTAAAGGCAAGAACCTGCACCAATTAACAAAGTGCAGACCGAGAAAGGGGATGGGGACAAGCCCTGGCACACCTAACACTGAGAAAAGGCAAGGAACCATGCCACCAACAGGTGAGGTTAAAGCAACACTGAGGATCGACCCGTGGATTTAGTATGTGGTAAACGTTGGTGAACTGGACACAGGCAGCTTGGGTGGAGTTGGGGGTCATGGGATTTGGGAAGCCAACTGGAATGGGTTCGGGAAGGAAGGGTGAAGAGAAATCTAAGACCATTAATGTAGATGACTCTTTTGAGAATATAGGCTAGAAAGGGGACACATAGGCTGGGTGCGGTAGTTTACGCCTTCAATCCCGGCAATTTAGGAGGCCGAGGCGGGTGGATCACCTGAGGTCAGGAGTTCGAGACCAGCCTGGCCAATATGGTGAAACTCCATTTCTACTAAAAATACAAAACTTAGCTGGGCGTGGTGGTGGGTGCCTGTAATCCCAGCTACTCAGGAGGCTGAGGCAGGAGAATCACTTGAACCAGGGAGGCAGAGGTTGCAGTGAGCTGAGATCACACTACTGCACTATAGCCTGGGCAACAAGAGCAAAACTCCATCTCAAAAATAAATAAATAAATAAGAAAGGGAATACATAAATGGGATGGTAACTGGGGCAGAAGAGGGAACTGAATCAAGAGCCGTGTTCTATTTTCATTTCTACTACAGCATGCTTGTATGCTGATAGTGATCTTGATCAGCAGACAAAACTGGTGAGGTAGGACAGACCGTAGAGAATTTCTGTTGTGAAACCCTTGAGGAGGTAAAGTGTAGGGACAAGGTGACCAAGTGAAGGGATTAGCTTTAGGTTGGAGCATATGAGATAGTTTAAGTCCTCACTGAACTCTTGACAACAGAGTGATCACTGAGGTTAATTTCAAATCCACGTCGTAACCCTGCCAGATGTGAGAGTGAGGCGTGTCACCGGAATTTGTTGTTAATATCAGAACACGCTTACCCCTCTGTATCTGTGGGTTCTGCATCTGTGGATTCAACCAACCATGGATTAAAAATTTTTTTTGTAAAAAATTCACATCTAGAGTGGAGGGACTGGGGATAGTTAATGGGTACAAAAATATATTTAGATAGAATGAATAAGATCTAGTATCTAATTTAGATAGAATTTAGATAGAATGAATAAGATCTAGTATCTAATAGGTAGTAACAGGATAACTACAATCAACAATAACTTATCGTACATTTAAAAATAACTGTGGGAGGCCAGGCACGGTGGCTCACGCCTCTAATCCCAGCACTTTGGGAGGCCAAGGCGGGTGGATCACAAGGTCAGGAGTTCAAGACCAGTCTGACCAACATGGTGAAACCCCATCTCTACTAAAAATACAAAAATTAGCCGGCATGGTGGAGCATGGCTGTAATCCCAGCTACTCAGGAGGCAGAGGCAGGAGAATTGCTTGAACCTGGGAGGTTGCAGTGAGCCAAGATCGCGCCACTGCACTCCAGCCTGGGTGACAGAGAGAGTCCGTTTACATGGGAGTATAATTGGATGGTTTGTAACACAAAGAAAGGATAAATGCTTGAGGTGATGGACGCCCCATTTACCTTGATGTGATTATTACACATTGCACACCTGTATCAAAATACCTCATGCACTCCATAAATATATACACCTACTATGTACCCATAGATTTTTAAATTAAAACGAAGAAAACTACAAAGAAAACACATGTGTACTGAACATGTACAAACTTTTTTCCTGTCATTATTCCCTGAACAATACAGTATAACCCTATTTACATAGCATTTACATTGTATTAAGTATTATAAATAATCTCAAGATGATTGAAAGGATACAAGTGAACGTGCATAGATTATATGCAAATACTGCCTCATTTCATATCAGGGACTTGAGCACCTGTGGATTTCGGTATCCATAGTAGATGGTGGAACTGGTCCCCCACGGATGCTGCAGGACGACTGTACTCACTTTGAAATGCAAGTATGCATTTGAGATGTAACATAAAGTGAAACATTAAAATGTTATCAGCAGGTTAAAGTGAAATAAAGCAATTACTGATTATTATAAAAACTGTTGATTTAATGTCCAAAAACAATTATTAAGAATTTTCAAATGTTGAAGCACCTAAGGAAACAGATTGACAGCTCATGTGAATGTGGAGAGCATACATTAGCTTTATAACTTTATAACTTTGGGAAGAATATGATATCCTCTTTAAGCCAACAATGTATAGAAAATATGTTTTTAAAATATAAAATGTAGTATAAAATATGTAAACATTTTATATCATATGAATTATAAATTTAAATGTATAAGTAATAAATATATATTAACACAATAAAGATTATGTTATATCACAATTTTTATCATTTTAGAATTGCTTGATGAGTACCATTTATTACACTAAACAACATGCATGTGTTTTTTATAAAAATGTGGTTTATACCAAATTTATTGTTATTATTTAATATCATTCAGGCCATGAATCTTTGAAGAAAAAGTCTTCTTTGGGGATTCTTGCCACCTCAAATTTCATGAGAAGGCAAATCTCCAAAATTATGTGCAGCTACATCTATGATAAATCATTTTCAGCTCAGACAGAACAAAGAACAGACAAGGTACAAAGAAAAAACGATAGTGGTCGGCAAAAATTAGGCACATTATGTTCTCACTAATCCAACTTCAAAAGACAGATTTATAATAACACTTTTAAAAGATAATTTCTTATAGCTTTGAGTCTGCAGAGACTAAATAAAAAGCTTCTCAGGATAATTGCTATATGCTGGTATTTTTAGTAGTTTTTTGGCTGCCAAAGAATTGTTTAAATCTGCCCAAGTTATGACTTCGAGGTACAAAGCTCCTTCTACAAAACATGCTACTAAAATATGTTTTCCTGAATTATATTTTACTGTGTATCAATCAGTGATATTATTAAAATATCCATGTCTTGTATATCAGATATTTGGGCATGCAGAAACAAATAGAAGTTGCCTTAAAGTTGGGTACGGTAGATTAAGTTTGGTATGGTAGATTAACGAAAACTTTAACAATTCTTCTCCTTTATTCTTTGCCATGATTTCTGAGTATAGCACAGCAACCCAAGAAATAGTTATGAAATGAAAAATTAGGATATAAAGTTGCCATGCAATTATCATTGGCAAAGAAAGAACAAACATGGCTAAGGCCATAAGTGGCTTAGGAATTACAGATGTGTAATTGCTTCATTCACGACTTTTAGCTCTGTATTTAGAAAGAAATTTCAGCACAGTATAAGGTAGGGCCTCTTCAACCAAAAACAGAGTACACGACATAAAAAAGATTTTGAAACTCTCTTGTCTCTTTACTTTATGCAAGACGTTCAGAAAGGTTGAATAGCAACTAAAACATGCTTTTTAAAAAGCTTCAGCAAAAAAGAAAAAAAAAGGCTTAATATTACACTTTGCAGAGAATAACAGCAACACAGGCCTTACAAGCAACTAATGATTTATTTGCTGGAATGTGCTGAAGAAGTAAATCCATTGATATGGCCAGAGAGAAGTTATTCTTCCATGACACCTGATGAAAAACACTACCACCTTTCTGTGGAAATGAAAGCTGAAATGCACATACAATTTAAGAGATTACTTTTTTTTTTTTTAGACGGGGTCTCGCTCTGTCGCCCAGGCTGGAGTGCAGTGGTGCCATCTCGGCTCACTGCAAGCTCCGCCTCCCGGGTTCAAGCGATTCTCCTGCCTCAGCCTCCCAAGTAGCTGGGATTACATGCACCCACCACCAGGCCGACTAATTGTGTGTGTGTGTGTGTGTGTGTGTGTGTACGTGTGTGTGTGTGTGCGCACGCATGTGTGTGTGTTTAGTAGAGACGGGGTTTCACCACGTTGGCCAGGCTGGTCACAAACGCCTGACCTCAGGTGATGCATTCACCTTGGCCTTTCAAAGTGCTGGGATTACAGGCATAAGCCACCGCGCCCAGCCAATTTTTGTTATCTTAAAGTCCAATTGCATGACTTCATTGTTACATGTTTGGATTCAATGTTTAAGAGGACAAGTTTTTAGGGAAATGCAAATCAAAACCACAGTGAGATAACATTTCATACTCACTAGGATGGCTGTAATCAAAAAGAGAGCTTAAAATCAAGTGTTGGTGAGGATGTGGCGAACTTAGAAACCTAATACCTTGTTGGTGGGAACTGTAAAGTGCTGCAGCCACTTTGGAAACAGTTTAATGCTTTATGGAAAAGTTAAACACAGAATTACCGTATGACCCAGCAATTCCTCTTCCAGGTATATAACCAAGAGAATGGAAAACATACGACCACACAAAAACTTATGCATGAATATTCATAGTAGCATTATTCATAATATCCAAAAAGTGGAAACAACTCAAATAATCATCCACTGATGAATGGATAAACAAAATGCTATGTATCCATACAATGGAACATTATTCAGCCATGAAAAAGGATAGAATATACATGCTACAGCATCCATGAAGCTTGAAAACGTTAAGCTACATGAAAGAAGCCAAACACAAAGGGTCACATATTCGATTCCACTTTCGTAAAATGTTCAGAATAGGCAAATCCACAGAGACAGAAAGTAAATTCATAGTTGCCAGGGGCTGGGTGGAAAGGGGAATCAGGAGTAACTACTGACAGGTTAAGGGCTGCTATCTGGAGTGATGAAAATGTTCTAGATCAGATGGTGATGATGCTGGTACAATCTCGTGAATATATCCTACTAAAAACTACTGAATTGTAGACTTTAAAAGAGTTTACAACTCATTTTGAAAAATTTTATGGTATATGAATCGTATCTCAACTTTTTAAGTAGAACAAACGTTTCTCAAGTACAAGGTACTTTTATTTTTCTATTTCTACATATAGATCTGGAAATGTTTGCTTTACATATTATGAAGCTACATTTTCAGACAAAAACAAGTCAAAATTAGTATATCTTTCTCAGGAATTGAATTTCCATTACTATGGGTAACCCTCTATACCTAGTAACACCTTCTGTCTTTAAGTCTACTTGCCTGATGTTAATACAGTTACTATAGTTCCTTCAGTTAGAATTTGCATAGCATATTTTTTATCCTTGGACTTTCGATCATTGCATCTTTATGTTAAAGGTGTATCTCTTGTAAAACTCAAATATTTATAGTTTTCTTTAAATAATGTCTGACAATTTTTACCGTTTAGAGTTTAGCGCATTTATAAAATTTACTATGGTTGCTGATATATCTGTATTTATTCTACTGTCTTAATATGTGTTTCTACTTGTACTTTTTTTTTTATTATACTTTAAGTTCTAGGGTACATGTGCACAACGTGCAGGTTTGTTACATATGTATACATGTGCCATGTTGGTGTGCGGCACCCATTAACTCCTCATTTACATTAGGTGTATGTCCTAATGCTATCCCTCCCAACTCCCCCCACCCCATGACAGGCCCCAGTGTGTGATGTTCCCCTTCCTGTGTCCATGTGTTCTCATTGTTCAATTCCCACCTATGAGTGAGAACATGCAGGGTCTGGTTTTCTGTCCTTGCGATAGTTTGCTGAGAATGATGGTTTCCAGCTTCATCCATGTCCCTACAAAGGACATGAACTCCTCCTTTTTTATGGCTGCATAGTATTCCATGGAGTATATGTGCCATATTTTCTTAATCCAGTCTATCATTGATAGACATTTGGGTTGGTTCCAAGTCTTTGCTACTGTGAATAGTGCCACAATAAACATACGTGTGCATGTGTCTTTATAGCAGCATGATTTATACTTGTACTTATTTTTCTACTTCTTTATCTTCTACTATCTTTTGTCTTTTATTGGTTAGAGGATTTTGTTTGTTTGTTTTTTCTTACTCTATTTATCCTCCTAATTTTTTTAGAAAGTTAAAAGCTCTATGTATATTCTTTAAACATTAAGCTTAGTTTATTAACTAGGAATATTCAACAAAGTCTAAAGTTAATATCTGAGAATTACAGAAATCTTAGATCACTTTTTGGCCATCACATCCCTCTCGCTTTACACAGTGTTTTTGCCTGGTCTTAGAGTTTTATGCTGATGCTACCTCAAGTTAGACATTGGCTCTATTTCTATGGAGTTAACGTTTGTCCATATTCACTCTCACATATGTCAGCATCCTTCTTGGATTCCACGTTCTTTCTTAAAAGTCAGACTTTCCATCTGCTCGTGGCATATCTTTTAGAAATTTCTTCTCAACTGTGGTTCCCTGAGAGCGTGAAGATGTAATGCCCCAAGACATCCACAGTATGTAATGAGTTAACGTCTCTAATATGCATCCAGATGATATAATGAGAAACTAGTCACTGAAGACACTTTCTGCAGTGTTTAATTCTCTTATGGGACATTGAGAAAGGCCGCTACAGAACATCATTTAGTGGGGATCTTTTGATGATAACTCTCTTGGTTTTTGTTTGTCAGAAAGTTCTATATTTTGTTTTTTTTTTTTGTTTTTCTTGTAAAATAGTTTTGCTGGGTAAAGAATTCTAAGTTGTGAGCTCTTTTTCTCTAAGTGCACTGAAAGCATTATATCTTCTGAATAGCATTTTTGCATTCATATTTGGAAAAGACTGGCATACGTGTGGAACTAAGGTAGTAGCGAAAGAGGAGGTGCCAATCAGAGAGACATGATTTCAAATACCTCTTTGAACCTTGGTTTCTCATCTGTAAAATGGATATGTTGCATGGTTGTTGTTAAGTTTAGATGTTGCAGATGTTACACCTGAAATATAATATGTACTCAAGATCATTATGATTATTAGTTCTGCTTCCCTCCTTTACATTGCAGTTTCTATAGAGTTCATAGGTTTGAGGCTAGATCCCCAGAGAATAAAGTTTTATGTAGAATTGTGGAGGTATCTCACAGAAGTTTCCTCCATTGAAATAGTCATTCAGACTAGTGGGAGAGAAGATAATCTGACATCTTTATCTTCATTCCAATCCAAACAGAGGGTTCTCTTCCCTCTGGACACAAGATTACTTACTAAATTACTTGAAAGCCCTAGGCACTATATTTAACAGGGTGATAAGATTTGCTTATAGTGCATTGGTTTGAATTTAGGCCAAGTGCTGTGTTTTGTATATAAGAAAGTGCTTGGTTCCCAATGGTGCCATTTTTTTCAAATGGCTCCACTGGCTTTTCATAGTGGTTGGAATATTCATGTGTGTGTGGCTAATCTCACTAATGCCTACCCACTATCAGTAGTAGCCTTGACTATAGCCAGATAGACAGGGAGTAAGAAGACACAGAGAACCCTGCGCTAGCTTTGTTGTCACACGTGTCTGAAGCAAATGACCAAATTTCTGTTCCTTCTCTGATTAGATGTGACATGCAGGGTCACCTTGTAGACACATAGTTGAAGGGAAATGAAAGACATTGTTCATTGCCCTCTCCTTTCCCCTACTCCTACATACACACACACACATGCACGCGCGCGCGCACACACACACACACACACACACATACACAGAGAGAGAGAGAGAGAGAGAGAGAGAGGAGGGAGACCGTGAGTTTGCCCATTAGTACATGCAATACTCTCTCTGGCATGAGGAAATCAGTATCCTTACTCTTCCCCAGGCTTCAGACCTTTCCCTTCCCTTCAATTGAGTATGGGAGGCAGAAATGAAACTTGTTTTTATTTTATTCACATCTACTCAAAGGCACGTTTAATTAAAGAATAAGAGCCTGCTAAGGATTAAGCATTTAACTAGATAAATCAGTCATTAAAGATTTTGAAGACTTTTTAAAGCCTAAAAATAGGCATCATATAGATAGACTACAAAATACATAACAATTCCTCTGCTGTTTTGTTGTTGTTGTTATTTTCACATTTTTGCTATTGTAGGCAACACTGTGTTTGATAGTCTTAACATAAATCTTATTCCTCAAAAATGACTTATAGATGAACTCCAGCAACCCAAAAAATATGTTCACGGCCGGGAGTGGTGGCTCACGCCTGTAATCCCAGTACTTTGGGAGGCTGAGGAGAGCAGATCACAAGGTCAGGAGATTGGGACCATCCTGGCTAACTTGGTGAAACCCCATCTCTACTAAAAATACAAAAAATTAGCCAGGCGTGGTGGCGTGCACCTGTAGTCCCAGCTGCTGGGGAGGCTGAGGCAGGAGAATGGCGTGAACCCGAGAGGCTGAGCTTGCAGTGAGCAGAGATTGTGCCACTGCACTCCAGCCTGGGCGACAAAGTGAGACTCCATCTCAAAAAAAAAAAAAAATGTTCAGACACAGTTTTACAGCGTGGGCTTGTCTGTAGATTTGATATCTGAGCCACTCATCATCTTCTCAAACAAGATGACCTGAGAAGAAAAGAAAGGTTGACAGTGGGAAAGGTGAAGCCTATTTAGTACAGGTTGAAAAAGACACTGCAACTCACATTTTGATCTGAAAGTTTATGAGATCTCAAGGCAGAGACTGGAGTGACATACCTCATTGTCTTCTGGATGAAGCCAAACTCCAGGAAGGTACAGTGTTTTCTGAGGCCCAATATTCCAATATCGCCCAAGGTTACGTCCATTGATGAACACAAATCCATAATTCCAGTTCTGAAAGGAATGGTGGCTTGAGATTTGGAAATTGGTTCACATTAGCAAGGTAAAACCTAAGGCACTTGGAGAGTGAGAGCAAGATTGAGATACTTTATGGCACTCAAATGAAGGTGAGTTTAGAGTGGGATATGTTATAGAACTTCTACCTTGCTGTCTAGGAATGAAAGAGAAAAGCATAAATAGAACCAACCCTTTAATGGTAAGGCTGCTATTGTTCCTGTTATGTGATATATAATGTTATATATTTTAAAAAGCAGATCTTCTACTTCCAGAAATAAATATCAGGTAATAGTGATGAACACCACTGCTGACAGTGGCTATTAATATAAAAGCTGCACATTTTTAAAAATCTGCTTGCAATATAATGAAGAATTACAGGATCAAGATCTAGAAGAAGAAAATGGAGAGACAAGGAGACATCTAGGCAGTTTTTCCACTAGAGGCACCTGCTTATTCTGGGATATAACAAAACAGTCTAGCACATAAAATTGGAGTCTCTGAAATGCTTCAAATTAAAGGGCAAAGGTTGCTGGTCTTGATTTCAAATAAAGTAGTTATATGCTACATATAAGAGAAGCATCAAAAACATAAGGCATTGGAAAAATAAAAGAAAAACAATGGATAATGATATGTAAACCCTAACCAAAAGGAAGTTGCTATAGCTCTGTTAATATTCAGAAAAATAATACTTTAAGGCAAGAAGCATTATTAGAGATAAAGAGGGACATTTCATGATGGTAAAATTCTTAATTTACCAAAAATGTATATACAACATACATAAGAAAGATAAAAGCAGAGATTCAAAACATATCAGCGAAATTGACAGAAGAGAAATAAATAAATTTACAACCATAGCGGGAAATTTTTATACAACCTTTCAATAGTCAATAGGCAAAGCAAATAACAATCAATAAAGACATAAAACATTTAAAAGAAGATGATTAACAAAATTGAACTAATTGACATAATAGAACATTGATCTAACATCTACAGTATACACATATTCTTTCAAGTATACCTCAGAATATTTACAAGCTTGATCCTGTATTAAACTAGTCTTCACATAAACTTCTCAGACTATAATGCATTTAAGAAAGAAACTGATAAAAAAGATAACCCTAAAATATCCAAATTCTTGGAAATTAAGAAAAGCACTTCTAAATAAACCATAAATCTAACAAGTAATGACAAAGGAAGTTGGAAAATATTTGAATTCTTTGATGATGATGATAAAATTGATAGAAACTTGTAGGGTATAAGACTATCAGCAGATTTTTCAGCAGAAACCTTGCAGGCTAGCGTGGAATGGACCGATATATTTAAAATGCTAAAAGAAAAATCAACTGGCAACCAAGAATACTACATCCAGCAAAACTGTCTTTCAAAAATGAATAAGAGATAAAGACTTCCAGACAAAAACTGAGGGAGTTCATCGCCACTAGACCTGCTTTACAAGAAGTGCTAAAGGAAGTCCTTCAACTTGAAAAGAAAGGAACTTAAACAGTACCAAGAATCCACAAAAAGTATAAACTGATTGGTAAAGATCATCAAGTTTCCCCCCGGCAACAACATGGCCCCCAGAGTGGCCTGCAGCTTTCTGGACACTGCCTCCAGGACATCCAGTGCCTCAGGTTGAATACTACCTGCCAAATGGCGCCTTCGGTCTACACTATTTGCCTTAATATGAGAAGAAAGCACAGCCCTACTATAGCAAAGTTCTGGACCCAGGGAAGCTTCTCAATGTCCCCCAAAACATGGAAGTTGTCATTATGGGCAAGTGCTTGTGAAGCATGTGACCTTCAACAATCCACACAGCCGTATGAAGGAAAAGTAAAATTCCAACTTAAAACTTAGAGGTGAAAGAGCAAGAGTAGGTATTTTATAATTCCTAGCAGACTCAAGAAGATTGGCCCTAACCTGCAGGATAATTTGCAGACCTTCTCTTTTGTTGGGCTTAATTTGCCTGCCAGCTCCTTACAAAATCATCTTTAAGACATTCTAAAATGCACATACCGAAGTCTACTTGACACCTTCAGAGAAGCACCTACAGGTGAAGTGCTCACCTTTAGTATCAGCTGTTTGTTATGAAACCTTTATTATTTTTTAGATAGAATTTATAGTTATGATTAAACTGTTAGGCTAACATGGCAACCTTAAAGCAGCAATTATCCAACTAATAAGACACTAAAATGATTCATCTCTTCCTATATAGACATCGCTTGTCTTACAACTTATTTTTTCTGTATTTCAATATGAACCATTACCCATATAATAGAAAGTATAATATAAAAATAATGCACTGATATGAAATATGGCTTATAATTATGTACATTCTGAATTCTTGCTTTGAAGAATGTAATTCTTCAGTCATGAAAATAAATACAATAAATTTATTCTTATTCTACGTGTAAAAAAAAAAAAGGTATGGGAGTCATTTCCAATATAGGCAAATCCATAAAGATAATAAAAAGATTGCTGTTGCCAGGCGGTGGGAGAAGGGGAAAATGGAGAAGTAATTGCCCAATGTTTATAGGATAATGAAAATGTGCTGGAACTGGAGATAGAGGCTGCATAGCATTGTGAAGGCATGAAAGACTACTTAATCGTTCACTTTAACAGAACTAATTTTATGTTATGTAATTTTACCTCAAAAAATCTTTTTAAAACTTAGAGGATGCAACCAAATCCACGCGTAAATGATGATTAATAACCTAAATTCATATAATTAAAAAGAACAAAGACTGAAAGTCCATTATCTAAGTATCTATGTCAAGACATTATAAAAATAAAGCAAATTAATCCTAAACTAAGAAATTGAATAAACAAAATAATAAAGATAATGACAGAATCAGAAAATAAATACTTAACACAGTAAGAGTCATAGCCAAACACTGTACTTTGAACAATTAATAAAATTGATAGTGTTCTGGTGAGAATTATCAAGAAAAAAGAGTGCATCGATATCCTGTAACAAATGACAAGGGGAACGTTACTACCAATGATCTAGACATCAAAAACGAATATTTTAAAGGCAATATATTTGAAAATTTAGATGAAATGGGAAAATTTCCAGAAAAATATATTTTCTCAAAGCTAACTTTAAAAGAAACAAAATCTGAATAGTACTTTAATCTTTCAATAATTGAATCCACACTCACACACTTTTTCAAAAAGAAAATGCCAGCTCTAGAAGGCTTCACTAATGAACTCCATTAAATGTTTAAGAAGTGATACTTGTCTTACACAAATTCGCCTTCCTAAATCCTTTATGAGATCCCTAAACATTGGCACCAAAACCTGACAAAGAGATCTCAGTTATGAACATAAACACAAACGAAGTCTTAATTATTTACCATAGACAAGCCCTAGATATAATCCAAATGTTCAGAAAAAGTAAAATGGTTAAATAAATTATTATAATGTATTTACTAAATGAACCCAATACAACAGTGAAAATGAACAAATCACTGCAACATCGATAAATGGCTGAACCTCACAATGTTGAACAAAAGAAAACATATTTAAAAAAGATGCCCTGTATGATTCCATTTACATAAAGTCAAAATAGGAGACACTGGCCTAGGGTG
This sequence comes from Homo sapiens, assembly GCF_000001405.40. NCBI lineage: Eukaryota > Metazoa > Chordata > Mammalia > Primates > Hominidae > Homo > Homo sapiens. The sequence continues at coordinate 134,315,040 of NC_000011.10, read as the reverse complement.
TTAGAAGTCAAGGCAGCAGTTGGGAGGGGTGCCAACAATATTTTTAACTTTCAGTGATAATTATATGGTGTTCACTTTGTGATCATTTGTTGATCTGTACATTCACATTTTGTACATTTATGTTATCTATGTGTATTTATACAGAAAAAGATATTCTAAGTAAAAACTAACTTACCAACTCACCCCACACAGAAAAAAAAGGCAAGCTTCAGAATACATAGTACAATTCTATTAGTGTAAAAATAATTGTGTACGTGTGTGTTCAGGCAAAGTTATATATAAAAATGTACCACTGTTGGCAGTGTTGAGTTCTGAGAAGCAGAGACTAATTGGAATGGGGGTGGGTTCAAAGGCGAACTTCATGCTTTGCTCTCTCCCTCTTGTTATTGTTTGAATTTTTAATTGTGCTTTGATGTGTTATTCTCTGAACAGTGATAAATTAGGAAGACTGATCAATGTTGGAAGGCTTGGTTGGAGATGAGGAAGAAGAGGAAAAGAAGAAAGGGAAGTATTCCTCCAGGAACGCTGGCTTTGCTTCAGGACTCTTTAAAAATAAAATTGGTGTTTGGAACACCAGGGCAGCAGAGGGCATCACCTACCAGCAGGCTCAGGAAGGTGTCCTTGGGAGAAGGGCCAGCCTTCAAGGTCCCACAGTAGAAGGCCGGGCCCTGGTGGCTGTCTGGGACAGGCTTCCAGGTGGCAGAGCGGAGCCTGGAAGAAAGGCCAAGCCATGGGGGAGAAGAAGTCCCCTTCCCAACCCAGTTCCCAGTACCCACCCCAGGTGGCGTGGGCCGAGCCTAAGGTTCTGTTTCAATGAGATAGAGTAGACTAGATGCGTTAAGATCAGAATCAGGACACTTGTTCCAGGGCCCTAGTTCTGACGCCGAAGTACCCAACAGCCTGGAGTACATCACTCAGTCTCTATCTTGGACTCTTTATCTGCAATGAGGAATCTGAAATCTCTGAGTTCCCCGATCACTGAAGTGTGCACTGGGGGCCAGCTGGAGCATACCTCTCAAAGAAGCTCATTTTCATCTCCAGGGAATAGATGGTAAAGCCCTCCAGGGAAGAGTTATTGATGCTGACAGATCCAGTTATTCCTGCAGATGCAGATGGGAGGCAGGAAAGAGAATATGAGCCAGGACTGGATATTCTCTAGCATCTGGGACAAAGCAATGCAGACTTGTACATGCCTTAGGACAGGGGCACAGCCAGGAGGGCAAACATTTGTCTGACCTGCTGTGACTGAAGGGTTCTAGCTGTATGTTTCCACACTACCAAGAAAGTTCCCCCACTTAGTACTGGAACTTTTCCTGAAATTCCCAAAAGGAGACTGGCCCTGCTTGAGGACAAGCCAGCACCGAACACACTGGCCCCACCCTCTGGCCCTGGAGATCAGAGAAGGCAAGACAAGGGCGAGGGGCCGATTTTGCATCTCTGCTCCCAGGGCCTGGGTAGCCCACTGCTGAGCGGCTGGTTTCCCCACCCTCTCCCGCCCCCGACTCCAGTGCATAGCCCGGGTCTTCGGTTCTGAGCAACTGAGGAGAAGCCACAGCCAGAGCCCACCTTTCTGCTCATTCTGTATTTGCCATGAAAAATTGACTCGTCCTTGATTCTCCACCAGGATCCTCAGGTATCGGCAGTCCTGCTGGGACAGGCCAGGTCATGGAGACCACGCAGCCATGGAGGGCGTCTACCCGACAACCCGTTTTTTCACTGAGTCCCACATGGAGAGACACATGGGAGAACAGGAGGCTCCAGGGCCCAGCAGTCTTCCCTTCACCTAAGGACTGCCTTGTGTTCCTATAGTCAATCTTCCCTTTCCCCTCTGCTGATCCTACTAGGAAAGGCAGAGAGACTCAGCTGTACCTTTAACCAACTCCAAAAGGCACAGAAACCCAACCAGGGGCTGAGGACAGGCTCAGGACTTGGTGAGGAAATCCCCTCCCCTCCAGCACACATGCGGTAGCTCCTGAGGGGCCAGGGCCTGGGAGGCACTTTGGCTTCCAGCCCTGCACACTTCCTGCCGCCGCCCCAGGTGAGCAGCAGCACCAGCAGCAGGGGTGGAGAAGGGAGGCTGACTGTCTCAGGACCAGGCTCCGTCTGCATTTGAGGGGGGTCGAGGGCATCACCTGGACTCTCAAATTACATACCCTGAGTTCAGGAATGTGCAGGTCCTTATTATTCTCATTCAGAATCCCTATCATTGTCTCATCCAAAAACACCTGCAAAAGAAGAGCCGGCGTCAGACTGCTAGGCCCACCCGAAGAAAGGGAGAAGAGAGGCCGCGGTTTCGGGAGAAGGAGGTCAGTATGAAGGCAGGGACCAGCTGTGGTGCTCACTGATGGCATGAAGCTGCCTGGAGGCCCCAAGAGACTCTCAGTGGTGATAAAGCAGAAAGCAAGTCTATTTGGCCTGACTTTTTAGTCCCAATGCCTCCCATATAGTAGGTCACCAAACAGCAACGTGCATCCTTCAGTCAACTACCCTGCCCGACAGCATGGGGAGGTGATGCACTTTGCTTCCCACACAGACAGCCTGCTGGCCCTACCTGTGCCACGTCATGAGCGTGGGCACGGAGGCGGCCTCCGGAGCAGATGGACTTCTCATACAGGACAAGCCCGTAGGACTGGCCGCTCCCATTGTTTATGGGAAGGTTCTCCATGTTGACGGGCTGACGCGACCTGACTGGCTATGAGGAGAAATGGCAAGAGCAGAAGTCCAAGGGCTGAGCAGTCAGGATCCTCCTTCCTAAGACCCTGTCATTTGGTCCTGCCTAATGGTCCCCAAGGGTTCTTCAAATGGGAAATGATGAAACAGATGCCATGTGACACTGCTCTGTGCTTACGTCTCCACTGCCCAGGAAGGAAACTCAGGGAAATGCAGGGCATGGTGATGAGGGAGCAATCGTTATAATCCTAAGAACTGATTAACAGAGGAAATGGATGGGGCGCAGGGGCTCACGCCTGTAATCCCAGCACTTTGGGAGGCCGCAGCAGGTGCATCACTTGAGGCCAGGAGTTTGAGAGCAGCCTGGGCAACATAGTGAGACCCACATCTACAAAAAACTTAAAAATGTAGCTGGGCGTGGTGGTGCCCTCCTGTAATCCCAGCTACTCAAGAGGCTGAGGCCGGAGGATTGCTTCAGCCCAGGAGTTCAAGGCTGCAGTGAGCCATGATTGTGCCACCGCATTCCAGCCACAGCCACCAAGCAAGACCCTGTCTCAAGAAAAAAAAAGAGTAAATAAATTGTATTCTAAAATAGTTGAAGTCTAGCAATGAATGAGGCACCAAGCAAATGTTTATTTCATTAAATTAAATTTAGTTACATTAAATAAATGTAGTTTCTTTAGTGTACCAGTCACTACCTTTTCTCTAAAATAGTGATAGCAGAGGTAAAACCAATGTGAATCCAAGGGCTACAGTTTCAGTTCCAAACAGCTTTCACCTTTCTTCAAAATAGGACAGGAAGGCTGATGGAAAAGGGGGAGCAGTGACCCAGGAAGTTCAGGCCCAGCTGCTGGTGAAGCACGGGCAGAAGCTAGTCTCCCGATTCCAGCTCAGCAGCTTTTCCTACGTGGATTCCGTAAGGACCACACAGTCCAAACAAGAGCATCTCCAGACAGGTTCATCTAAGCGGGAACCCGGGATCCTCCGACGTCCTGCTGCCCCTCCCCTGCACACTGACTCCAAGGTCAAACCCCTTCACAGTCCACCCGGAAGGAGCTGGTGGCTCTTGTCCCACAGTTCTAAATTTGAATGAAATGCAGAGGATTTGTTTTCCCACTTCCTAATAAAAAGTTTCCTGAAGGAATCCCTCCCCCATCCCTCCAATGGCCACTCCGCCTCCTGTGGCCAGGCAGCACGCACCTCATTTAAGTAGGATAGGGCGTCCCACAGCGGGAGGTACAGCGACGGTCTCACGGGGGGATACACAGCCTTGGGAGGAAGTTTGGGTACTCGGGGCAGGGGAGTTGCTGCAATGGAGATGGGGCACAGGGCAAAAAGTGCCTGAGATGACCACTGCCTTCTCTAAGCCCCCCATGCCTATCCAGCATGGCTTTTCCTTTCATATTGGGGGTTACTATGTCATCCATGGTATAAGAGCTTTACAAAGAGTAACTCAATCTTCGCAGTCATCACAGGAGACCAAGGTTACTATCTTTATGCTTCAGTGAAGAAACTGAGGCTTATAAAATGCTTAGAAACCCTGATTTTAAAAAATCACACAGATTTTAACCCCAGGGTTCGAAGTTAAGGTTGCCCTTGTTCTCAGGAGCTTGGTGTAACTGCTGCCCACAAGGGAGACCCACGCCTTCCTCACTTTTCCACAGAACAGAGACTCCACATGAGGAGGGCTGGCCCGTAAGTTAAATGGGTGCTGAGTACCTGAGACAGATTGAAAGAGTTTTTGAAGCTTCAGATATTTTTCTGTGTAATCTCCAGCCTCCGTGAGCACTGCATCATAGTCTGCAAGACACCAGGGCCAGTCACCAGCCATGCAGTCTCTGCAGGAGGCCCTGTTTCAGCACCGCTGGCAGGAGATGGCCAGGGCCACCGTGAGTGAGACAAAAGGAAGACACCTTCCATCCCACGTGGGTGTGTGATGCCAGTCTAAGGACATTCCCCACAACTCTTCCTGGGCACCTTCCACTGGCTTCCAGTGTCAAGCCATGACACTGGGCTTGCCCCCACTTCTTCACTTTCTAATGCAAACTTGTTCAACCCACAGCTCATGGGCTACAGGCGGCCCAGGATGGCTTTGAATGCAGCCCAACACAAATTCATAAACTTTCTTAAAACATTTTGTGTTTTTTTTTTAAGCTCATCAGCTATCATTAGTGTTAGTGTATTTCATGTGTGGCCCAAGACAATTCTTCTTCTTCCAGTGTGGCCCAGGGAAGCCAAAAGAGTGGACACCCCTTCAACGGGTACTCTTTTCTTTGCTCAGTCTGTATCGCCCGGCCGTGCAGGTCTGTGCCTTTACAGCAGTCACCGTTCCTACCCTGCCTCTCTTCAGAGGTTCAAGCCAACAGGGCAGTATACCAGATGTGTGAAGCGGAGCTCTAAGTCCCGGAAAGCCCTGTCTACTGCAATGACAGCCTGTTGGGGCATTATGAACATACAGAAGGAAGGAAAGTAGATAGGAAAATCTTCAGTACTCAGCATAGATTATAGGTCAAGAACCCAGTGGTGCCAGAACAGGCTTCCGGAGCCTCCTCTGTAAAGCCCCAGCACCGCCCATGCTGGAGAGGCTACTACACCAGCGACACTTGCCATAGCTGGTGACAATGCCCGAGTGCTTCCCGAAATATGTGGCCCCGTTCATGAAACCAAAGTTGGTTCCACCATGGAACATATATACATTGAAGGAGATCTCATATTTGATGAATTCAGACACAGCATGTTCAACCTCTGCAAAGGGGAACATGAGAACACAGAGAATGTTAGAAATTAAGAGGAGACAGAAGCCTCTGGCAAACTCTTATCCTTTCCAACCCCACTCCACAATCAGTTACAGTAACTCCTCGCTTCACGGCTATATACATTCTTGGGAATGGAGACTTTAAGTAAAATGATATAAAAAAAAAAACAATTTTTCTCTCAATTTTATAATGAAACAATGTTGAAGAAAACAGTATTATATGAGGATATGCTGTACATCATTTTGTTTAGTTTCCAAGAACCTATTGATGACGTTAAAGACCTACTGCAAATGTTTTATCATTCAACCTCTACAAAGATTCCAACAAAAAAATAGGCAGAATTGGCCAGAACTACTCTAGGACACCGAATCTTGTCAATCCCAAGAGATTTTTGAACACTTTTTTTCCAAAATATTGACATAATTTGACTCTAAACTACATCTATTAAATAATAACCTAAGAACCCTCATGTCACTTAAATATCTAATTTTCCTTAAGTTTTTTGAAATCATACATATAATTAGTACACCCTCATTACTACCTTCCAGTGAAATGTTTCTGGGAACACTGACTTGGAAACACCGCCATAGTCCACAAGTGGTTGCTCTTAATCTTTAGCCACAAAACTTCCATTTTGTACTGTGTTTAAACAGCTGCAATCATCTCTCCACTGGCCACAGTGGGAAGAAGAAGGTTAAAAGTCATTTAGAGTGGGAGTCAATTCTGGCTGTGCTCGTTACTATTTGTATGACCTGGGGCAACCTATTTTCTTTCTCAACGCCACTGCTTCCTGATCTGTTAAATGAATGTATTAATTCCAGCTATATCATGGGACTGATGAGAAAATTCATTGATGAGGTAATATATGTGGAAAAAAGGCACAGTGCCTGCCATACAAGAGACCAGAAAAGTTTTATTTGGTAGTGGTGGTGGTGGTGTTGGTGGTGGTGGTGGTGGTGATGATGGTGGTGATGGTGTTGATGGTGATGGTGGTGATAGTGGTGGTGGTGGTGGAGGTGATGGTGATGATGGTGATGGTGATGGTGGTGGTGGTGGTGATGGTGATGGTGATGGTGGTGGTAGTGGTGGTGGACATGGTGGTGGTGGTGGTGGTATTTGGTGGTGATGGTGGTGGTGGTATTTGGTGGTGGTGGTGGTGGTGGTGGTGATGGTGGTGGTGGTGGTGATGGTGATGATGGTGGTGGTGGTGATGGTGATGGTGGTGATGGTGGTGATGGTGGTGGTGGTGGTGGTGGTAGTGGTGATGGTGATGATGGTGATGGTGATGGTGATGGTGGTGGTAGTGGTGGTGGTGGTGGTGGTGGTGGTATTTGGTGGTGGTGGTGGTGGTGGTGGTGGTGATGGTGGTGATGGTGATGGTGGTGGTGGTGATGGTGATGGTGGTGGTGGTAGTGGTGATGGTGATGATGGTGATGGTGGTGGTGCTGGTGGTGGTGTTGGTGATGATGGTGATTGTGGTGGTGATGTGATGATGGTGGTGGTATTGTTGCTGGCATTATTGTTGGTGGTAGTGATGGTATTATTGTTGGTGTTATTGGTGGTAATAGTGGCATTTTTCTTTTGACTTTTTTTCTATTTTTCAACCTAAAACAGGCTTTTCTCAGTTCCCAAGTATTTTTCAATGTTTTTCTATACTTCAGATACAAGTGGCCTTGTTTTCATAACAGCTCTTTCGAAATATCTTCTGTAGACACAAATGCCTATTAAGTAAACGACTGCCAGGCATTGCTCTAAGTGGCAGCACTTGATCCTCACACCAGCCTCATGAGGTTGGTTTTATGATAATCCTCACGTTTGGATGAGGTCACTGAGAATTAAAATGAAGGAAGCCTGCATGAAGCTAGCGCATGGCTAGCGCTGCAGAGCTGAGATTAAAACCTGATCTCTTTGGCTCCAAGATCCATGCTCTTGGCTATCGCTGCATGTTGTCCCCTGACTATTATTAGTGCTTAGTTGACAATGCCATAGAGAGGGCCTATGCACTGCTAGAGATGATTAATGTTCCACCTTCCTCAGAGATGTCACATTTTCAGAGAAGCTTCGGTGACCACCTAACCTTACCTGCGCAGGTCTTTCTTCTGTCTTTTCTATCACTGCACCCTGTTTGTTTGCTTCAAAGTATCCACCAAACATGGAACTACATATTGATTGTTTTACTCTGTAATGATCTGTGGACCTCACTAACTTATACTCTGTTGGGGGTGGGAACCATGTAATTTCTATCCACCAGAGCATCCTCAGGGCCTGGCTGAGTGCTTGTATGTGAAAAGTTGCATGAATATCTACGGCTGATCAAGTGAATCAATTAGCAGAGAACTGTATGAATGAGTTCTCATGGGACCTGGGGCCATCTCTTCCTGGAGTCAAACACTGCAAAACACTCACCCTTTGCATCTTTAACATGGTGCTTATCTCCCCATCTGTCGAACCAGCCGACCCAGTATTCCATAATCAGAAGGGGCTTATCTCTCTAAAAACAAACCAAAGCAAATACTAAGTCTGGCAAAAAACAAAAAAGAAAAATCAGAAAACCTGAATGCAATAGATGGGAACTAAGGAACTCATGCGTTTCTCCTTTTTCCCAATTCAGAGCTTTCCCGTTTTGATCCAGTATTTCTTCCCCCACGGCCCTTGGCCGTCATTCACAGCTCTGGTTCCTCCACTCCTAAACGTCCATGGTCTCCAGCTTCATGTGCCTCCCTACTATACCCGGAAAGCACCATCAGCAATTTCAACCCTGTCTCACCCAAGGCTGGTGTTGAAAGAATGGGTTTTGGATACACGAGGACCTGACCGCAATTCCTTATGTAGAAACTCAGATGCCACAGGCTTTCAGCCTGACACCTGCATTCCACTTGTAGCCTAGCATTTTCAGTGCTGCTGAATAACGTAGATTCTGTTTTTAAAAGGTGACACCTCCTCTACAGTAGGCCTGGCTGTTGCTGTGCCATGGATATTAAAACGGAAGATCATAGCTGAGCTTCTTCTGGGTGATATGTCAGCCACTCAGCATGCATTTTCAGCTGCACTCCTGGAGTCCTCTGGCATGCTGCTGCTCTAAGATTGTCTCACTCTAAGCCCAAAGATCTGTCAACCTAGGACTTTTGTTAGCTGCTCCCTGGATTTGGATTATGATGTTTTCCAGATCCTATGTTCTCTTCTACTTTGGTTTCATTTCTCATTTCCTGCATCCTTCAAACACTTCCATAGAAAAGATGAGTGGAAAATAAATATTCTGAGTCCTTAAATGTCTGGCTATCAACACAATTAATATTTAAAATTATTAATTGGGTATAAAATTCTAAGTTAAAATTCATTTAGCCTCAAATTTTAAAGGCATATGCCATTGCTTCCTATTATCCAATATTTTATAATCCTATGCCATTCTAATTGTTTTTGCTTGGCATGTAAACCTGTGGTTTTTCTCTCTGTAGGATGCTAATTTCACAATTTAGGTCTTTTTCATCACTTACTGTGCTTACTATTTGAGGTACACTTTTCATCTGGACATATAGATACTTCAGTTAAAGGAAATTCTTATGTTATTTGCAATTTCCTTTCCTCCATGCTCTTTGTCCACTCTTTTTGCAACCAGTATTAATAAGATGTTGGGTCTCCTACAATACTCCTATAAGACGTTTATCTTGTCTCTTTTCTGTTTTGTGGGCTTATACTAATAGTAATATTAGGGAATTTGATCATCTTTACCTTCCAACTTCTATATTTAATTTTTAATTTCAAATATTAGATTTTTAATTTCAAAGAGTTGTTTTTGGTTCCCTGATTGTCCCTCTTACTTAACAGCCCACTCTTGTTCAGGTATAATCTTATTCATATCTCTATGCATATTAATAAGCCTTTTTACTACTCTATTTTGTTGCCTGAATTAACTCCATGTTCCCTGATTTCCATTTTCTTCTTTATTTGTAATTTAATTATTTTCTCTTTGTGAAATTTTATTAAATAAATACAGATCCTTAATTTTCCATTTGTATTCAAGAGGAAAGACTGACTTCTGGTGTTAAAATTGTACTGTGGGCTTGACATTCTCCTCCTGGAAATCTTCCAAATCAAAATAAGGACTGAGAAATGGAAACACAAACAACATCCTCTGTGAAGCTAAGAGTCATCTGAAACTTCAAAATATAAATGAGGAGGAAGAAGCGCAAAAGCATTGAAGGTCTATCAGGGGTTCAAAAAACGTAGAGAGAGAATGCTCTTTGTCGAAGATTTTAGGAAAGACTAACAGCACAAATTTCTCCTAAGTAAGAAGCATACTCTATAGTGCAATACCAACCATTTATTATCAGTTACAGAATAGGGTGCACAAGCTGGTGAAGGGAATGCACTTTACATAATTCAGTGCATCAGAAGCTTAGAAGGACAAAATTATGGAAGAATCACAGATAAGAACTATAAGGAGGAAGAAGTTGCTGCTTGTGAGGCATCTGAGAGCAGTCCTGCATCTATACTGGCTCCCTGGGAGGAGAGAAAGCAAAAAGGAAGATGGGTAAAGATAAGAATTCATCCCTGCCTACAGCATTGTGCCACTAAGATACATTGTTATTATGCCACTAAGATACATTGTTAGCGCAGTCGCATGCGGGCTCTCACAGCAACTTCTCTTGAGTCCTTGAGCCAATAAGAACTCATCTCCATCAAAGATGAGTAATAATAAAAAAGAAACAACAATAGAATCTACATTTAAAATTCTAATAAAAAAGAGTTTTTTTCTTTTTCAACAGGGAAAGAAATTAGAGGAGGAACACCAAAAACTTTCTATAGCATAGGTCAAAATTGTGACCCAAAAATATTGTTATAAAGTTAAAAACCCCAATGAAACAATCACCTCTATAAATGGAGAGCATAAAAAGAGAACTAAAAGTACTCAAGGAAGACATGATAAGGAAATATAAGGAGCTAAAATATTACCTAACAAAGATTTTTTTTAAGGCAGATAAAATAGAAAATATTAAGTCCAAACTGGAAGCAGCTAAAAGGAAAATAAACATTGTGAGGGACATGAAAAGAAAAGGAGTGAAAAGTGAGCACAGTTAAAATGAACAGAGAGTAGAAAGAATGAGAAGGAAATGGATGCAGGAGATGTGAAAGTAAGACAGAAGAAGTTTGCATTACACATAACTTGTGTCCCTAAAGAGAATAAACCAAATAAAAAAATTTTTTAACATATTTAAAGATATGATCAAAGACTCACAATTTCCAACAATCATGATCTATGTTATTTGGACGAACCCACTCATTGAGGATTTTTACAAAGTTAAATCAAATACAGTATCACCATAGATACAGCTGAAAAGAGAATTCGTGTATATGAAAATAAATCAGAAGAAAGTATCCAAATAGCAGCATAAGTAGACAAAAATGTACAAACTAAAGAGATACCCAGCACATTTGAGAAGGTTTAATGAATTTAGCTGGAATTCCAGGATGAGAGGAGTGAGACAACACAGGAGAAGCAACATTTGAAGAACTACTACCTGGGAACACACACATTCTAGAAGCCCGACAAACTGGAATAATAAATAAAAAGACACTCAGAAAGAGACATAGTTCAACTGCAGAAAACAAAAAAAGAAACAAAAAATTCTTAGTAATAAAGGAGAAAAGAAAGCCTGACAGAAGCCCTCCCCATCACAGCAGTGAAGTCAGCAGACTGTGTGCTGAAAGAAAACTGCCACATTAGAATTCAGAGCCGGGAAGAGACTGAAGCCTGGAAACAGAGAGTCTGCCATAAACAGACATCACTAAAGCATGTACTTCAAGCAGAAGAAAACTGATCCTGAGTAGAATCTCCAAGATATGAAAAATAATAAAAAGCAAAAAGATAAATATTGGGCTAAAACTGAAGGAATATTGATTGTATAAAACAAATACATGATATTTTTAGAGTTTTAAAAAGATAGAAATCAAATACAAGAAAAATCCAGAAGATGCATCTGATGGAGTGGCCAGAGTCAGTGCTTGCCCTGAGGCACTTGTACAATCCAGGCGGAGAGCAGAACTTTAGACTGCAGGGGACTCAGTACTTACATTAAAATTTCAAGGATGACTTTTAAAAGATAAAATCAGACTCTGTAACTCCAGAATGACATAGGAAAAAACAGAAATTGATTTTTTTAAATAGTCGAATCCATAAAAAGAAGCCAAGATTGTAAAGAAAAAGAAAAGAAACACTTAAAAGCAGGCACATAATCAGATGGCAGGTTCAACTTCAGTCTAACAAGAATTACATGAAATATGAATGACTGACAGCTCCAAATAAAAGTTTAATTGTGTCAGACTAAAATAAAAATATTCAACTAATTTCTGATCTCTAATAAGAGAGATGTCTAAAGAAAAATGTAGAATTACAGCAAGATTAAAACCCAAATGAGGATATAGAAAATGATACACATTCAAATATTAATCAGAGAGGTCTGGCATGGCAATATCAATGACAGACAAAAGTGACCTTAAGACAAAAAGCAATACTGCATACAAACAGGATGACTCCCTAGTGATAAAATTTCATGTCCATGAAGATAAAACAAGTCCACATTTACATAGCCTCAAAATACATCAAGCAAACTTTGATAAACTTGCTAAAGGACAGGTAAAATACTAAGGTCTACTGGTAGAAATATGCAAATCTGCAATTATGATAGAAATATTAACACATCTCTTTCAGTGACCAATACAACCAGCCAAAAAAATCAATTGGAAATAGAAAACTAGAATAACACAATAAATAAAATTGACATAGAACTTAAACAGAATACTGCACCCAGTACCGCAAAATACATTCATTACAAACACACAGGGCATTTACCAAAACTGACCATTGATAGGACATAAACACAAACAAAATTAAACATAAAAAATAAAGAATCACACCTAAAAATTGAAAACAAATGAATCTAACTCTACACCAAGTTGGTAAAACAATTACATAAAACAAAGAAAGTATTCCATGTAACCTTAGTACATAGAATTTTCACTACACATTCTCTGTGTGATATACCTTAAAGATAAAAGAAAAACCACAGAAATCTTTAAGATCATTAGATTTTTCTTATTTTCAGTAATATTATCAGTGTTATTTCAAACCTATTATGAATATATTATAGAATTAAGTGAATAACAAAATTGTGAATGTTGTTATCAACTATGATGTCCAAAGTCAGAGAAAAAATAAAAATATAAATCAGAAAAGTTAAATATAACCTCTATAATTCTAAATTTGTATTTTTTAAGAAATCAATGAAACCACAGTTTTCTCCTCGTTTAAAACATGCCAATATCCTGGCCCTACACTCTGAAAATGCTTAGAAGTAACAGCAATTTGATAGTAAGCACAGCTTGTATTCTACAGAAGCAACAGGGTTCTTAGGAGAAATCGCTGTTTCTGGGCTGAGGATTGGAAATGTATCAGGTGAGTCTGGGACATTGTATTTGGCTGGAAACCAAGTAAACTATGAAAGACTGATGGGGTCACGTCAGAGGAGAGAGGAGCCAGGTGGAAGGTGCTGCCAGCAGGCCAGCGAGAAGCCACTTTAAGCTTCAACAACGTAATGATTAAAATTGATAAGAAGGCATTAAACATATTAAAAAGTCATGAATTAATAATCAAAGAAAACAATTTACAAAAGTTTGAAAAGGTACAGAGTATGTTTTCTGACCAGCGAAATAAAGGAAAAAAATAGAAAAACTCCGTATGTCTGAAAATTTAAAAATTAACTTCTAAACATACTCATAGGCCAAAGAAACAATCATATTGAATACTCACACTAGTCTGAATTACAGTATATCAAATATACCAAATATAAAACTCATGAACTAATGAGAAATCCATTCCTTAAATGTTCATAATAAAACATACAGATAAAATGTGAAGGCTAATTACCCACCTCAAGAAATTAGAACAGCAAAATAAACCAAAAATAGTAAAATAAATAAAGGAAATATAAACCTAAGGGTAGAAGCAGTGAAATTGAAATTAATTTGCAATAGAGACAACTTAAAAAAAAATCGGTTCTTTGAAAAGAACCAACATGCTTCTGATGAGAATGTTAAGACAGAGTAAAAACGAATCAATAATTAAGATCAGAAATGAAAAGGAAAGACCAGCACAAATGATACGGCCATTAAAAACAAGAAGATAGTGTGCATAATTATATGCCATTATATTTTAGTTTGAGTGAAATGGACATATTCCTAGAAAAACTGTAACAACTACATTTACTCAGAAGGAAACAGACTTCTGAGTACAGCTCAGAGATATAGCAGTGGGAAAAACATAAATCCCATCCTCACAGCGAGGACAAAACTTGAAAAACTGTAAATTCATGGCTTCTTGGGTCCATCAGAGAACCTAGGTCACAGAGCAACCAAATACCTAAAATCCATGGAAAACCTGATGCCTGCAGGAAGAAGCTGGACCCAAGCCACTTGCTTACCTGGGGCTAGATCCTCTAATATAACACAAATAGATCATATTAAAGAAGTGCTGAAGACAGTGTGGGCCAGCGTGAGAGTCTGAAGTCAAGGGAGCCGAGACGGATGGCGGCTGACACCCTGATGCTGGCTTTAACTCCCCAAGTCTACCAGCTGTTCTGAGGGGAGATTCGGGAGAATCCCGGGCAAGTCTCTGTTGCAGGCTGAATTGCGTCCCCCAGCCAAATTCACACGAAGGCCTAACCCTCAGTACTGCAGAATGTGACTGTACTTGGAGACAGAGCCTTTAAAGAGGTAATTAGGTAAAAGTGAGGCTGTTAGTGTGGGTCTTAATCCCATGTCACCGGGGTCCTCATAAGAAGAGGAAATTTTGACACACCAGGGTCTCGTGTTCACGGCAGAAAGACCATGCGAGGGCACGTTAAGAAGGTGACCATCTGCAAGATAAGGAGAGGCCTCAGAGGAGAACAGCCTGTAGGCGCCTTGATTAAAATGTGGTCAATAGGGGCCGGGCGCGGTGGCTCACGCCTGTAATCCCAGCACTTTGGGAGGCTGAGGCAGGCGGATCATGAGGTCAGGAGATAGAGACCATCCTGGCTAACACGGTGAAACCCCGTCTCTACTAAAAATACAAAAAAAATTAGCCTGGCGTGGTGGAGGGCGCCTGTAGTCCCAGCTACTCGGGAGGCTGAGGCAGGAGAATGGTGTGAACCCAGGAGGTGGAGCTTGCAGTGAGCCGAGTTCACACCACTGCACTCTAGCCTGGGCGACAGAGCAAGACTATGTCTCAAAAAAAAAAAAAAAAAAATGTGGTCAATAGGATGGGCCCTAATCCAATATGTCTGGTGTCCTTATAAGAAGAGGAGATTAGGACACAGACACACACAGAGAAGAGATCATGTGAGGGCACAGGGAGGAGAAGACAGCCGTCCAATAAGCCAGGGAGAGAGGCCTCAGAAGAAACCTACCCTGCCAGCACCTTGATTTCAGACATGTAGTCTCCAGAATGTGGGAAAATAAACATCTGCTGTTTAAGCCACACAGTCTATGGTCCTTTGCTATGGCAACCCTAACAAAGTAACACAGCTTCCTTTCTGGTGCTGGCTGAGGGGAGAGAGCCACCGCCACTGCCAGACCTTCTCCCAGCCCATCTTCTCTAGGGAACAAAAGCCCCAATCAGCTGAGAAACAGCACAGAAGCTGTCACTTAAGGACATCTTAACTGGATAAAATCCATTGCATCTGGGAAAGGGGCAGGGGATGCACTATCCTTGGGAAAGGAGGAACACATGCTAGGATCAGATCTGCCGCTAGAAGAAGAGCTGGGTAGGAGCACCTGCAAAGGCCACACCCCTCAGACCCACAGACAGCATCTGCTGGCAATAAGGCATAATCAGAACATCAGGGGAAGCCTTTCTCCCTCACCAGCAGGCTAACCAAGCTGGAGAAAAAGTAACACATACTATAGCTGAGAGATCCGCAAGCAACAGATTCTCTGTGGGACTCAATGCAAAGGCGAGACTCAGAGGGGAATGCAGACACAGAGAAAACAACCTCTGCCAAACCAGCACTTGCCCTTGACACAAGGTACCACCAGAAACATTTGAAGCCCATGATGCACAAAGGATAACACAGCAACAACAAACCCCACAACCAGCCTAACTCCAGACGAGGGGAACACAAAATCCCACATGGCCTAGCAGAATGAAAGGCAGGCTGATCTCCAAGACAGTATCTATGTCCTATGCATGATGCGCAGTTTTCAATAAAAAATTATGAGACATACAAAAAGGCAAGAAAAGAACACACTTGGAAGAGATAAAGCAATCATCAGAAACAGATAAGACACAGATGTTGTAACTATCTCACAAGGAATTCAAAATAACTATGATTAATATACTTAAGACTATCATGGAAAAGGAAGACAGCATGCAAGATCAGATAGATAATTTTGGCTGAAAGATGAAAACTAAGAAAGAAGCAAATGGAAATACTAGAAATCAAAAACATAGCAAGAGAAACGAAAAATTTCTTCAATAGGCTCATCGCTAAACTCAACAGGCATGAGGAATGAATCAACGAACTTAAAGATAAGTCAGTAGAAATTAAGCAAACTGAAAAGTAAAGAGAAAAAAAGACAGTGGGAAAGAAAACAGCATCCAAGAGTTGTGAGACCACACTAAGTGGTCTAATGTACGTGCGATTTGAATTGCAGAAGGTGAGAGAGCAGAGAAAATATCTAATAAGTGACAGCTCAGAATTCTACAAAATTAATGACCTAATCTTGCATTCCTGGGATGAATCTCACTAGGATGTAATTGTATTAGTCCATTTTCACGCTGCAGATAAAGACATACCTGAGACTGGGAAGAAAAAGAGGTTTAATTGGACTTACAGTTCCACATAGCTGGGGAGGCCTCAGAATCATGGCAGAAGGGGAAAGGCACTTATCACATGCCAGCAGCAAGAGAAAATGAAAAAGAAGTAAAAGTGGAAACCCCTGATAAACCCATCAGATCTCGTGAGACTTATTCACTATCATGAGAATAGCACGGGAAAGACTGGCCCTTATGATTCAATTACTTCCCACCGGGTCTGTCCCACAACACATGGGAATTCTAGGAGACACAATTCAAGTTGAGATTTGGGTGGAGACACAGCCAAACCATATCAGTAATGTATTATCATTTTACATATTGCTGGATTCAATTTGCTCATCCTTTGTTGAGAATTTTTGCTTCCATGTTCATAAGGGAAATTGGTCTTTGGTTTTCTTTGCTTTAGTTGTTTTTATTTGGTTTTGGAATTAGGACAATGCTGACCTCATAAAATGAGTTTAGAAGTATTCTCTCCTTTTCCATTTTCTGGAACATATCGTGTAGAATTATTATTATTTCTTACTTAATGTTTGGTAAATTTCACCAAACCACAGATCCAAGAATCTCCTGGAACACCAAGCAGGATAAATTTTAAGAAACAAACCACATCTAGGCATATTACACTCAAACTTCTGAAAACTAAAGACAAACAGAAAATTCTAAAGGTAGCCAGAGGATAAAAGACAAAAAAAAAAGATAAGAATTAATACTGACTTCTCATCAGAAACCATGGAAGTAGAAACAATAATGAAGAGACATCTTTAGAGTGGGGAATTAAGAAGACACTATTGTACAATCCTAGTACTACCTACACTTCAGTATGATTAGTCGTGTCAGGTTAATTTTTAAATTATATATATATATTTTTTTCTCTCTTTCTTTCTTTTTTTTTTTTTTTTTTTTGAGACAGAGTCTCCCTCTGTCACCCAGGCTGGAGTGCAATGGCACGACCTTGGCTCACTGCTACCTCCACCTCCTGGGTTCAAGCGATTCTCCTGCCTCAGCCTCCCAAGTAACTGGGATTACAGGCACCCACCACCATGCCCAGCTAATTTTTGTATTTTAATAGAGATGGGGTGTCACCATGTTGGTCAGGCTGGTCTCAAACTCCTGACCTCAAATGATCCGCCCACCTCGGCCTCCCAAAGTGCTGGGATTACAGGCGTGAGCCACCGCGCCCGGCCTATATTTTAAATTCTAAGTCAACAGCTACAGTTTTTTAAACTGACATAAGTAATAAGTCTACAGAACAGATAAAATGGAATCAAAAAATTATTAATTAGCTCCAGAAAAGGGAGAAAAAAAGAACAAGAAAGAAACAAAGTACAAAAAAGAAAAGAATTTGCAAAAAGGTAAATTTCAGTCAAACCATATCAATAACTACTTTAAATGTGAATGATGTAGCCACATTATCTTAAAATACAAAAACTGTCAAATTGAATTTTTTAAAGCAATATGTAAATATATGATATCTACAAGAAATCCATTTTAAATACAGATGTTAAGGTATATAAAAAGCAAAAGGATAAAGATATGCCATGCAGGTATTAATTAAAAGAAAGCTACAGTTGCTATATTTATATCAAAATAGAGTTCAGAACAAGGGAGAGGGATATTACGTAATGATACAGCGGCCAAGCTTCCAACAAAATATCATAATCCTAAATGTGAATGCACCTCAAAACAGGCAAAAACTAATAGGCGTAAAAGAAAAATAAACAATCTATGATTATATTTAGAGGTGTCAACATTCCTCTCACAAAAATTGATGGAATGAGTAGGCAGAAAATCAGTAAGGATAGTGATTACTTGGCCAATATCATCAATTAGCTTGACCTGATGGGAATTTATAAATAGATGTAAACTACACATTATTTTCTTTTTTTGTTTGTTTGTTTTTATTATTATTATTATTATTATTATTATACTTTAAGTTTTAGGGTACATGTGCACAATGTGCAGGTTAGTTACATATGTATACATGTGCCATGCTGGTGCGCTGCACCCATTAACTTGTCATTTACATTAGGTATATCTCCCAGTGCTATCCCTCCCCCCTCCCCCCACCCCACAACAGTCCCCAGAGTGTGATGTTCCCCTTCCTATGTCCATGTGTTCTCATTGTTCAGTTCCCACCTATGAGTGAGAATATGCGGTGTTTGGTTTTTTGTTCTTGAGATAGTTTACTGAGAATGATGATTTCCAATTTCATCCATGTCCCTACAAAGGACATGAACTCATCATTTTTTATGGCTGCATAGTATTCCATGGTGTATATGTGCCACATTTTCTTAATCCAGTCTATCATTGTTGGACATTTGGGTTGGTTCCAAGTCTTTGCTATTGTGAATAATGCTGCAATAAACATACGTGTGCATGTGTCTTTATAGCAGCATGATTTATAGTCCTTTGGGTATATACCCAGTAATGGGATGGCTGGGTCAAATGGTATTTCTAGTTCTAGATCCCTGAGGAATCGCCACACTGACTTCCACAATGGTTGAACTAGTTTACAGTCCCACCAACAGTGTAAAAGTGTTCCTATTTCTCCACATCCTCTCCAGCACCTGTTGTTTCCTGACTTTTTAATGACTGCCATTCTAACTGGTGTGAGATGGTATCTCATTGTGGTTTTGATTTGCATTTCTCTGATGGCCAGTGATGGTGAGCATTTTTTCATGACTACACATTATTTTCAAACATACATGGAACATTCACCAAGAATGACCATATTATGATCCATGAAACAAACCTTAACAAATGTAAAAGAACAGAAATTATACAAGTATGTTCTTGGGCCTTAACAGTATTAAACTAGAAATCAATCACAGAATACTAGCTGGAAAATCCCCTAAGATTCAAAAATGAAACAGCACACTCCCAACTGAGGCATGGAATAAAGAAAGTCTCAAGGGAAATTTAAAAAAATGTTTTGAAGTTTTGAACTCAATGAAAACACAGCCCATCAAAATTGGCGAGATGCAGCAAAACTAGTACATACAGAGAAATTTACAGCATAAATACTTATATTAGAAAAGAAAAAAAGTTCCAACTCAGTAAGCTAAATTTCCACCAGAAAGACCAAGAGAAAGAACAAATGCAATCTGAAGGCAGCAGAAGGGAGAAAATGCTAAAAGTTCAAAGCGGAAACCAAGGAAGTTGAAGACACAAAAATAACAGGGAATCAAAATCAAGCCGAAAGCTGATTCTCTGCAAAGATCAAAAAAAATTATAAACTTCTAGCCACACTAACCAAAATAAATACACAAAATTAGCAATATTAGGACTGAAAGAGGAGCCATCGCTATGACAACAAACACATTAAGAGGATAACAAGGGATTATCACAAACAACTCTATGTCCACGAATTCAAAAATTTAGATGGAATAGAATAAAATGAGTAGAATAAATCCTTGAAAGATGTAAATTACTACAACTCACCCAAGAAGAAATAACTTAAATTTTCCTGTGTTGTTAGAGAAATTGAACTGCAAGTTAAAATTCTTCTAAAAAGGAAAACTTCAGGTCCAGATAGTTTCAGTGATGAAAGTTACCAAACATTAAGAAATGCTAACAATTCTACACTATCTGTTCCAGAAAATAGAAAAGGAGAGCATCCTTCCAAATTCATTTTATGAGGCCAGCGTTATCCTAATTTTAAAACCAAATACCGTTTAAGAAAAGAAAACCAAAGACCAATGCCCTTCATAAACATGGAAGCAAAAATTCTCAACAAAAATATGAATAAACTGAATCTGGCAAAATAGAAAATGATAATCTCACAATCAGATGAGATTCATTCCAGGAATGCAAGACTGGTTCAACATGCAAAAACCACAGTCACTGTATTAACACACTAAAGCAGGACGGCCTTTGGGTTTGACTATGACTTTACGTACGTGACAGTCAAGCACAATCCAGTCAGCTATTGAAGGAAATGAAGCGCTGAGTCCTGCTACAACATGCATAAATGGACCTCGAAGAAACACCACGCTGTGTGAAAGAAGCCAGATGCAAAAGACTAAATACTGCATGAGCGCGCTTATGTGAAACGTCTAGAAAAGGTAAATTTATAGAACTGGAAAGAAGACTGGTGGCTGCCCAGGGCTGGAGACGGGATTAACTGTGATAAGCATTAAAAGCAATGAACATTTTGGATTCTGGTGATGGTTGTGGAACTCTGTATGTTGAATTGTATGATGACAATGGGTGAATTTAATGGTGTACAAATGAGATTTCAATTAAGTTGTTAAATGAAAGTGACAAGAAAAAAAGAACAAAAAGGAAGAAGACTTAGCAAAGGTATTGAAAAACTAGAGATAGCCACAGATCCACAGAGCCCTGGCAGGGCCCCTGCCTTTCACCGAGTTGGAAACTGTATAGAAATTGATGAAAATCCAGGCGCAGTGGCTCACACCTGTAATCCCAGCACTTTGGGAGGCCAAGGTGGGTGGATCACCTGGGGTCAGGAGTTTGAGACCAACCTGGCCAACGTGGTGAAACCCCATCTCTACCAAAAAGTACAAAAATTAGCTGGGTGTGGTGGCAGGTGCCTGTAATCACAGCTACCCGGGAGGCTGAGGCAGGAGAATCGCTTGAACCAAGGAGGCGGAGGTTGCAGTGAACCGAGATCATACCATTGCACTCCAGCCTGGGCAACAAGAGTGAGACTCTGTCTCAAAAAAAAAAAGAAATTGATGAAAAAAAGAAGTAAGTTTCATGAGTCTTATTTATAATGTGGGTGGAGGGTAGGGGCAGAGCCCTGAAGCTGCAGAGTCTGGCTAGCCTTCGGGGCTGCAGTGTGCTGGAATGGAAGGAAGGCCCTCAAGGGAGGGGTAGCGGGGCTGGGAGCGGAGGCAGAGGCTCACAGCGGCCCAGCTGGCCAAGGCGTGGGGGCTGCATGTCATCCTGGGCACAAAGGACAACCAGGAGAGGGTGTTAAGCAGAGGAGACTGTGACCAGGCCTGGTCTTGAAGCACGCACTCTAGCTAGGCTGTGGAGAAAGGACAGATGATGTACTCCCTGGAGGCTGCAGAGAAAGGACAGATGTACTCCCTGGAGGCTGGGCTGTGGCTTGTCCTTCTCTGTAATGTCACAGGAGGTCACCCACTGAGAGAAGGTGGGAGCCGCTCAATCCACGTCTTAAATCAGTGCAGGTACAACCCTCATCCCTTCTGATAATATGTAAGCTGTGGCGGGAAAGGCTAGCCCCACCAGAACTCCCTGGGAGGCCTCCGTGAGCAACGCGCATAGCCGTCTCTGAGCACTCTCTTCACAGGGGAAAGGGAACATTGTCTCCCTCTGATTCCCACCACCCCTCGCCCTTCCCACTCATCTCCATGACGTGATCCACAAGCGGAGGTGACACAAGCAGGGTTCCCTCCTCCTTCCCCATCCCAAAAGGCTCCCAAAATGGCTTGGAACCTGCCGAGGACCCAGGGTGAAAACCTGCGGTCTTCTTGTCAAACCTGTTTTCACGGAATACCAGCTACATAGGCAAGGGAGGTCATGGTAGGAGGAGCTGTAAAACCCTGCCTGTCTGAAATGTCTTACCTGGACTTTATGAAGCTGATTGAAAGTATCCTGGTGAAGTTTTTGCAAATTGATGGCGGCCAACACTGCATAAAGAAGAGAGAGACCCAGCTGAGGCATGAGACAAGTGCTGTCAGGGAAGGGAAGGAATGCGCCCCCGGCCCGGACGCACGCAGGAGGAACCCATGCTCAGCAGTGAGGATGGCGAGATGCTGTCTGGACCCCACTCTGCCACATCCAAAGGGCTGCCACGGCCATCGCCACATCCCTGACACTTGCGAGGACACCCACTGTTGAAATTAACCACACTCTGTGCAGAGAAGTGAGCCAGGCCAAGGCTCCCTGACATGATTAGACTGGAAACGGGACACAGGCTTCCTGGCCCCAAGCTCAGCACGTGTTCCAGTGTGCCAGGCTTCCTTGGAAGAGCCACTACTAAGGAGGCAGAACGGCAGCCGCCGGCAGCAGCTCGCCCCGCTCCCCTGCTCACTCCCGGGCGTGTCCCTCACTATTGCCATCTGATGAGTCCGTCCAGAATCTTCCTGCCACTTAATTCTCTAGGATCTCCTAAGTGTCCACACAGAGCCTTGGGCGGTAGGATCCCAGGAATGGAACCGGATCTAGGCGGGGTTCCTGACACAACACCCATCTTCTGGTTCTCCCTGTGGTTTCCCAAGTTAGTGGAGATGGCCCTGATCCCAAGCCAGGCGCAGCACCAATGCAGATTTCTTGCCACAGAAAAACTATGGGAGATGGAAAGGCGTCCTGAGAACAGAGGAGCTCCAGTGCTGCTGTGTTTAAAGACGGCAGGAGCAAGGCCAAGATAGGGAGCTGTGAGTGGCCCTGAGCCTTAACCTTGAGTCCTCATTTATTGTAACATCGAACTCCAGGATCCATCCCAGTGGACACGGGAAAGGGAGGTATCGAGATGCACTTGGTTTTCTCTGCAGTGTGTTCAAGATTTACACGGGCTGGCTGAGAGCCCTGTTCTCCTGTGAACTAACTCTAAATGTGTACCTCCTTTGGTGTGGCCACTCAGCACATGTTTCTCACCATCAGAGGTCAAGAGAAGCTCCACAATCCCTCTTCTCAGCAGGGCCTGTTGAGAAAATTAACCAAAATGAACCCAATTCCCTCATTCCCATGGGAAAAAAGAAATACATACAGCTCCCCATATTCATGGGTTCTGCATCCATGCATTCTGCAATCACAGTCAGAAATATGTTTTTACTTTTTTAATTTTAAATTTTTTTTAGAGACAGGGTCTTGCTGTGTTTCCCCGGGCTGGAGTGCAGTGGCACGATCATAGCTCACTATAACCTTAAACTCCTGGATTCAAGCCATCTTACCACCTCAGCCTCCTGAGTAGCTAGGACTACAGGCACACGCCACCATGTCCAGCTAATTTTTTTTTCTTTAGTAGAAACGGGGGCTCACTATGTTGCCCAGCCTGGTCTCAAACTCCTGGCCTGAAGTGAGCCTCCCGCCTTGTACTCCCAAAGCACTCAGATTACAGGTATGAGCCACCACGCCTGGCCAAAAATATATTTCTTAATTGCATCTGTACTGAACGTGCACAGGCATTTTTCTCATCATTATTTCCTAAAGAGTACTATATAGCAACTATTTATGTAGCATTTACATCATATTGGGTATTAGAAGTAATCTAGAGGTAAGTTAAAGTACATGGGAGAGGCCAGGCATGGTGGCTCATGCCAGCACTTTGGGAGGTCAAGGCAGGCAGATCATTTGAGGTCAAGAGTTTGAGACCAGCTTGGCCAACATGGTGAAACCCTGTCTCTAATTAGCCAGGTGTGGTGGCGCATACCTGTAATTCCAGCTACTCGGGAGGCTGAGTCACAAGAATTGCTTGAAACCAGAGGTAGAGGTTGCAATGAACCGAGATCACGCCAGCCTAGGTGACAGAGTAAAACTATCTCAGAAAAAAAAAAAAAAAGCATATGGGAGGATGTGCATAGGTTGCATGGAAGTGCCACACAATTTTATGTCAAGAACTTGAACACCGACCGATTTTGTGTCCACAGGGGCCCTGGAATCAATCCTCCATGGATGCTGAGGGCCGACTATATGAGGAAATCGGAAACTAAACAGAGCATGGTTCAGTTGGGTGAGATGGGAGCTAGACACGGGTTTGAATTCAGAGTCTGACCTTCTGCAACTTAGTAAATTGGGGGAAAGCACTGTCTCGGTCTCAGCCTGGTGACTTTTGTGGGGAATGACCCTAAAATCGGTCGAGTGTGGGTTCTGACACCCCATGATCAAAGTCTCCAGGGAAAAAAAGGGCTGAGTTTACCAGGAAATGCCCTGGAAGAGGATCTAAGTCACTGAAAGAAGAGGAAGAAGACCAGGGAACCACTCTGTGCTGGAAGGGGAGAGGCTGCAGCTGTGGGGTCCTGAGAACCATCAGGGAATTCACCAAGCTCAGGTGCTGCCGAACACTGTCAAGGGGAACAAGGAAGCCTGCCATGGCTGCAGGGATGGGGACATCTAATCTGAAAAACCATGGTCACGAGGCCAGATAGCCAGGGCCTGGCTGTGCGTCTCCTGTGCTTATCGAGTCAGACCTGGGCCTGGGAGTGGAGTTGAATGGTTTTTTTTTCTTTTTCTTTTTTTTTCTTTTCTTTTTTTTTGGCGGGGGGGGACGAGTCTCACTCTGTCACCCAGGCTGGAGTCCAGTGGCATAATCTCGGCTCACTGCAACCTCCATCTCCCAGGTTCAGGTGATTTTCCTGCCTCAGCCTCCTGAGTAGCTGGGATTACAGGTGTGCACCACCACGCCCAGCTAATTTTTGTATTTGTAGTAGAGACAGAGTTTTGACACGTTGGCCAGGCTGGTCTCGAACTCCTGACCTCAGGTGATCCACCCACCTCAGCCTCACAAAGTGCTGGGATTCTAGGCATGCGCCACTGAGCACAGCCGGTAAATTTTAAAATCAAAAACAAATAATGCTGGCTGAACACAACCGATTAAATAATGCTGGCTGAATACAACCGATTAAATAATGCTGGCTGAATACAACCGATTAAATAATGCTGGCTGAACACAACCGATGCAGGGCAGCCACGCGTCCCCTGGGAAAAGACAGGGAGGGAAATTACTCTCTGACCTTGTCCACCTCCAGAAGCCACAGCTATAGCGCGGGAGCCAGCACGTGGATGAAGTCCAGCCCCGCCCTCCTCCCCACTTTGCCCAGCTGGGGACCCCTCTCCTTCCCGCCCCGGCCTCCAGCCAGAGGTCTCCGCACAGGCACTGCTGCAGAGGCAAGGGCGGAGTCAGGACGGCTCAGGCCAACCCTGCAGCCCTGCACTCTGCTTGGCAGCCCATGGTGGGGTTCAGTTGAGACTGAACTCTCATCAGCTTTCTGAATATGGGAAGTCAGGGGCCAGCAGGGGCTGAGCCACCAGGAAGGACAGCAGGCAGGACTGCAGTTATTCCCTGGCCTGACAGTCCCTCCGTGAAGAAGCAAGAGGGACAGAAGAGACGACGTTTATCTTACAGGCCAGAAAGCTTCAAGCTGAGAGTCCCATCACTAAGTTCTTGAAGCATTATTTACAGTGGAGGAAGATTCACCAGCCCCAGCTTTAATGAGAGTCGTGGGTCATAGAGACAGGAAGCAGAAAGGAATAGCCCTTTAATGCCATGTTCTGTCTTCTAATAGTTATTTAGGTACATAGTGATTGTCTTGACTGCTGTAAATTCACAGAGAAAATGAACTTGATCTACAGTTGAACCTTGAACAACACAGGTTTGAACCGTGCGGATCCACTTATACTCGGATTTTTTTCAATACGAGTTACAATCCCCTGCCTCTCCTGCCACCTCCTCCACCTCTTCTGCCACCCCTGAGTCAGCAAAACCAACTCCTCCTCCTCCACCTCTTCCTCCTCCCCCTCAGCCTGTTTAACCTGAAGATGATGAGGATAAAGACCTTTACCATGATCCATTTCTGCTTAATGAGAAGTCAATACATTTTCTGTTCCTTATGATTTTCTTAGTAACATTTTCTTTTCTGAAGCTTACTTTGCTGTAAGAATACAGTATATAATAGATATACAAAACCTGCATTAATCGACTGTTTATTATTGGTAAGGCTTCCAGTCAACAGTAGACTATTAGTGACTAAATTTTGAGGGAGTCAAAAGTTATACGCAAATTTTCAGCTATGCAGTGGGCCGGCACCCCTCCGCACCTCGTGTTCACAGGCCAACATTCTCAGAATGCACAGTGTCCAGCCCGATCACTCATGCATCCAGGAATCAGAAACGCACAGAGGAGGAAGGAGGCATGTAAACATGGGGCCAAACCAAGGCCCTCTTACCTTGTGGAGATACGGCATGTATGTTTTATCCTTATTGAATGAGCCATACTCATTCTCCACTTGCACCGCGATGACAGGGCCTGCCTGGCGGTACTGAGAAACAAGCATAGGAGGGTTAAAGAGTGAGGCTATTTGGGGCAAAAGCCTGGAGTCTCTGAGCTTGCTGCCGAAGGCTGCACAGCTGGTGCGGCAGGCTCTGATCCACGGCCCCTGTGGTCTGCACGCTCTGCTCCAGCGCTGGAGTTAGAGTCTGCTGGGTCACTTGGCTGCTGTGGGAGCCGCCTTCCCTAGTGCGTTACAGTACGTAACTGCCAGGTTTCCCTCTGGTTCTCACACTGGCTACTTAAATTTGAGCCCTCAAACCTACAAATGCACCTGCTTCCACGCCAATCCCATCCATATTCCCACCTCCCTCCTGCCTTAGGCTTATGCCACCACTTGCGTGTGGGTCCCACGGCCTTCCGCTGCCTGATCAGGAACGTGGCTCTGGGCACAGCCCCTCTCCCCTCCGTGCCTTTGACCTTCCTTTGCAACAAGCTGACCTCCATGATCATGGAAACTTACTCAGGACCCTCCGCATCAAGATGGGGGCAGAGGCCCAGGAATGTTCCCCTCTTCCCACTCTCCTCATTAAGAGCCACACTTCCTAGAAGAGCTACCGGTCATCTACACCCACATCTCCTGCTTTCTTGCTTTTAACTCACTCCTCAAACTCCCTTGGGAAAGCTTCCAGCCCATCCTGCCATCCAGACCATCAACATTGACCTAGTTATGCTAAACTCAAAGGCCTTTTCAGAGTATCCTCTTTCAGGGTCCTTCCACAGTCTGATGCATTTCCTTCTCCTTGGAGCCCAGCCACAGAGAAGGCAGCCTGAGTGCTGGAAAGCCAAGGTCTGAGCTTTTTGTCCCAACATACAGCAGGCCCGGGGTCCCCACTGCCTACAGCATAAATGGCCAGCTTTATAGTGCGTTCCTCCCTCTTGGACAAAAGAATGCTGGCTCTGAGGGCACTAAGGAAGGAGAAGAGGCATGACTGTCAGCTTTTCCTTTGCAGGTTCCCCTCTGCCTCCTTCCCGCCTCACCCTCTGCCCAGGCGTGCTGGCTTCCCACAGCTCCTACTGAGATTCTGTTTGCCTCCACAGGGCAGCGCCACGCCTGCCCCCCGAGTGGACGCATGGCCTCTCCGCTGTGCCTGGTACACCCAGCAGTGACCACACAGGCCCTGGCGCTCAGCAATTACTCGCTGGATGGACATAAATATTCTCAGCGAGTGAGTTGAAAACAATTGTTTTTATTATTGAACAGTATCAGTTCTCTCCAACCCGAAGGGTGAGACTTCTAAAAACCCCATTGCAGAGGAATTTCCAGTCGGCCTTGTGAAATAAACAGGATAAGAATAAAAGTCCCAAGTAAACCAGTAATGCACTCTAAAAATTATTTTTACATAATAATTAAAACAATAATGACAACCAATTCCGTAAAGGGACCTTAAAATACTAATGATGTATCAATAATTAAATTAGTGCAAGGTATGCGAGGTATGGGGCATTACATTTCACTTACCCTTATAATTCCTTGCTTCTTAAAAGTTTCCTAGCATTTCCCACAGTTCAATGGGATGCCTGTAAATTAGCTTTCCTCGTTGCATACATGTGCCTGTGAACGGCATTTGTGCTTCTGGTAAAACTTCCATCCAAATATTCAGTCTTTCTGGGTTTTTGTTTTTTTTCGAGACGGAGTCTCACTCTGGCGCCCAGGCTGGAGTGCGGTGGCGCCATCTTGGCTCCCTGCAAGCTCCGCCTCCCGGGTTCACGTCATTCTCCTGCGTCAGCCTCCCGAGTAGCTGGGACTACAGGCGCCCGCCACCACGCCCGGCTCATTTTTTCTATTTTTTAGTAGAGACGGGGTTTCACCGTGTTAGCCAGGATGGTCTTGATCTCCTGACCTCGTGATCCACCCACCTCGGCCTCCCAAAGTGCTGGAATTACAGGTGTGAGCCACAGCTCCCAGCCTGGACATTAATTTTGTATAAATGTTTTCTGTGTATTATATAGCCTACCTATCTATTATTTTAATGCATGTCTATTTCTTATTTATGTATTTATTTATTTTTTGAGACGGAGTCTCGCTCTGTCGCCCAGGCTGGAGTGCGGTGGCGCCATCTTGGCTCCCTGCAAGCTCCGCCCCCCGGGTTCACGTCATTCTCCTGCCTCAGCCTCCCGAGTAGCTGGGACTACAGGCGCCCGCCACCACGCCCGGCTAATTTTTTCTATTTTTTAGTAGAGACGGGGTTTCACCGTGTTAGCCAAGATGGTCTCCATCTCCTGACCTCGTGATCCACCCGCCTCAGCCTCCCAAAGTGCTGGGATTAACAGGCGTGAGCCACCGCGCCCGGCCACCAGTCTTTCTGGTTTTGAGGCTCACTCCTGCCACTGAGTCCCATCTAGATTGCAGAAATGCAAACAGACACATACAGCTTCAGCCCTTCAAACAAAAGATGTACCTCAACTCCACCTAACGGAGCCAGAGTTTAATCCTAAAGACAGGGTTTTCTTCCTCTCAGCAGTGCCCGTCTCTCAAAACTGTATTGCAGCAACACCATTCCTAAGCTCTCTCTCACATTCTTCCTTTGTTATCCCTCGATTCTTCTCTTTATAATTATCCTAATAAGAACAACTCACAGGCTGGGTTCTGTGGCTCATGCCTGTAATCCCAGCCCTTTGGGAGGCCGAGGCAGATGGATCATCTGAGGTCAAGAGTTTGAGATCAGCCTGGGCAACATGGTGAAACCCCATCTCTACTAAAAATACAAAAATTAGCCAGGCATGGTGGTTGGTGCCTGTAATCCCAGCTATTCAGGAAGCTGAGGCAGGAGAATTGCTTGAACCCAGGAGGTGGAAGTTGCGGTGAGCCGAGGTCACACAACTGTACTCCAGCCTGGGCAACAGAGTGAGACTCCGTCTCCAAAAAAAAAAAAAAAAACAGAACTCACAATTCATGATTCCAAATTAGTTACAAAGGCCTAGATCTATATGTTTGCCATATTTACTCCCAAACAGAAGAGTAAGATATCAGCCTACTACTACCTAAAAATCCAGGTGTTTTTTTGGTTTGTTTTTGAGACAAGGTCTTGCTCTGTCACCCAGGCTGGAGTTCAGAGGCACGATCTCAGGTCACTGCAACTGGGCTCAAGCCATCCTCCCACCTTAGCTTCCCGAGTAGTTGGGACTACAGGTGCTCACCACGCTCTCGAATTTTTGTATTTTTTGTAGAGTTGTGGTCTCACTATGTTGCTCAGGCTGGTCTTGTACTCCTGGGCTCAAGCAGTCCTCCCACTTTGGCCTCCCAAAGTGCTGGGATTACAGCCGTGAGCCACCATGCCAGGCCATAATCTAGATTTTTATCCCATCTCGAGCTGCATCAAGAGACGTGTCCTTGAACTATTTTTACTTAATATCCAAGTGCATCTTCTCTTTTGGAAGAGTTATGTT
The DNA here is from genome assembly GCF_000001405.40 of Homo sapiens. NCBI lineage: Eukaryota > Metazoa > Chordata > Mammalia > Primates > Hominidae > Homo > Homo sapiens. The sequence continues at coordinate 134,285,399 of NC_000011.10, read as the reverse complement.
GTTTAAATTTAAAAAAATTACAATGATCAAACAATGCTGTCTTGTAGACCGCACAGTACAATGTTCTTTTTTTGTCACAGACCTGACTGTGTGCTCTAGGTTGCCATGGTAAAAATGAAGGCGTTTCTTATCAAGTGCATGAGGTCTGGGTACACCATAAAAAAGGCAATGCTGTTGGGCGCAGTGGCTCACACCTTTAATCCCAGCACTTTGGGAGGCAGAGGTGGTGGGATCACGAGGTCAGGAGATCAAGACCATCCTGGCTAACACAGTGAAACCCCATCTCTACTAAAAATACAAAAAGTTAGCCGGGCATGGTGGTGGGCACCTGTAGTCCCAGCTACTTGGGAGGCTGAGGCAGGAGAATGGCGTGAACCCAGGAGGTGGAGGTTGCAGTGAGCCAAGATCAAGCCACTGCACTCCAGCCTGGGCAACAGAGTAAGACTCTGTCTCAAAAAAAAAAAAAAAAAAAAAAGGCAATGCATGGCACCTGTGTTCTTCCCATCTGTAGGAGTAAATCAAACTAGAATGCAGGGCAATAGCAGGTAGACTTACACAGACACGGAATGGGGGGTGCAAGTTATTTTTTTACAACATAAATGGAAAATCCAAATGTCCATGAATAGGATATGAATTCCCGAGTTTTGTTTTTTTGTTTCGTTTTGTTTTTTGAGACAGAGTGTCACTCTGTTGCCCAGGCTGGAGTGTGGCGGCATGATCTTGTCTCACTGTAATCTCTGCCTCCCAGGTTCAAGTGATTCTCTTGTCTCAGCCAGCTGAGTAGCTGGGGTTACAGGCATGTGCCACCATGCCCAGCTAATTTTTTTGTATTTTTAGTAGAGATGGAGTTTCCCATGTTGGTCAGGCTGATCTCGAACTCCTGACCTCAGGTGACCCCCCTGCCTCGGCCTCCCAAAATGCTGGGATTATAGGCATGAGTCACCAAGCCTGGACTGAATACCTGTTAAATGAATTATGATACATCCCTACTAGGGAACAGTGTGCAGGCACTAAAAAGAGTGGCTGGTTTCAAATCTACGTATTTCAAGTAACAAAAGAAAAATGCCTGAGAGGCATAGACACGTGTGTATAATTTGCTTCTGTGCTGATAAAATCTCTAAAAAGAGACACAAAATCTAGTAAAATTGGTTGTCTCCTGAAAGGGCAACTAAATGGCTTTGGGACAGGGTGGAAGGTGAGATTTTTATCTGACCAAAAATTCATTTGTACCTTCTGAGTCTTTTTGCCATGTCAAAAGTGGAAAGAAGCAATGGGAAGATTGGCAAGCTTGAGGAATAGTAAGTTCATGTGGACAACCAGTCCCTGCCTTGTGTGATGAGTCTTTCTAGCAACCCTGGGGAAGCTTACCCGGACAACAAGGACAGGACAGGTCAGTGCTTCTGTCCTCAAGCCAAGGGTCCAGAACTCAAGGTTACAAGAAAGTCAACTCAATTGTTCATGGAGACTGCATGTGGCCTCTTCAGTGATCAAGCCAGAACAAACTCTTTCCCTAAAGGGCACGTAAGAAAGATGCAGGGGACAATTTGGCTTTACCTGGAGAGGAATCACTCTGGGAATCAGGTGGTCAAAATACTTCTCAACTGCTTCAATGAAGCTCTTGTTGGTTGTCCTCAACAGTAACCGGGGGTCTTGCAGGAGCCAGCTGGGGGCAAGAGGGGCGGGCTCAGGGTCTGAGACGGGTTGGGAGAGGGAAGCAGGAGTGGGCTCAGAGCTGCCCCGGCTCGCCGCACATCTGCCCAGCTGCCTCACACCCCCGGTCCCGGAGCACTCGGGTCCTGGAAAGATCTGTGCCGCGTGAGACTTTCAGACCATTCTCACAGACTTGTGGGATTTGAAAGGAAACGGCCGCCTCCACCTCCAAGGCACTTCACAACTTCGGAAAGGCCTTCAGCTCTATTTGGTCTGACTGAGGGGCTGGCCTGTCAAGGCTCTTACAGCCATGTCTTAAAGAGCTTTTTCTTCTACCTTTTGGTGAACACTCTCTATTCTTTTTCAGTTTATTGAAAACATTTTTTGGTCAGGCGCGGTGATTCATGCCTATAATCCCAGCACTTTGGGAGGCCGAGGTGGGCAGATCACCTGAGGTCAGGAGTTCGAGACCAGCCTGGCCAACGTGGCGAAACTCCCGTCTCCACTAAAAGTACAGAAATTAGCCGGGTGTGGTGGCGGGCGCCTGTAATCCCAGCTACTCAGGAGGCTGAGGCAGGAGAATCGCTTGAACCCGGGAGGCAGAGGTTGCAGCAAGCCGAGATCGCGCCACTGGACTCCAGCCTGGGTGACGAGAGCAAGACTCCGTCTTAAAAAAAAAAAATTCTTGGGGACAGAAAAAATTTCCTTAGGCACAGTGTCACATTTCCACTAAGGGCTAAGGCTTCAGGCTCAGGGCAGGAGCCTACGTGCCAATGATACTCCACCCACTCCAGGTCACTGGGGAAGTGCCAGGCAGGCCTCCAGCCAAGCTATGCCGGGAGTCACTGCTTCCCGAAAACTCCACTCCCCTCAGCTCAGGCTTTCTCTGCCCCTGGAGAAAAGCAAAGACCTCTCTCTTCATCCTGGAGAAAAGCAAAGGCCTCATCTGACTCTGAGGTGCAGAGGTGCTCACTGGAGGCAGAGCCCCAGATTCCCCAGGAAGCCCTGCCCACCACAGGGGTGGCAGAGAGGAGTCTTGGAGTCTCACCCTGACCCTCAGCAGTCTGGGCTGGGGGCCAGAATCACAGAGGAGAGAACAAGGCAAAGAAAAGCAAGAGGGAAGGGAGGGGAGCTGAGGGTGGTCTCACTGCATGGAAAGGCAAGCCTTCCCCTCACAAAATAAGCGAAAGATCAGAAGTTTTCAAAACAAGCCGAGTCGTCAGAACCTTCCCTTGCAGGCCTTAAAGCTTCTGGTCCCTTTCTTCCCAGGGCATTTTGAGAAGGACAGAGGAGGCTACAGCCCCTCCTGCATGGGGAAAGAAGAGTGGGAGCCTCTTGTGGCCACCTCTCCCCGCGCACACCCTCTTGACCGCATGCCCAAGGCCCCAGGACCAACGTCTGGAGCTTCTCATCTGTGAATCGGGGATGACAACTGCACCCCGCCCCCCGCCACCGCAGTACCGCAGGCTTCCCACAAGACAACACAGGCACGGTGCGTGGCGTGGGGCAGCACACCTCCCATCGGCTCCGTGAATAAAGGTTACTTTCCTTGTTACTAGCTTGAAATTCACTTTTTTTAAAGCAAATACTTCACTAGAACCACGACTCTGGGACTGTAGCCCCGCTTACCTGGGCAAGCCCCCGAGGTCCATCTCACTGCAGATGTAGCGGCCTGGACGCAGAATCACCCACAGCCCGATCTCTGCGGCCATCAGGACGAAGGCCCTAGGGAGGTCCACATCGTCAGCCCCTCCCACGACGGCCCAGGATGAGGCCGGGTGGGGGCCACACGCATCACAGGGTGGAGGAGCTGCCTGGTGGGGCGAAGGGACGGCTCGGCCCCACCCCCAAAGCGTGGGGACTCCCACACCAGGTCGGTGGCCTGAGCTGCTCCCAGCCTCAGAGCCTCTGCACAGCCCCATCGGGGGCCTGAGGAGGAAGGGTGACACCCAGGGCTCAGTGGTCTCAACAGTGAACCTGACCCCATAGCCTTGCTAGCCTAGAGGGGCCGCCCTGCCCCAGCCCAGGCGCCAGACCCCATGCAGAGTCGGGCGGCTCCCAGGGTCTTCTGCCCCTCTGGGCTGCAGTGGAGAGGTGGGGCCCGGAGGCTGCAGGCCCAGTCCCTCTGGGTGACAGGTCACGGTTGGGGAGCGTCTGGGTCCTGGGTGCAGGGCCTCTCACAGTCCTAGAACAGGACTCCAGACCCACGTCCCTCCCTGGTTCTCTTTGGTTGCTAATCCACCCCCAGTAGCCACCTCTGTGCCCTGCCCCTGACCAGGGCACAGAAGCAGCAACACCACATACTCCAGGTCCAGGTTCCCAGAGAAGTCAAATTTGCCTCTTTCTGGCTCATGCAGGTTCCACGGAACATAGCTAGAAGAGGTGAGAGGGAAGTATGATGAGTATCTTCTTATTTCTTCCTCCAAATTGTTAGGTCTGCCCCAAATCCAAGCCAAAACCATGCATAGCTCTATTTTGAAATAAGTTGAAGTTACCAGTGGAAATTAAACCTCTGTTACACTAACCATGACCATCTTTAATAGTTCCTTGCTCTATTATCCAATTGTGGTTCAAGCTGCCAATTATCCTATGATGCTGGGTTTCTTGGGATTTATATATAAATTCTTCCACTCACTGCCCTATTGTAACACTCATTAAAAGTATAAATTAAAAAAGAGAACAAAAACAAAAATGTCTACATCTTCCTTATAAATTTTTGCTATGAGTTAGTCAAAATAAGAATAAATGAGGAGTTTCTGTGAAGATAGTGGAGTTACAGTAAATCTAGTAAGGGTACTACCTTTAGACCTTAGCAAGAAGGGCCCCCAGGGGACCCTCCCCCATAGGGCTATGAGTAAAAATTTTATTAGGTATACCAGGCATAGTTCACTAGGCAACTGTGTTTTTTTGTGCCACTGGCAACATGTTTGAGTGTTATGCCCCTTAACATCATGTTTCCTATAAGCCCTGTGGTTTTTATTACACAATTTTGTGCAGTGCAGAGATTTTTGACAATACATCGTAGAACTGACTGTATGGCCCACCAAGAAGACATACTAATCATGGCCTTCTATGAGCTTAACAACGTAGCTTGTTGTATGTTGTAAGTTACAACATAGCTTGCCGTAAGTAAAGGAGAAGCTGACTGAATTAGAGAGGACCTGGATACATCAGTTACCATCACAGTGAAAAGATTTAAAGTACCCCTCTAAGAAACAAAGAAAATAAGCAGCAAAAAAAGAAAAAGAAGAAACTTGTAAGGATACAGATTTGAACTGTGTAATTAAAAGTCGGCATGTAATAAATACATAGAGAACCCAGTAGCCAACAGATGGAGCATCTACATTCCCTTAAAAAGCGCATCTGTACAACTAAGTATGAAAAAAGAATGTAAAATTTAAAAGACCAAAATTTAAAATGCATGAAACAGTTGTAAAATATTGGCATGTACTATGTCACGAAGTAAATCTCAACAAATTCCAAAAACCTATATCACATAGTCCATGATCCCAAGATAAATGCAAACAAATTTAAAAATCACAGTTAAATAGTAAAATTTAAATAAATAAATAAATAAATAAAACAGAAAGCGTATTCCCAAATAGCTAATAGAAACAACATCAAAACTTAGGAAATATTTGAAAATAAATGACATTCAAAGCACTATATAGCAAAATTTGTGGGCTATATAACCAAAGCAACACTCAGAGAAACATTCATATCTTTGAAGGAATATATTAGAAAACACAAAAGACTGGAAGTAAAAGAAGCTAAATTTTAACTCAGGGAAAAAGAAGAAGGAGGAGGAGGAAACTGAGAAGGACAGAGAAGAGAAGGTACTATATTTAATAAAGTAGAGAAAAGGAAATTACACATAACTCAGAAACTGTGAAATACAGATCCGAAATATACAGAGAGTACTAACAAAGCTACAAGCTAGTTATCTGAAAAGACTAAATAGATAAGATTAAGAAAAAAGAAAAAAACAGCCAAAATACACAACGTGATGTATATAACTTCCAAGTGAGTACAGGAAAGAAAGGAAAAATTTCTTAAGTCCCAGTGGGTTCAAAAGAAGAAAGAAGGCTGGGCGAGGTGGCTCACATCTGTAATCCCAGCACTTTGGGAGGCCGAGGCAGGCGGATCACCTGAGGTCAGGAGTTTGAGACCAGCCTGACCGATATGGTGAAACCCCATCTCTACTAAAAATACAAAAATTAGCCGGGTGTGGTGGCGGGAGCCATAATCCCAGCTACTCAGGAGGGTGAGGCAGGAGAATCACTTGAACCCAGGAGGGGGAGGTTGCAGTGAGCAGAGATCGCGCCACTGCACTCCAGCCTGGGCAACAGAGCAAGACTCTATCTCAAAAAAAAAAAAAAAAAAAAGAAAAAGAAAACAGAAAGAAAAAAGAAAGGAAAGAAAAAAAGGGGGAGAGCAGGATGTATTCAAGAAGAAATAGAGGACATGAGTTAATAACCATTCAAAGAGCTATGTCGTCCCCAAACCCTTCACCTCACAAACCACAAAAGATAGTAGTCACAGAGTTTACAGGTGAATCTTAAGAAACTTTCAGGGTAAAGATAATTCTTGTGCAAAATATTTCCAATAAGTAAGAAAAGAAGATTTACTCACTTTATGAGCTTATTATAAGATTGATTCAAAACTGGACAAGAATACTAACAAAATAAAATTTTAAATCCGTTTTGCTTATAATCATAAACACATTTGAAATAAAACACTAGCAAATAAAGTCTAGCAATCTGTGTGTATGTAATGTGTGCCTATCTCAGAGCCAAGCAGAGTTTATACCAGTACCACATGGCTGCTTGACTATCAGAAAAATTGCCGTTGTAATTCAGCAATTCAAAAGAACAGTGAAGAAAAACTATATTGTCCCCCCAATACATGCAGTAGCAGCTCTCAATAAAACTCAACGATTATTTCTGATTAAATTCTTTGCATTTTAAATGAACCAGTTTACTGCCTCTCAGCTTCAAATTCACCCTTCAATACCAGCTCTGCAATAAGGCACAGGGCCCTCTAAGCATCTTCTCCTTTACAGTGAGTGTGATGGTAAGCTTGCCACAAAATGGTGGTGGCAGGCCCTCAGGAGGACAGGGCCTCTGATTCTGGAGCAGTTTTGCTTTTTTGTGGTCATACAGGGTGGCTGGTCAGTTGTATACAGGCATGAGGACGACCGTGGTGTTCCCTTTTAAAGGGTGAACTGCTTGAGTCCAGGAGTTTGAGACCAGCCCAGGCAACATGGCGAAACTCCATCTCTACAAACAATTCAAAAAATTAGCCTGGTGTGGTGGCATGCACCTGTGGCCCCAGCTGTTCAGGAGGCTGAGGCAGGAGGATCACCTGAGCCAGAGAAGTAGAAGCTGCCGTGAGCTAAGATCGGGCCACTGCACTCCAGCCTGAGCAACAAACAGAACAACAAACTGTGTCTCAAAAAAAAAAATTTTTTTTTGTTTTAAAAACATGCATGTATCTGTAAGTACATATTTATCTGTAAGTGTGCCTTAAGCTTATGTCATTAAACTGAGTGCTCCCAAGGGCGCCTGGTGTTCCTTCATTAGACAGACAGAATCCTGAGGAAATAACCTCCTCCCTTGAGATTCTCCCACTAACCCCTATCCAAGTCTTTGATCACAGAGCAAACTCAGCATGAGACTAAGTGACAGCTGGACGCTTAAGCATTAAATGTATGTGCTGGAAACGACTGTGCGGAAGGTAAGTCCTCACGCTGGGCCCCCAAAATCGGAGGCTCAGGTTCCCGGCCAGGATGCACTTGTAGGGTAACGAGATCCTGGAGGTGAGGGGCCGGCACTCACGTGGTGACAGTATTGAAGCCACAGGCCTTCAGCTTCAGCAGGCGGTCCCTCCAGTACTCCCTGGGCACCCGGAAATAGTGGATGGAGCCCCCGAAGATCAGGAACTTGTGGCCCTCCAGTGTGAAGTGGGGCTTACCCCGACCTGTGCTTTCAGTTCCAAGTCCCACAGATCGATTCTTCAGCTCCAGAGGGGTCAGATGAGACCAATTAAACCTGGAGGGGGCGGGCGAGGGAAAGAAAGTGGAAAGGGAGAGAGGATTCGGGAGAGGGCTCGGAGGCACGGCTGAAACCCTAGCGAAAAGAAGTTTTTGTTAGTAGGACGTGTTCTGTGCATATGTTAGTAGGACGTGTTCTGTGCATATGTTAGTAGGACGTGTTCTGTGCATATTCGCGATACTATTTTCTCCAAGAAAGGAGAGATCGCTCCCCTCCCTCCCCAGGGATGTAGCTCTCAAGCAAACCTAGGCTGGGACGGATGCGCTCTTCCAAGCATGAAGTTCTCTTCCTGCTTAAACCGAGGAGCAAAACCTGATGAGATAAATGGCAGGAAAAAGATGCCCGCCATTCTCTTCCAGGAGAGACACGGGCTGAAAGGAGAAAGGACAACAGTGACAAGGGGAAGGTTCCGGCCCCACCGGGCTGCAAGGGCCGGGAAGCTGTGCCGGGGGCGCTTTAGAGGCCAGAGCCAGGGAGGGGGCCCGCGACACAGGCGGGTCTTCCAGGCGGGCCCAGGGCCAGGACAGCGCGGCATCACCCGGCCAGTCCTCTGCAGCCAGGATGAAGGCCGGGGACAGACGTTCAGTCCTAGACCCTCCAGACAGGGCTGGGCAGTGCCGGTGGGTGCCTGGGAGAGGCGGAGGCGGGCGCACTTCCAGCACCAGGTTCGGGAAGGACACGGTGCCCAGCCGCTGGAGCCCCTGGCCTGCGTGCCCCACCCTGATTTTCTGGCATCTGGTGAACGGCCCCTCCGCAGGGTGGGGGTAGCCAGGGGATCTGCCGAGGAAAGCTGGGGACAGCGGGCTTGGTGGCGCGGCCCGGCGCGGCGCGTGCCTGGGGCGCGTGGCCGGCCACAGAACCCGGGGAGGGTGGAGGCTCCCGGGCACGCGCCGGGGTGGTGGGCAGCCCGGGACGGCAGCGGCGATCCGTCACCTGAGGAGGGGCGGGGACTTCATCGCGGCCAGGCCGAGGCGCCGAGGGTCCCTTGCGGCTTCCGCCCCTCTCCGCTGGCCCCGACGCCGCGCTCGGGCCGGGACTCGAGCCCCGGTTCCGCGGGGCAGGCTCAGGTCTGCGCGCTGCGCCTGCAGCCGAGGCAGAAATCCGTCCCGAGGCGCGGGCGCCGGGTCCGGGTCCCAAGGATGCGCGTCGGGCTCCCTCCCGCGGGGACAGCCGAGCTCCGCCGGCGCTCCAGGTGTTCCCGCAGTGCGTCCGGGCGCGGACGCCTCTCTGCCCTCGGAGGGGAAGCGGGAGGGCCCTTGGGGTAACGCCCCGACCTCGGGCTTCCTAACCTGGGTCGACAGCCGGCTGGCACAGGGAGGCCTGCGCGGGAGAGGGGCGGAGAGAGCGCAGCGCGGGGCACAGCGGGCGGTCTCCGTGCCGCGCGCGCGACTGGAAACGGCGTGCAGATCCTAAAACGAGGGTTCCACAGAGGGCCACGAGGGGCAGGAGAGAGTCCCCGGAGAACTCTAGCTCCCCGACACGGCTACCTCTTGGCAAACGAGCGAGAATTGGGGCGCAGAGCCTTGGGAGGGCCGTTCCCTCGGCGGGAGCGGCCCGAGCACAGCCTCACAGCAGATGCGAGCGCGGCGGGCGCTTTGGTGACGAAGTAGCGGGACCTGCAGGAGGCAGAGGCCTGGTGGGGCCGTGGACGCCACGCCGAGCTGCCCAGACCCTTCCAGAAGACAGTGGGGACTATTCAACGGTTTCCAGCAGAAACTAAGCCAGGTGTTCGTTTTACGGAGATTGCTCGGCTGCAGGGTGGAGGCTGGATGAGAACAGGCGTCCTCTCAGGTAGGCGCTCGTGGTGGTAACGCTGCCCAGGAGGAGGGCACGGGTTCCGGGAAGACTTGCGAGGTTAAACCGGCAGCTCCGGAGAACTGAGCGCAAGAGGTCGGTGACACAGAGAGGAGTCCGGGAGGCCGCATGTTTCAGGCTGAAGTCACTTGGCGGGGACGTTTATTGAGATGCGAAACACAGGAAGGGATAGAGGCTGCGCAGAGGGAAAAGGCGATGGACTCGGTTTTGGAAACGCTGATGTGAAGTCCCTACGATGAAAAAAGAAATCTTCCGATTTCTCCCTTTGAAGTCTTTGCTTCTTCCGTTGCAAAGAACACAGCCTATGACATCAGGTTGAAACCAAGAATGTAGTTCTCTGAAAATACTGTGTGTGGGGGAGGGAGTTTATCTTGTCTCATTCCTTACAAGGATACTTTGCTCTCCGACACCTTAGCTCCCTGAAAGTTTCCTAGATCGTCCATCTTTTCCTCATTTTTTCGACTGCAAGCAATGAACTGTTAATTTTTTACAGTTTGGTTTTACAGCCACACACTTTATTCTTCTTTGTCAAGTTTAAAGTATTCTAGGGCTTGTGCCTTCCCACATAAAATTTAGAATAAACTTGTCTGTTTCTACAAAAAGCCATGTTGGTATTTCGAGAGGAATTGCAATCAACCTATGGATCAAATTGAGAATTGTATCCTTATTATGTTGAATCTTCCAACCCACGAACATGGTATGTCTGTCTATTTAAATAGTTTTTTTTTTTTCACTTCTTTCATCAGAATTGTGTGATTTTTTCAACATCAGATCCTATCACGTTTTGTTAGGTTTATACTTAAATATTTCCTTTGCTCTCAAGAGATTTAAACTGTTATTATTTTTATTTCAGTTTTTACATGTTTGTTGTTAGCATACAGAAATGTGATTGTGTTTCTCATGTTGATCTCATATCCTGTGACCTTGGCAAACTCACCTATTAATTTTAAGAGGTTATTTGTGTATTACTTGGCATTTTCCATGTAGATAATCATGTCATCTGCAAATATGGAGAGTTTTATTTCTACCTTTCCAGTCTGCGTGGCTTTTTATTCCTTTTTTTGTGTGTCTTAGTATGATGACTAAAATTTCTGTGTTGAATAAGAGCGGCAGGAACTGACACTGTTACCTTGTCCCCAGTGTCAGCTGGAAAACATTCTGTTTTTCACTATTAAGTATGATGACAGCTATAGGTTTTGTGTACATATTCTCTATCAAGTTGAAAGAGTTTGACAGCTGGGCCTGCAGTCACTAGAAATGCTGTGGTGCTTTATTGGAACAAGCTATGTATCAAGAATTGTGATTTTCTGCAGGCGTTGCTGGAGGAATTTTGACAAAGGTAGAAGAATCAAATAATGGATTATTGGTTCATTTGAAAGATGACATATCCTGTGTCCTTTTGCCATCTGGGGCTCCCCTCTGCTGATGGAGTATTTGAGAACCTCTATGAAGGAGCCCTGGAGAGTGAAAGTTCCCCCAGATTTCTGTGCTCATTAAACCTGTAGAACTCTTGAAAATGTGCAAGGTGAAGTAACAATTTTGATCAAACAAAGCTGTCAGTTTCTGTCTTGAGATTACAGAAGTAACTCTACAAGGCCAACATCCCAAGCACAGGAAAGACCAGCCACTAGGGCCGCAGACCCAGCATCCTGGTACAATTTATTAAAAAAAAAAAAAAAAATCAATATTTTTCCCTTCAGTTTCCATCCAGATAACTGATAATGAAACAAAGAGCTAATTTCCCAAAGCAGGCAGAAAGCATCAAAAAGCTCCCAGAGCTGAGTGTGCAAACTTCCTGTGCCAGTGCTTTGATGTTAATAAAGCACAATTCCTGCTCCTAAATTGCTCTCTTGTAAGAACAGCAGCTTCCAGAAAAAGAAGGCAGCACTTTCTGTTGCTTTAGTAGTGGACAACCCTATAGGAGTTAATGTATGAACCAGAAAAGACAATTCTTGATTTCTTCTTAGGTTGAACTTCTTAAAGAAATGTATGTGACAACTGTATAATAAGAACCCTTGTGAGATCCAAAAACCTGGGTTAGGAACTAATATTATCAGTGAAAAATTAAAGGGAAAGATTATCAACTATTAATATTCCAGTGTCAGAGAGCTGTGAACAAAGAGTTGAGGCAGAGATATCTTTAAGGTTAAAGTATGCAAAATCTGTTGTTTACTTGTAAGATCATCTTTCTAGGTTTATTGATAGTTAATAAAAAGCAGCAAAATTTATAAAAGTGAAAATTTAGCCACTTCTACTTGTAAGCCATCCTTGTTAGAGAAACTCTTTGTTTACTTAAGTCATGTTTACTACAGGAAATGAAAAATGCTCATTTGAGCTATAAAATGGACTCCGTGGTCTCTTAGTAATTAATTTAACCCATGATGACACGCAGTTCACAGGCTGAGATGGAGGGATAGGTAGATGACAGATACATCCCTGCTAGAGATCTTCAGAGCCCTAGCTTTAAATTTCATCCTTACAGACATTCAAACTTTAAGTAAATTGATAACCTGTCTCCCACAGATTAAAAAATAAATGAAGTGGATATGCACCCCATCACGCAGGGCCACTCCCAGCAGAGGGAAGTGAAGCAGCCGGCCTCCTGTCCCTCCACAGGGTAACTAACGCTCAAGTGCAGGCCTTTCTAAAGGAGCTGCTCAGCAGGCGGCAGCCCAGCTCGGCCACCGGGCTCTGGCTGTTATCATTCAAATGTGCCTTTTTTATGGACTGAGTCTGCTAGATGCATTCATTAGTTAAGGAAATGGAAAATCATGCGGAGCTCCAGGTGAGAACCCAAGGTTAAAGTGTGTTCTCAAGAGTCTTCTCCCCTGGGAGTTGAAGTTAATCAGCCTGATCAGGTCGGGGGGGAAGGCTTCCTCTCTGCATGAGTGCAGCCTTGGTGATGGAAAAGGGCCACCCTTGAGAAGGTAAGAGAGGAGGGAAGATCGCTGTCTCCATGGGGCACCCAGCAAGAGGCTGCTGTCCTTGCAGATAACCTGATCCATTGAGCTAAGAGCTGGATGGGGAGTGTCTGTAAGAATATTAAAATCCTTATCCAAAAGTGATTTATTTTCATCAGGTTTTTTCCTCTGTTATGAATAGCTGACATTTACCAAGCACTCGTGTGCCAGGCACAGTTCTGCATGTTTGACATTTCTGTCTATTGTCTCTTAACTCTCACAGCACCAGAAAGCGGGTACCATTAGTATCCCTCCTTTATCAGTGAGGAAACTAGAGCACAGAGGCTTTCAGTGACGTCACACAGCAGGCTGTTGACAGCTGGGATCTGAAGGCCCTGGAATGGAAAGATTCAGTCTCATATTGCCCAATTCGGTTCGCTGGACTCTGCTCAGCAAGCAGCCGCGTGCGAAGCACTGCTCTTGTTCAAACTAAGTGAGATGGCCTAGGTGAAAATGCTTCAGGAAAAGCACACAAATGCACTTAAAATTAAAGTATAACCACGTGGCTAGCAAAGCGGAAAGTGAAATGCTTCTAAACCATCAGGTCTATAAAATAAACTATGGGAACATGGAAAACTATATCCAAATATTAGAAGGCTTAAAAATTCTTCTGTTTTTTCGGCTGGGCGTGGTGGCTCACACCTGTAATCCCAGCGCTTTGGGAGACCAGAGGTGCACACCATCATGCCAGGCTAATTTTTGTATTTTTTGTAGAGATGGGGTCTCACAGTGTTGCCCAGGTTGGTCTCCAACTCCTGGGCTCAAGTGACCTGCCTCCTCAATCTCTCAAAGTACTGGGATTACAAGGATAAGCTACCACGCCTGGCCAATTTTATTCTTTTGTATGTGGGTATCAGTTACTACAGAATAAAATCCAACTCCTTGGCATACCAGACCCCTTTACAGTTCAATATTGTTTGTGGGGATGGGGAGGGGGCACAATCACTTTCTCAGAGCTTTGGGCCTCAGAAAGTCTTGCCTCTGGTCAGGCTTCTCCCTGAGGAATGCCATGGAGCACAGGGGCTTCCTGAACCCTGCCCTTGGGGCCTGAATCTCAGGCACAGAACCCCTTACTTAAACACTGAAGCCCAGACCCAACCACCTGTCTCGCCACTGCCCTGTTCTCCCACCTTGCCTTGACTCAAATCCTTGATCACCTGCGCTCTCCCCTAAGCAAGCTCGGAACTGTGGGCAGGGAGGGAGGCAATACTGGGCTGCCCCTGTGCAGCCGGTCTGCAGACCTGCCTGGACACCACAGGGCTCCCATGCCACCCGTGTGTGGATATTCCTCCTCCCATCACTAACTCTAAGCCCTGGCAGCACTAACCTGTTTTCAAACTCTATAATGGCATTGATTCCAGAATGCCACGTAAATGGATTACACAGTGTGTTGCCTCTGAGTTTGCCTTTTCACTCCCTGTGCTGCTTTTGTTTTGTTTTTTGGTTTTTTTGCTTGTTTGTTTGTATGAGACAGAGTCTCGCTCTGTTGCCCAGGCTAGAGTGCAGTGGCGTGATCTCGGCTCACTGCAACCTCCACCTCCTGGGTTCAAGTGATTCTCCTGCCTCCGCCTCCTGAGTAGCTGGGACTACGGACGCCCGCCACCATGCCCTGCTAATTTTTGTATTTTTAGTAGAGACAGGGTTTTGCCATGTTAGCCAGGCTGGTCTCAAACTCCTGACCTCAGGTGATCCATCTGCCTCAGCCTCCCGAAGTGCTGGGATTACAGGCGTGAGCCACTGCGCCCAGCCATGAGTTGACTTTTGATGGGATATCTTCTCTGTTACTGTGTGAGATTTGCCAGTAGCTGCAAGAAGCGATCATTGCTGATGATCCTTTTTTTCCAGTCTTTTTCTATTTGTTCAATAAACATTGAGTTCCCTACTATGTGCCAGGAAGGCACTGAGGATGAAGAGATGATTCAAATATGCTTCTCAGACTCTGATCACCTTCAAGTCTGGTGGAAGACTCTTATGCCCACACATTGGTTTGCAGATAAAATGGAAGTTTCAATAGAAACTTCCAGATTTTCTGTTGAAGGACCAGAATTTCTGTGTGGGAGGCTCAGGATCTTCATCCAGGTGGGGGTTGGGGAAAGTAACCAGTGGACTGTCTTGGAGCATTGTTTATATAAAGACTTGAGGCAATGGTGATGCCCATACTGAAGTTGGGGAGGCAGAGAACTGAACCATGCCGAAGAGCGCACACTAGAAAATTAACCCCAGGCCCCATCTTTCCTGGGCAGTGATGGCTGCCTCAGACTTGAGACACCTGCTTCTCAGCTGGGGTGGGAATTGGGCATCCCTTTCTTTTCTGTGGGACTAAATACCCCCTAGTGGAGGAAAGCTGAGATTCCTTTCTGTTTGTGGTGATAGGAGGTGCATGCTTTCTGTTTGTGGTGACAGGAGGTGCATGCTTTCTGTTTGTGGTGATGGGAGGTGCATGCTTTCTGTTTGTGGTGATGGGAGGTGCATGCTTTCCGTTTGTGGTGATAGGAGGTGCATGCTTTCTGTTTGTGGTGATAGGAGGTGCATGATTTCGCACTCTCCCCAGCCCCAGGATGCTCTGGTTCCAGATCCAGAGACTGGGTGAAAGGGGCAGGGAGCCGGGAAAGACAGGGACAAGGAGCTGGTGCATCCACACTCGACACTCACACGTGGTGACAAAGAACCTGGGTCCTGCCTGCAGTGTGGGAGAAGCTTTGAGGGCCCTGCCTTTTCACAGGGAGGTTGCAGTGGCACATTTTTCTCCACTCCAAGCAATGGAAAGACATTCTCTCACCCTGGCTCATTGTGTCCCTCCTCATCCACCCCTGGTGTCTGGGGTTTATTTTCAGTTGGAAGGACTGGCCAGTTGGGCATCCCACTTCATTCTCTGGCCCCTGAGGGTCCTTCTCCGCTTTCTTCTGGTGTGGGTTACTAACCTGGAATTGCTGCGGTGGAGATGCACAGAGCCATGCTGCTCCAGTCTGTTTACCGCACCACTGTGGCAGTCCCCCGTCCACTGCGGCAGTCCCCCTGTCCACGCGGCAGTCCCCTTGTCCCCCTACCGGGTCCATATGGACACGGAGAGCTTCCAGCCACACGGGGCTTTTACTGACCACAATGCCCTAGAATAGCAAGGCTTTCTGGGTGCCAAAGAGGAAACAAATTTGTGGTAAGAATAATGCATATGGAAGTATTTAGGGCCAGGCTCGGTGGCTCACGCCTGTAATCTCAGCACTTTAAGAAACCGAGGCAGGTGGATCACGAGGTCAGGAGATCGAGACCATCCTGGCCAACATGGTGAAACCCTGTCTCTACTAAAAATACAAAAATTAGCTGGGTGTGGTGGCGCATGCCTGTAATCCCAGCTACTCGGGAGGCTAAGGCAGGAGAATCGCTTGAACCCAGGAGGCGGAGGTTGGAGTGAGCCAAGATTGCGGCACGGCACTCCAGCCTGGCGATAGAGCAAGACTCCATCTCAAAAAAAAAATTGTATTTAGACAATGCAAATTTATGGACGGTGGGAAATTCACTGTGAAGCTGATGAAGCTGAAGCTTCTGGGCTCCTAACCTGTGAAACCTGTATGTGGCCCCCTCCTTTTTTTTTTTTTCCTTTATTAGACAGGGTCTTGCTCTGTCACTCAGGCTGGAGTACAGTGGCACAATCATAGCTCACTGCAGCCTCAAACTCCTGGGTTCAAGCCATGACCTCCCACCTCAGTCTCCTGAGTAGCTAGGACTGCAGGTGTGCACCAACACACCCAGCTAGTTTTTACATTTTTTATAGAGATGGGGTCTTGCTATGTTGCCAGGGCTGGCCTCAAACTCCTGGGCTCAAGCGATACTCCCGCCTAGGCCTCTCAAAGCACTGAGATTACAGGCCTGGCCTGTATGGACCCCTTCTTTCTAAGACCCTGGGAAAAAATCTTAGCAATGTGCTCATGTGCTTATGTTTTTGTAAAATTGACAAAAGGGAAATGCATTCCTGTCATTTACCCAGAAGAGAGGCAGACCAGAAATATTAGGTGTTCAGCACCACAGACTCCCAGACACAATCTTAAATACCTTAAAGGTCCTGGGAAGAGTTGTGCTTTAGACCTTCAGCCTGCCACCCGTGTACGTCTAAGAAAGCCCTTTATTCTCTGGAGGGCTCACTATGTTCGTTTATGAAAGAGGTTAATAACGCTTTGCTTGATATGCTCTGTTCTGAGCCCTTTATTCTTCCTCTTGATTCACCAACCATGCTATGAGGTAGGAGCTTTTATGATCTCCAATATACATGGGGAAACAAGCTGAAGAGAGTTGTGGTAATTTTGCTTAAAGCCGAAAGCGACCCAGTGACCCAGCAGTCCCATAGATAGTTTTTTGGATAAACATAGAAATTGACCTTCTGGTGTTAAAGCTTGAACCTTATATTTGTTTTATCTGAGTTCCTTCCTCAGAGACCTTCAGGCCTCTCAAAACAGGTATCAAAGAACTGGAACTCACCAGATCACTACATCCAGACGAGATGCCAGACCCCTCATTCATCACAATTGCTTCCGTGCCCCTTCCTAGTTCCTGCTTTCTTAACACATTGGTACATTTCTTCCCTGGTATACGACTCCCTAGTTTTAGTCCCTCAGGGAGATGGATTTGAGACTGAGCTCCCATCTCCGCGGCTGCAGCAGCCGATTAAAGCTTCTTCCTCTCAATACTTGTCATCTCAGTCATCGGCTTTCTGTGCGGTGAGCAGCAGGACCTAGACTGAACCCCTGGCATTTCGGTAACAAAGCCACACAATTAGTCAGTGGCAGAGCAGGCAATCACATCTAGATGTAGGAGTCTGGATCCGGGGCCCAAACTGCGGCTGCTGCCAGCACTGGTAGTTGCTGTTTTCCTCAAGTCAATTTCACGCTAGGATTTCTTGACTGTCTCCTCTGTGCAAGAACCCCTCATAAAAACCGAGAGATTGATACATGGAAAATGCTTTGGAGGAATCTTAGTGTTTTTAAAGTAAAAGTATCATTGGATCAGCACTAAAGTAAAAAAGGCATTTCTAATTTATCAAATCTATAAAGGAGGAAGAGAAAATTTTAAGATCCTGTAAATATTCTTGTGTGTGTGTGTGTGTGTGGGTATACAGTTAGATTTTCCTCACAACTGTAATAATTGGAGGCAGTTTGAGGAATTATTAGGATTAAAACCACGTGGAAATCCAATTCTGACCTAAGTCATTGTGTTATGACCGCAAGGCCTCTCATGCCTCAGAGCACGTGGTGTATGCCTTTGTCCTTGCCGCCTCCTACTGAAATTGTGTCTCCTGTTTCCCAGCCCCCAGTCCATTAGGTCTGTCCAGCGAAGTTGTATTTGGTTACCTGCATGTGTTCTGCACCTATACAGCCCCTGACACACAGGCTTTTCCTTAAGACATTTGTTGCTCTGGTTTTCTTGCTTTTATTTATTAAACAGACAAATGAACAATGATATAAATTAGCTCAAAGTTCACGACGTTCTTGCTACGTTCGTCAAATCCCTTGCCAGGGTACTGGGGAACTGAAATCTCTAAATAACTGAGAGTGATACTGAGAAATGCACTTTTAATATGATTTCACCAAAATCTTATGAAGGGGACACATAGGAAGACATTAACATAGCATTTGTTTTTGCTTTGAGTCAAAATAGAAGCCTCTCAGGCCTGGAATGCCAGGAAGCAGCCTGACTACTAGCAAGGTCTTCAAGTTCCACAGCAGACAGGTCTGCATTTGCTAACACTTGTCTTTCCTTCCACCTTCCACATCCAGCGTGAATTGCCACATTCCTTGACTATTTCAAGAACCCATTGACTGGTATGTCTTCTGTCTTGCCTCACTCATATTCATCCCACATGTGCATTCCAGAGTGCTCTTATGAATGAATCAATCTCCTATCTTCCGCATTAAAAACCTTCCATGGCTCTCCACTGCTTACCAAATAAAGCCCCACCCTTGGCTTTCATAACTCTCCATCCGGATTCAACTTCTATTTTCCTTCTGTCTCATGCCAACCCCAAACCACAATTAAACCAAAGTGTAAACAGCTTTTACATAAATCCTGTACTTTTCCTGCTCCTGGTTCCTTCCTGTCTGAAATTGACTTTCTTGATTCTAATTAGACGTTTTCATAAAATCTTTTCTTCTTTTCTTCAGAGACAAGGGTCTCACTCTGTCACCAAGGCTGGAGTGCAGCGGTATGACTGTAGCTCACTGCAGCCTCAAATTCCTGGGCTCACGCAATCCTCCCACCTTAGACTCCCAAGTAGTTAGGACTTCTGGTGTGAGCCACCATGCCTGACCACATTCTCATAAAAGCTTAATTTGAATCCCTTCCTCCCTCATCACTTTTATAGGTTGTCGCCTTCTCAGCTTTATACAGATCTATATCATTGCCTTGCAATACAGCTCTTAGCTCCTCTTAAATAAGGCCTTGGGCGGCAGGAATACATTTTAAACTTTGTAGTGTGCCCACACCCTGTCCTCCTGCAGCACCCAAAACTTCCTTCATTCAAAAAAGACAGTATTTGTTGTTGTTACAGACACATATTCTCTTCTCTCTAAACATTGGCTTGTAGTTAATGTCTTGCGTATTCTTTTCAATAGGGATGAGGGGATGGAGTAACATAGTAAGTTATAACAGAGCTCCCCTGGCTGGGCACAGTGGCTCACACTTGTAATCCCAGCACTTTGGGAGGCCGAGGTGGGCAGATCACTTGAGGCTAGGAGTTTGAGACCAGCCTGGCCAACATGGTGAAACCCTGTCTCTACTAAAAATACAAAAAGTAGCCGGACGTGGTGGCTTGCGCCTGTAGTCCCGGCTACTTGTGAGGCTGAGGCAGGAGAATCGCTTGAACCCCAGAGGAAGAAGTTGCAGTGAGCTGAGATTGTGCCACTGCACTCCTGCCTGGGCGACAGAGCGAGACTCTGTCTCAAAAACAACAAAAAACAGCAAACAAACAAACAAAACAAGGTCTCCTGAAGTCCCATCTGTGAATCTCACTTTAATTCTACTTTCATACATCATAAACAATGCTTAGTTTGCAAAGTTATTAATAATTTAAGGAGCCTGCTTTTTAAAAGCCAAATTGGACGAGAGTTTTATTATTCCAAAATCCAGTTAAGTGTTTAATCAAATACAATTAAACATTTAAAATAAAAATCAACTATAGTAGAACCAGAGGTGGTGAAGGATAGATTTTATCAATGTGATTAAAAATATTTAAAAGGAGGAACAGCTTCAGAAAAGGAAACAAAAACACAAAAAAAATATTCAAAGTGTTTATCAGGAAAAGAAACACTGAATAGCACTCCTAGACCACAGGCTTCTTAACATGAAACCCAACGAATATTCAAAATTCAAAAGTCTCAGCCCTTGATATTGAGGCAGTCCAGAAGTAGAAATACACCCTAAATCACAGCTTAGGAGTAAGTTTCCAAATATCCATTTTATCATGATTTACATTCAGAGGTGTGCTATCCAGAGAAACCTTCTGCATCTGTAGCTGTGGCACAGAGAACGACACAGACAGGAGGGCATTCCTCCATTTCCCCTTCCCACACCTTTGCTCTAGAATCAGGAAGAGCATCAGTGAAAGTCCCCAGGCCCCTAGAGGAGGGATCCAGTGAACTAGTAAAATGCAGACTAATCAAGATAAAGTGGATCCAAGAAAGGACTTTCATGGTTTGACGGTGAATCTTCACTGGTCACCCTTCTGGCATTAGGAAAACAAGGTAGTATGTGTTCTTCTGATGTTTCTCATCAGTCCAGCTCTTCCGGTTCCACTGGGGATTCTGCCCCAGTCCAAGACCCGATGCTGGTGCCAACACACAGGGTGCAGGTCCTGCCCTAGAGGAGCTCAGCCCTTGGGTCTAATCCATGATTCCTTTGGAATAGAGCGGCCCACATGGCACCACTCAACACTGACTGCAGTCGCACTGAACACCAGGCCAGAACAAGTGTGGGTTCTACTCCTGAAGCAGGCTTCTAGAGATCAGTATCCTCATCACTTCATTGCTACCTGTAAGAGGGAGGAAGGAGGAAGAATTTCACAGCAGCAAAGTCTGAGAGTTTAGTAAAGCTCTGACCAGGCTGCTCCAGGCCTAGTTCAGAGTAGCTGCAGATTTAAACTACAATCATTGCTTTTAGCCTGGGAGAGATGAGATTATCAGAGACTTCTCTACAAAGTACTGAAAAATGTCAGGAAATAATACTTTTTTAAAAACTTCTTCTGATGGTAAAAATGCTTATATAAAGTTTAAAAAGGCAGAATAAAAACAGTATATACAGGATAATTCTAATTAAAATTAAAAATGTACCAACAAAGGCAGAGTAAAATGCCTAAAAGGAGATGTACCAAAATAACATTCTGGATGTAGAAACATGAGTGATTTTTTTTCTTTTACTTTTCTTTTGAGACAGTCTTGCTGTCGCCCAGGCTGGAGTGCAGTGGTGTGATCTTGGCTCACTGCAACCTCCGCCCCCCAGGTTCAAGCAATTCTCTTGCCTCAGCCTCCTGAGTAGCTGGGACCACAAGCATGTGCCACCAGGCCCCACCAGGCCCGGCTAATTTTTTGTATTGTTTTTAGATGGAGTCTCACTGTCACCCAGGCTGGAGTGCGATGGTGCAATCTCAGCTCACTGCAACCTCCACCTCCTGGGTTCAAGCGATCTTCCTGCCTCAGCCTCTCGAGTAGCTGGGATTCCAGGCATGCACCACCACGCCCAGCTAACTTTTTATAATTTTAGACAGTCGGGGCTTCACCGGGTTGGCCAAGCTGGTCTCGAACTCCTGGCCTCACGCGATCCACCCGCCTCAGCCTCCCAAAGTGCGGCGATTATAGACATAAGCTACCGCACCCAGCCTACTTTTCCTAATTTTATAAGGTTTCAACAATAAATACACATTTCTTTGGTAATCAGAAAACTGACTTACAAAAGAATGAAAACATTTTCCCTGAAAGGAGGGTATCAATTATTTGCTTCATTTTTAGCAGTGGCCTTTAATGCAAAAAGAAATATAAACCCCCTCGAGGAATCAGTAGTCACATCGTCTCAAATAAAGCATAAACTGTAGATTTATCCAACAGTAAAGTCCATGATGAAACAAAGTGATACAGTGATGAGTGCCCCAATTCTTCTGTAAGTGGGTGATGGTGTGGCCTACAATAAATGTTTTCCTGCTTATTATTGCAGGGTGGAGAGAGAGTTAGAATGAAGGCGAAGTTTCCTACGCACATAAAGCTCAGTGAGAAAGCAATTCCAAGAGTAATGGAAGGAAAACGACTCTCGGGAATTCAGTTTGAACACTGGCGACTGAGCCCATAAACATCTTTCTGGAATGAGGTTTGCAGAAGAAAGCAGCGGTCTAACCTGTGGTAGCCTGTGACTCTGACATTAACACCAGAGCGGTGGGTCTCAAAGTGTGGTTCTCAGACAAGCTGTGGCAGCCTCACTTGAAGACTTGTTGCAGATACAAATTCCCAGGCCCACACTAGACCCTCTGGAGCAGAAGCTCTGGGGTTGAGGCCCGCAATCTGCGCTCCCATGCCCTCCAGGCGATTCCAGCACAGGCTGAGGTTTGAGAAGGGTGCTGTGAAAGGGGCAGGGAAGCCCCATTATATAATGTTTCCAGCAAGGCAGCCTCACGTTGCTTCACCGAAGTCACTCAAAGAAGCCTCTGCCCCTCCTGCTTTTCCAAGAGTCGTGTCATTTCAAGACTTCCGCACTGGCTGTAGAGAGTGGAGACAGCCAGGCTCCGAGCCCGACCCCAACGGCTTCCATGTTTCCTCGATAGAATGTCTGTGACTACCAAGAAGATACCCATATAGTGATGGTTTATTTTATTGAAAAATACACTAGTAATATTGAGACAGGTATCTTTTAGGCCATCTGGCTGATAATCAATATAGAGCTACTGATGACCATACTGGCTCACATTTGCCTTGTCCATCACTGTTCTTGGATCCCTGAGAACCACGTACTCGATAACCTTAGAGAAAAGCCCCGGCTGTGGTTTTCAACATGCTTTCTCATCCATTATCTCAGTTCACCCTTCTCGCAGATCTCCAGAGGAAAAGGGCAGCAGCAGAGCGATCTGAGGCCCCCCGAAAGGGACGAAGCTGCGGCTCTGGACTCCAGGCCCCTGCCAGAACAGCTCTGCGGAACGGGAGGGAGGAGGAAGCCTCGAGACAGACAGGGCTTGACTGCACCCTGAGGCCCAGGAGGCATGGGGACAGAGAGTGGGGAAAGCAGCGATCCCGCCCCCGTTCTGAAGGGAAGAGAATAACCTCTGGCAATTTTTACCTTCTAGAATCTGGTGGACCCTGGAGTCCCGCACGTACTGCTGAACAGCGTAATCCTTCAGGTAGCCGTAGCCCCCGTGCATCTGCAAGGCCTGGTTGCAGATCTGCAGGGAGACAGGGACTAGACGTCTTGGACTCTGGGAAGACTGTGGAGCAAGCAGCTTCCCTTCCTACCCCAGCCCACGATCTGGCAGCCCGCCATAAACCCATGAAAGAACCACAAACAGCCAAGCTCAAAGAGGGCCTCCACATTCTGTATGGTTAGAGACAAGGGAAGTTCACCTACTAAACTTGTCAGTTCCCCCCAGACAGGCGACTCAAAGCCCTCTGCCCCTCTCCCTTATTACCTGCCAGGCAGAAGCTGCCCACAGCCACCCTGGCTGGGATGATAAAAAGCTATGGTTCCCCCTAGTGGCAATGCAGCCTGACAATGTAAACATGGCAGAGTGCTAAATTGGGGCTGCTGTGAACCTTCCAAAGGTGGTTTCTCGCCTAGAACACAACCAAACAACAGTGACATAATGAAGTGTATAATGGCATGCAGCAGGCCTAAAAGCCAGCGATGAGAGCTCCCACATAGGCCGCTCATGAGTTCATTTATATCCTTAAGCTTAAGGTGATCCTTGTGGGATTCCAGGAGGGCTGGGTTCCAAATCTGACTCATGTCTCTCAAGACCCCTGGGCCTAGCAGCTGTTCCCTGTCCATCCCAGGAGAGCCAGAGGAATCACTTACGGCAAAGCATTCATCTGTAGCAAAGAGCTTGGCCATGGAGCACAAGGCCACTGCATCCTTCCTCTCCTCCTGCAGAGCCACTGCTGCATTGCGGACCATCAGCCGCGCGGCCACCAGCCTTGTTGCCATATCAGCCAGTGTGAATTGCAAGTACTGCAGCACAGGGAGCAGAGAACCAGACAAGACTGAGGGGCTTAGACCAGCACCTGGTGCAGGAGCCTCGGTAAGACATCTCGGAGGCGCCTTTTCTAAGTGATCCAAAGCTTCAAAGTCTCTTGCTTTTTCTATAGAGGAAATTTATTGCTTTTAAGTGCTAAGTCCACTTCACTCACCCGACACTTTAATATCGTTAAAGATATCCCAAGAAAAGATGGACAGAAATAAAGCACAAGCTCTGGCTAGGACAGTGGTGGGACTGACAGAGGAATTTCCTGGCTTCTCTCCTGGAAATGTGGGCCCTAGAGCAGGTCCCGGGCTGCAAATAGTGCAAAGCCATGTGGAGGCAAGGCAGAGGTTACCTGGTTACTGGCCAGAGGCTCTCCAAACTGCTTCCGGACATTGAGGTGGTCTCGGGTGAGGATGACAGAGGCGTGGGCAGCCCCCAGGGAGCAGGAAGCTAGAGGGGAAGAGCGCCGACGTTCCAACCAAGCTGGAAAACAGCAGTGCCTGTCCCGGACCGCTACCTCCCTGCCACACCCCTGCGTATCTCACCAATATTGATCCTCCCTCCGTTCAGTCCTCTCACGGCAATGAGGAAGCCCTGCCCCTCGCTCCCAATTCTGTTGGCCACAGGGACAGCACAGTCTTCGAAGATCACAGCTCGTGTTGGCTGGGAGTTCCACCCCACCTGGCAAAAATCAGGGACTGCGTGGTTGCCCAACAATCCAGCAGGTAGGGCGGCCTTCCCTGGGGACGGGAGCCTGTGAGGTATGGGTTTCAGCACCCAAGACTTAGACCCACAAGAACTTAAAATGAGGAAAAAGAAAAAGTTCAGGTTTAAAGGCCTGTCAGCACTCAGAAAGATACCTGTTTCAGCTAAACATTTTCTAACTTATTAAGAGAATCTACTAATGTCTACTCTACCTGACTAACCTACAAACACTTCTCACAACTTCTTTTAGGATTGTGACACCAACTGCCCCCAATTTCAGTGCCTCTAATTGAAAACCACAAACTATCTACAATCTCCCAGTTCCTCTCTGGCTCTGAAAATAGACTGCCTTTACATCATTTCCTTGCTCTCTTTTGTTGATAGGATAAACTCCATTTCTAAGCCTTTTACTGAAGGTCTTCCTGCCCAGGAGTTAGCATGGGCTTCACACACAGTAGAAGCCTAGGAAATGGTTGCTGTGTTACCAAAGAGAAGGGGATGCTAAAATGCATAATGCCTTACAGTTACAGAGGATCAGGAAGGATCCTGTAGGAAAATACAGAAACCCGAGGAGCTGTGAGAAAGAGGTACACTTAGGGGTCATTTCATTACCTGCCTTCTCTCACAAAGTCCCCCCATAACAGTACAAACTAGAGAGAGATGACTGCTTTGAGCATCTGGTCTAAAAAATCTGAATGGGTCTTGAGCCCTTATTACCAATTACGGTTACATGATCACAAGTCTCCTGTTCATGCCCTGGCCATGGCGGCTCTTAATCCTAGAAGTATCTTACTTTTCAAATTACTTACAGTACCTAAGTGTCCTTCTTGGGTTGCTGAAATACCCACAATCATCTCCAATGAGTTTTACTTTATTTTTAATCAAAGAAGCAAAAGGGACCACACGCCTTCCATTACTGAGACTTGTGGCCAACACCAGGTCTTCTCTAAGCGTCTCTTCCTGGAGCAACAAAGTGCACCAACGTAAGCAGCTGGATAAGGAACACAGGCCAAAAGCAGAGGCAGGAGAGGTCAGAACACTCACAGGTGGCTTGAAGAATTTACTGGCAAACATTGTCACTTTCCCCAGAGGCCTAGTGTTTAATAATGCCCTGTTGTATTTCATATGCTCCTGTTGAAAATCCTAATAGAAGCAACTGCTTCAAAGGTAGGTTAGCAAGTATGCAAACCTGTTTTCTGAAATAGAGCAGGAGTTGGGCTGGCAGGTGGCAGAGTCTCATAACCTGAATTGTTTCCTGTCCAACAGCCACTCACCTTTTTCTCCTTCTTGCCAAAGCTGAGGCCAGGGGTCCCCTTCTCAACAACTATGCATGAGATGCCCTTGGGGCCTGGTCCTCCTGTTCGGCACATGACCACATAGATGTCTGACTCACCAGCACCACTGATGAAGGCCTGTGGGGGTAAAAGGGGTGCAAAAGGACCAGGGAATGCTTGAGTTCTCACAGCGTCTGGGAACACCACTGGGTCCTCCTGACAATAAGGTCCAATGGCACAGAGACTGACAATAAGGTCCAATGGCACAGAGACTGACAATAAGGTCCAATGGCACAGAGACTGACAATAAGGTCCAATGGCACAGAGACTGACAATAAGGTCCAATGGCACAGAGACTGACAATAAGGTCCAATGGCACAGAGACTGAGGTGAGGTAAAAGGTCGCTGCAGTGACTGCAGATCAGAGAGGCAGTCCAAGAGAGTATAAAAAGGATAGACAAAAGTCAACGAAATGATCTGGAATCAGATTAGGAGAGATACAAACAGTGAGAATAAAGAAAGAGAAATGGGTCAGAGGTTCTCTTCCCAACACATAAAAATCCTATGGGAGTATTAACCCGCGGATGTGAAGGAACCAGAGGATGTCAGGAGGAAGCTGGGAACAATCTCCAAAGTGCTCTGGGAGGACGCACGCTAGTACCTTGGAGCCATTGAGGATGTAATGATCTCCCTGTTTCTTAGCGGAGGTCAGAAGAGAGGCAGCATCACTCCCACTTCCTGAGGAGGGATCAAAAGGCAGCAGAGAGAAGGTGAGAAAGTCAGTGAGGTCGAGGGAGCCCAGCACAATTCTATCTTCTAGGAAATCTTCTCTAAACAGACCCTGCTCAGAGTGTGTCACTGCAAAACCCAAGTGGCCAAAGGAACTCTCTGTACTTGGTGGAAACTGCTCATACCAGTCAGGCCACTGCCTACCTCCCAACACACCAGATAGGCTTCTTGGTCCTTGTGACATCAGGTCACAGGACTCTATTACTCCTCAACCAAACAGCTAGATAAACAGTGGCTCGACATGTCAAGAGGCTGGAAGGAGTGCTCGGTAATGCCATCTGAGCAGGAAGCATCTCTCCCTGCTATATCTCAGTGCAGTGTGGCAAATTCACCTGGTTCAGTGAGGCAGTAGGAAGCAAACTTCTCCATGGTACAGAGCGGTGGGCAAAATTTGTGCCTCTGTTCCTCATTTCCGAAGCTATCAATCATCCAGGCACACATGCTGATAGGTACACCAAGAAGAAAAGACAATGACAGAAATAAAGATGGAAAAGAAAAAAAAATGGGGGAGAAGGGGAAAGAGAACAAAGGGCAGGGCAGTGGAGTAAAGCAGAAGAGTGGGAAGGGGAGAGTCACAATTGGGAAGACTCTTTAAAGGCAAACGGTGGATTAAAACATATTCCTGGAATAAGGACTACCCAGAGATAACCAGGCTGAGGTACTTCTCACCAGCACGTTTGTACTACTTCTAGTTAGGTTACACGAGCCTCTAAAAATCAGAGTTATATGTGCTTTCTATTAGTAGTTTCTATTACTTCCTCAAATCACTGGCAGTTCCATCTTTGGATTGAGGAAAAGGGTGAGAGGGGCCGGGTGCGGTGGCTCACATCTGTAATCCCAGCACTATGGGAGGCCGAGGCAGGCAGAACACAAGGTCAGGAGTTTGAGACCAGCCTGACTAACATGGTGAAACCCCATCTCTACTAAATATGAAAAAAAATTAGCCAGGTGTGGTGGCACGTGCCTGTAATCCCAGCTACTCAGGAGGCTGAGGCAGGAGAATCACTTGAACCGGGGAGACGGAGGTTGCAGTGAGCCGAGGTCATGCCACTGCACCCTAGCCTGGGCAACAGAGCGAGACTCTGTCTTAAAAATAAATAAATAAATAAAAGGGTGAGAGGACCCTGATCACTCTATTGGAGAAGTCTCCTGGTACCAGCTCAAAATAAGATTTCTGAGAAAGCTGGCTGACCTGATTCCCTAAGCAATACACAGGATGACAGAATCAAGTCCAACAGGCAGCAACAGACCTAGCGTGTACTTATTTTATTTATTTATTTTTTTTGAGATGGAGTCTCGCTCTGTCGCCCAGGCTGGAGTGCAGTGGTCCATCTCGGCTCACTGCAAGCTCCGCCTCCCGGGTTCACACCATCCTCCTGCCTCAGCCTCCCGAGTAGCTGGGACTACAGGCGCCAGCCACCACACCCGGCTAATTTTTTGTATTTTTAGCAGGGACGGGGTTTCACCACGTTGGCCAGGCTGGTCTCAAACTCCTGACCTCGTGATCTGCCTGCCTTGGCCTCCCAAAGTGCTGGGATTACAGGCACGAGCCACTGCGCCCGGCCCCTAGAGTGTACTTTTAAGTCCAGTTCCTTGAGGACACTCAGCTTCAAAAGATCAATCTTTTTCCTACGAATCTGAACTCTCACAGTCAGCCCGAGTGAGCACTTCATTGTGCCTTCCAAGCTTGGGCACTCACTTGTGGATGCTTATATAGGCTGTGGTGCTGGTGCAGCCTGTAGCCAAGGCTTCAAAAATGACAGAGGTATCAAGACGTGACAGCCCAGACCCGCCCACATCTGTTTGTATGTAGACCCCTCCGAAGCCTAGCTGGGCTGCCTTCCGCATCACATCCACTGGGAACAGCTCCTATGTACAAAAGAGAGCAGGGTGATCAGCAGCTGATTCAGAGACGGCCTTCCTTTTAGAGGGCACAGTGAGGGATTAGGAGGCTTGCACATGCGACAGCGTATGAATTCTCTTAATATGCCTGTTTGTCATCTTACAGTGGTTATCAGTTAACATGGGTCCTGTAAAAACTTGTTCTGGCATTAAGAAGTTTCTTTTTATTATCTATAGAACTGCCTTAGTTTTATATCCAAATCTTTATTCAACTAACAAAAAAAAAGTTATGTACAAGATGATCAGGATGCCTTCTAGGAAAAATCATCCACTACCGGTATTCTCACTTGCAGTAAGAGTTGGTAAGTGGAGGAGACATTTAACAATTACATTATCAGGAGACAAAGATAAAGGTCTGCCTGAGACATCTGTTGTTAGAACGTCTAAGCACAAGAAAAACGCCTACCTTCTGGTCCCACTCTGCCATATTTGGAGCCATCTCTCGGGCAGCAAAGTCAAAGGCCACTTTTTGAAATTCTTTCTGCTCTTCATTAAGTCCCATGGAAGCTGTGGGCAGGATTGCATATACTGTTCTAGGACAGGGTCAGTGTTGCCAACAAGGTGTTGCCAACAAGAAGCACCACGAAGTTGTGAAAGTGGATCTACTGTAGTATTTCCCATACACGGTATAGCCTTTAACAGCTAGAGAATGGCAGCTTCTGTCGTTATTCCACTTGTCATATGGAGAAAGGACAGTTCTAGCACACATCCAGATCAACCTAGAACAGGATAGGGGACTTCCAGACATCTCTTATCCTAGCACTTAGTAAAATGCAGTTGTAGACCTAGAGGTTGAGGCCACAGTGCTAGAACTTTGGTCATTATAACTGACACTGAAGAGCACTATGGGCTGGGCGTGATGGTTCACGCCTATAATCCCAGCACTTCAGGAGGCCGAGGCGGGCAGATCACCTGAGGTCAGGAGCTCAAGACCAGCCTGACCAACATGGAAAAACCCCGCCTCTACTAAAAATACAAAAATTAGCTGGGTGTGGTGGCGCATGCCTGTAATCCCAGCTACTTTGGGAGGGTGAGACAGGAGAATCGCTTGAACCCAGGAGGCAGAGGTTGCAGTGAGCTGAGATTGTGCCATTGCACTCTAGCCTGGGTGACAGAGCAAGACTCTGTTTCAAAAGAAGAAAAAAAGAAAAAAGAGCACTATGGGAAGACTATGGCGCCACACTTGGCAATAATTTACTTCAGTGCCTACAAGCGATGCAGTCCTCACAGAAGAACACAAGGGCAGGTGCCAGAGTCTGTTCCTTGGGGCAAATCTGGGCATCAGTAATGGCTGGCTATGCGAGCCTGGAGAGGGCACTGCTTTCTGTGATCAGTACTCTCATTAAAATGGGAAAGTCAGAAATGAAGAGTTCTGAGGATTAACGATTAGGCTGCCTTGAGAAACTCAGAGCAGAAACCTATGTTGGGTATTACCCTCAGGAACAGAGTTAGGGATAAACAATTCATGGTTCTCTGACTGGGGTCAGGCCATTTATTCACACAATTTTGTACAAGGGTTGCTGTTACTGTAGACCATGGCTCAAAGATCATTTCCAAAAGAATGTTTATTGGGTGTTTACTAGGTAGCAGTGCTGGGGTTACAAAAATAAATATGATCCAGCCAGGCGCAGTGGCTCATGCCTGTAATCCCAGACTTTGGGGAGGCCAAGGCAGGTGGATCACTTGAGGTCAGGAGTTCAAGTCCAGCTTGTCCAACATGGTGAAACCCCGTCTCTACTAAAAATATAAAAATTAGCTGGGCATGGTGGCATGTGCTGTAATCCCAGCTACTTGGGAGGCTGAGGCACAAGAATTGCTTGAACCCGTGGGGCAGAGGTTGCGGTGAGTTGAGATCGCACCACTGTACTCCAGCCTGGGCAACAGAAAGAGACTCCATCTCAAAAAAATAAATAAATAAGATCCATTCACACAAAGGATGACTATTTCAATCCTAGCAAGAGCTCATTAAATGTTAACAAATCTTCTTCTTCTGTAAATGGCTACTTCCTAAAACAAATAGTTCAAGGAACCACAGGCTTAAGAAATAAATCTGAGTTGCATTCTAATGGAAGGAAATAGTTTTATGCAAATCATATGCATAAGTAAACACAAGTTCCCAGAAGGAAATACAGTATAAAAACAAAACAAATACCACCACTCATGAACTTTGCCAGTTACTAGCAGAGTTCAAGATGCCAATACATAGTTACTAGCAGAGCTCAAGATGCCAATACATATACACTAAAAAGGTAAAGCTAAATAGAAAAACACTCCAAATGAAATGGGAAAAGCCTTTGACTGCAGAGCCACTCAAGTGTAAGCAAGATGCAAACAATAACAAAACCCACCTCTAAATAATTCCTTATCTGCTTCGGTATCAACCAGGGTAATCTGGGTTATCAAATTCTAAGCGCTAGGCCAGGGCAGCACCTCTTGAATGAGTTTTAGGACATTCAGAAGAAAACAGTATTCTATGCCTTACTGTACTTTATAGATCTGATATCTAAGGGACTTATTCTGTTGTAAAGAAAACTGCCATTTATTTAAAATAAATTTAAAAATATTTCAGAAGAAAAAAGTGTTTATAAACATTCTTGGCAGAGAAGTCACAAACTGGCCGGGTCTCCACCACTCCTCGCTACATTCAAATTACTGTTCAGAGCCTAAAGACACTCAAGTTTGTCAGCTCTGGTAGAGTTTCCCACTGGCAATAATAATTATTTTTCCTGCATGAGTTTCAACACTAAAAGTGTCTTATAGCCAGAGGTGTTAAGATACCAAATCTTTGTGTGTGAGCAAATCTTGTATGACCTGGAGTTCTTGTGCAGTTGTCACCATCAGCACCCAGCCAGCTTCTTATATTCTCACTGCTTTTATGACCTACTGTTATGATTAAAAACCAACCAACCCAACAACAACCAAGCCCCAAGTTTCTTCACTTCTCTAAGCATCCGAGGGTGACCGGCCGCAGGAGGACCCGGGCCGGAGGGGAACCTGCGGGGGGATGACCGGCCGGAGGGGAACCTGCGGGGGGTGACCGGCCGGAGGAGGACCGGGGCGGGGGTGACCGGCCGGAGGAGGACCGGGGCGGGGGTGACCGGCCGGAGGAGGACCCGGGCAGGGGTGACGGGCCAGATGGGGACCCGGATGGTGGTGACCGACCGGAGGGGGCAGCCAGGCCGGGGGTGACCGGCCGGAGTAGGGAGCCAGGCCGGGGGGGTGACTGGCCGGAAGGGGAGCTGACGCCGGGGTGACTGGATGGAACGGGGAGACTGCAGCCCCTCGCGGACATATGTCCGCCGGGGTTCTGGACACCTGTCCTACTGCCCGCCAGGAGATCCTTACGGTCGATGCAGGAGGTCAAGCTCCGGTGGCCGGTCTGGACGAGGACCCGGAGACCGCCGGGCAGGCAGCCGAGGCGCGCCCCGAAACGCCGGCAGCCGCTCCACAGCATAGCCGCCGCAGCTCCGCGTTCAGCTAAGAGTCTGAACGCCTTCGACCTCCGTTGCGCTCGCACTGGCGGGACCTGCGACCCGGCAACGCCTGTCCCACTGCACCCTGGGGGTTGTAGTCCTCCCACGAGCCCTAACAACCCAGGTGCCAGGCGGGCTCCCAAGGGGACAGGACTACAATTCCCAGAAGTCCTCGGGGCCTCGGCGCCGCAGAGATGCACCGCCCACCAAGCGCCGCGGGGGTCGCGCTGCACAGCCTGCGGCGCAGCGGAGGCGGACCGCAGTCGAGTCTGCAGAGTGTTGGGTCTGTAGCCAGCAAATTACTTCATCATCTAGATTATCCATTCAGTTGATCCTAATTAGCAAGGATAACAAGGTAACACAAGGCTTACTTATATTCACCCAACAAAAGTGTCTCTGTGGAGCCACTTCCCAGTGAACTACATACTGAGATAGGGGTTCCTGGATGAGAAGGACCAAGGACAGAACCGAGAAGAGTTTAGGGGCAGGTTATGCGAGATGGAAATGGCGCAGATAACGGAGGGAAGGATTTGAGGGCTCAAACGTAGGCGTCTGTGTTTCGCAAAAGTTGGAGACGTTCTAGGCTGCCTCTCGTTGCCTCCATCTCGCTCTGCGCGGGTTTTGGAGGACATTAGCATTCTTTCTTGTATCTCCGTTGATTCCAGAATCGTCCGCACTAAAGTCCCCTGCAGCGTGACCATGTCGAGACCCCGGAAGAGGCTGGCTGGGACTTCTGGTTCAGGTGAGCTGCCCCTAGGCTGCACAAAGGCAGCCCAAGAAAAAACTTTTCTCGAAGAGCCTGTTTAGTACTCATTTTTCACTCCCTGCTTTTTGAGAACCCTTTGTGATATTTTTACTCCATTATCCTTAATCACTCTCCATCTTCTTTACTTGTCTCACCAAGCTCCTACCTACAGTTCCTTTTTCTTGTTTATTCAGGCAATGGTTGTTGTGCACAAAGACTCTTTGAGATACCAGGTGGCGTGCTAAAGAATATAAAGCGCCTGCTTGCGGGTGAACTGCAAACAGATGTGATGGGGTTCAGGAAAATGGATTGTTAAGTTTATGGAGGGAGGAATCACGGGGAAGGCCTCGAGAAGGATGTGGAATTTGAGCCCAGCCTTGAAGAATGGGAGACTTTCCACGGGCAAAGTTTAGTACTAAGAAAACGTGATGTCGTTTTTATAATCACAAAGATGGATGGCATTCTAAGTGGATGGAGGAGGAGGAACATTGGAAGGTACAGAAAGTACCTCTTTTGGGAATGACAGGGGTTCCAGATATACTACAGCACATTGCAGTTATTTATCAATATGTGGTGTTTGCAGTGGGCCTGTTAACTCCTAAGGGGCCATTAGGAAACTAGGTTAGGAAGGTATGCTGGGTTCAGAGCATTAGACAGCCATAAATGGTATTTAATGACAATTGATGTAGGGACTTTGACTAAATTCAGAGGCAGTATAGTCATTAAGTAGCTTCAGATAGACCTCAGTGACAGGTGCTGACCTCATATCTTGATTCCACCATTACTGGATGTGTGATCTGGAGCATGCTTCCCAGATGAAGAGTAGAACATCTCACAGGTTATGTAGATTAACCGAGTTAGGGTTAGGGTAACACATAGACCTTGGGCCCTGTCATATAGTAATTTAACAACTTAGCTACTGAATGCCTACTGTGTTCCAGGCACATTCTGATTGTCTTGGGATGAAATCGAATCATCACCATTTTTCTACAATGTCCTGAATGAACTGTTTCTTTCAACTTTTATTGGCACCTTCAAGGAGCAGAAAGGAGATGGGCCAGGAGCCACAGTGAGCAAGAAGGAAAGACGTATGAGATGAGAATAATAATGCTTTTATTATGCACTTATTGTAATGCCAGGCATTGTCTAGGCCCTTTGTATTACCTCATTTAAGCTTCAAAATAGTTGCAAGTAGGTGCTCAGTTTCCTCTTTCCTATGCAAAGGCATAGAAGAGAGAGTGAGGAAAGGAAAACATGTATTGACTACTGTCCGGACCTTTAATCCTGAACAACCCTGTAAGGTGTTCTTACCCTATTGAATAGATAATCCAGAAGATACCCTGTAAGGTAGGTATTCTTGTCTAATTTTTATAGATAAGGAAAGCTTCTTAACAGTAAGATTAAGTTCCTACAGCTGGTAATGGATCCATGATTTGAATCCAGGTCTGACTCCAAAGCTAAGCTTTTTCCATTATGAAACATTGCCTTTAACAAGCATGATCTTTTCTTTTTGCTTCTCCTATTGCAGACAAGGGACTATCAGGAAAACGCACCAAAACTGAGAACTCAGGTGAGGCATTAGCTAAAGTGGAGGACTCCAACCCTCAGAAGACTTCAGCCACTAAAAACTGTTTGAAGAATCTAAGCAGCCACTGGCTGATGAAGTCAGAGCCAGAGAGCCGCCTAGAGAAAGGTGTAGATGTGAAGGTGAGACCCTTGACCTGTCTCCAGTCCCTTCATGGTGTTTTTTAAATGAGAAGTGAATATGGGACACCATAGGGTTCCATCCCCAGCTTCTTATCTTTGAAGGGAAGGAAAAAGGTAAAAATGAATAAAATCGGCAGGGTTTATTATCATCAGCTGGTTTGTGAACCTGTGTATCTAGGGCAGGGGTTGGCTAACCTTTGCCACAAAGGGCCAGATAGTAAATTTTGTAGGCTTGTGCGTGTTACAGTCTCTGTTGCAACCCTGCCCTTGTAGCAAGAGAGTGGCCACAGATAATAAGTAAACAGCTGTGGCTGTGTTCAAGTTCAACTTTATTCACAAAATCCAGCATGGGGTTAGATTTGTCCTGAAGGCTATAGTCTGCCAACCTCAATCTTAGGTTACCTTTCTCTGAACACCTGCCATGCTCCTAGGTGTCTCCCTGCCAACAGTTGATGTATATTTCAGGGAATTTAATATAGCCTGGGAAAAATATAAGCAGAACTATTATAAATATAAAGTAAAATGCAAGTAACTAGCAGATTACTTTATCACCTAGATTATTCATTCAGCTAATCCTCATAATTAGCAAGGATAACAAGGTAACACAAGGCTTACTTACATTCACCCAGCAAAAGTGTCTCTGTGGAGCCACTTCCCGGTGAACTACATACTTCCTCTATAGCCAGTGGCCCCTCTCATTTTAGGGGAAGGAACTGTCTGCTTCCATATGTGCTTACTAACTGGCCAAGGATTGTTTAATGATTGAATTTATTTCCTCTTGCCTAGTTCAGCATTGAGGATCTCAAAGCACAGCCCAAACAGACAACATGCTGGGATGGTGTTCGTAACTACCAGGTAAGAGGGTAAGGAGGAGGTCGCCTGAGACCCAGGTGGGATGAATGCCTGCCTCCTCCTCATGACGTACTCAGTAGCAGAACCTCTTGGCCAAGGTTGCTTTTTCTCAGAAGCAAACCTGATAATGTATTAAAAAATGCCTTAAGTACTCTGCATGAAATTTTCAATTGGCCTGTGTTCTGGCCAATGTCCTGGTAAAAGTCTGGGTGTCCTGGCAAAGGGGAAGGACTTTCTAATGAATTGAGGAGTTGCAGACAAGAATCACCCATCTATTAAAAGCAGACTTGATTTCTGCTAAAAGCTAGTACTTTCCAGCTGGTGGGAGGATAGTTACTCTTTCTTCTCCCGGGACAGGCTCGGAACTTCCTTAGAGCCATGAAGCTGGGAGAAGAAGCCTTCTTCTACCATAGCAACTGCAAAGAGCCAGGCATCGCAGGACTCATGAAGGTTAGTTGGGCAGGTTTTGGTGTGAATCCCTTTTCCTCCAGGGAGACTAACTTAAGTAGATATAAAGGGATATACCTTAATTAGGCAACAAAAAAGTACACTCCCCCCCACCCCATCCCCCTTTTACAGGAATAGGGAAAAACTGCCCTGGCCCCTTCCTATCTGATAACTCAAAGCAGGCCTTCATTCAGGTCCGACTAGCACAGACTTCACTCCACCTCTAAGTCTTGATCTCACTCGAAAACAGGCCTGATGATAGCTCCTCCAAGCTTATCAGGATAAAATTATTAACTGTGCAGAGGGGAAAAAAACAGTGGTACCAGTAATAACCTTTGCCATTTGTTTTTAGAGCATGTTTTTAAGACTTTTGTAAAAACAGAGTTGATTTCCTAGTCTATATATTAGACTATATATTGTTTCCAAATATCTGAGCCCCCATTGGCTGTACAGCAAGGCAGATGGGTTAAGAATGTGCAGGGAAGAAATGAAAGTTGGATATGGATTAAAAGATTGGCTGTGGAGCTGACTGCAGGCAGATGATTCAAAGCTTTTGTTTTGGTTTCAGATCGTGAAAGAGGCTTACCCAGACCACACACAGTTTGAGAAAAACAATCCCCATTATGACCCATCTAGCAAAGAGGACAACCCTAAGTGGTCCATGGTAAAGACTATGCTTTCTATTTCATGACAGGGGAAGGATGAACCAGGGGAAGAAGACGGTTGGGGTGACTGTAGGTCAAGGTACACGGCCCAGCACTTACTCAGATGAGGTGATACTGAGATAGGAGCTTCCTGTGGGCGGTTAAAAATACAGTGGGCACAGTCAGCCTAGACACGTCTTTCTGTCATGTACACTGTTGTCACATAGGTGGATGTACAGTTTGTTCGGATGATGAAACGTTTCATTCCCCTGGCTGAGCTCAAATCCTATCATCAAGCTCACAAAGCTACTGGTGGCCCCTTAAAAAATATGGTTCTCTTCACTCGCCAGAGATTATCAATCCAGCCCCTGACCCAGGGTAAGAGTGGGCCCTCTCCTTTATTGTCCATATACCAGAATGACCTCATGAATTCCCACTTACTAGCTGATTAAACTTGGGCATGGTACTTCACCTTTCTCAGTCAGCATCCTCACCTGTAACACCCATGAGGGAGGGAATGTGGCCAGAGTTACCTGTTACTATTACCCAGTACTCTATAGTGCTTGGCACCTGGTAAATAGTTTTGAACGAATGACTGCTCGCCTTAGTACCATGTAAGATGTACCTGTGCCTGGCACAACTTTCCTGTTCAAGAGGGGACATTAAAAACTAATCCTTCCTTTTTCCCTTTTTTTTTTGTAGAAGAGTTTGATTTTGTTTTGAGCCTGGAGGAAAAGGAACCAAGTTAACTGAGATACTGCTGCTGGAATGGGCGAGACATTGCTGCAAAGAAGTCAAGCTTTTTTCAGACAAAAGGTGTGAGGGGGCTTGCTTGGTATGCTTACCTGGGCTTGTGTACCTCAGTGGTTTTTGTGTACTTTTTTCAATAAAATATCAAAGTTGAAGAACTTTTCTTCTAAAACCACACTGAGTGCAGTGGGATACTCCCCAC
Source organism: Homo sapiens (assembly GCF_000001405.40). Taxonomy (NCBI): domain Eukaryota; kingdom Metazoa; phylum Chordata; class Mammalia; order Primates; family Hominidae; genus Homo; species Homo sapiens. The sequence goes on along the minus strand of NC_000011.10, from coordinate 134,248,234 downwards.
TGCAGACCTCTTACCTCCAGGCGGGCTCCTTTGGCCGCTCCCAGATGCAGAGCTGCCTCCACCTTCTTTCTTTACGATCACTAGTAGTTCTGTAGCAAATTGCATGACGTAGGGCTGAGATCCTCAGTCTGGTAACACCCACTGGAATGAACTCTTCTTTCTACACCAGCCTTGCTCACCTGCCCCTTTCATCTTCTGGGTCCCACAGAGGTTTAAACCATCCCATGAGCAGTTCTGGATAAACTGCCAGATAGGGATAAGAACTGAATTCATTTCTCAGCCATGTGCTTGTCTCAAACAGGTGGCTAATAAAGTATTCATCATTTTTCACCCGGGGCTATACAGTGAGAGCACAGGCACTATGTAGGGAAATCAGGGCAGGGATCTGTCTTTCCCTGAGTGTCGGAGTTGGGACCATGTAAGACGGAAGAGACCACAGAACTTGGTGGACCGTGGGCACAATGCCTCCAAAGCCACAGGGGCTTTCTTTAATCAGAAAGACCATTAAAACAAACGTTCTTCTTTTAATACAGCCATTGAAAAGATGACACATTAAGAAACATGTAAACACTGCAGCTGCTTAATTACAAGTTGCACTGCTTGATTTAGTACCTATGCACTCCCAGGTTTGGGGACCTTAAGAGAGGGGGACAGGAGCCTCCCCTCACTTTCACAGTTGGATAGAGAAGGCAAGAATGTGGGTAGAGTAAGAAAGAGAAAACAGAAGACCTGGCTTGTGCACAGCGCCTGAGAGAATCAAAGCAAATTCTGTCTTCTAGTTCTCCCAGAAGAAAGGTTTAAGATGTTAGGAAGGTTGGAAAATGAACGTGTGTTGTCAGTTGGGAGGCAAAGGAATTGACAAATGCTTCTAGTTAGAATATCAGCTAGGAAAAGGAGGGATACAGAGCCTGACCTCATGCTCTGAAAAGGCAAGGAACCCAGAACTTGCCTCCCTTATCCACTTAAGCCCCAACCTTGATCATCAAGGGCAGCGCATGGGTGATCCTGTTCCCATGAGGATTGTGTGTCGCACCTGAACACAGGACACAGCGTGGGGGAAACAACCTTGCCTTCCTCGGTTCTGCTGCCGCCAGTCGCCCTCCTAGGCTACCCAAAATGCCTCTCCCTCCAGTCTCAGCTCTGATCCATGAGCCCTGCCAAAGGCCTGAGACTGCACTGATCTCAGGAAAACAGAAGTCTTCCTTTCCCACACTAACTGAAAGGTGACACAGGAACCAACTCCTTAACTTTCCAAATTACTGAGAACTCAGACTGCCAAATACCGTACCTCTTGGCCAGTGGGGCCTGCTTGGTCTTTCTATAAAGGGAAGGGAGGCCAATGGGAGAGTAATGCCTGTCATTTCCAGGGGAAGCAGAAAAAGGACAGTAAACAACTTTACTACCATAGGCCCCAGCGCAGAGCCGTAGAGGGAGAAGTACCTTCCTCTCTAGCATAACAAGAATATTCACAAGAGTTTTTTTATATGTGTTTTTTAAACACACGATACCAATGGTCCTAAACTTGGGTCAGTCAACTGGTGAAGATGACCTATTTGGCAAGCAGAATGATTCGGAAGTGTGGCAGCAGTCTTCTGCCGAGGCCCTGGTCTCCCCTGTGTAACCTATAGGGAGAGGGGTAAAGGGGCTTGGGCATTAGTAAGAACAGCCTTGCCAAAGGTTCGAAACTAAGCCCCAATTCCCAGAAATGAAATGGAGGGTGAGGAGAGACGAGGGTTCACTCTCAGCAAGGCGGAGGGATCAAGGCCCCTTCCTGGGATTGGTTCTTCAGGGAACCAGGCCCTCTTGTTAAGGGCTTGCTGGGGCACGTGAAGCAATACCTAGAACAGCCCAGACCTTGGGGTTACCAAGTGGAGCGACGTGAAGGCAGGCGGTTGCCATGCACTCATCTTCCGTGGTGGGCCGGGTTCAGCCTCCTGGGTTCAACACTGCCGCCATCCGTGCACGACACTGACCCCAGGGCTTCTCCGTGCCCAAGGCCATCCCACAGGCTTCTGTTCCAGGACATTACTGACAATCCAGAGAGGATGGAGAAGGGAGGTGCCTGGGTCCCAGCAGTGAGTGGCCAGAAGGAGGTGGCCTGTGGGAACTTGAGATCACCACATCCAAGATTCCCAAAGAGGTAGCTTCCCAATCGTGAGTCTTCCCCTGCCACTTAGTGGGGGCTGGCCCAACTCCTGCCACTACCTCCGGGACAGCAAAGGGGAGTACAAGATGTGACTACCCAGGGCCCTGTTGGCAGCTCAGAATCCCAGGGACATGCTCAGATCCTGTATCAGGAAGCTCAGAGAGCCAGGAGCCAAGGATGCGTGCTCTCTGCTCTCCCTCCTCTAAGACGCAAGGCAGCCCCCCGAGGAAGGGGGCTCATGTTCCCCAGAGAGGCTGGCTTCCAGGATGCTACCTCTTCTATCCCACATCGGCCGCAGAATCCCAAGGAGAGACTGCTTCCCACCCCAAGCCCCTTGGGTTCTCCAGAGAAAAGAATTTAAGTCAAAAACATGATTTGTTTTCAGGTTGCAAGTAACGGGTCAACTGAGCCTCACAAGGTCCGCCCCCGCCCCCAGCCGCTGGTGTTGGTAGATGGGGGTGCTGGGTGGGTGCCCAGCATCTTCTCGGCCCTGGGGGCCTACTGCCTGCAGTTGTTGTCAGACAGCTGGCTGGGGGTCCGCACCTCACCCAGGGAGGTGGTGCCCTCAAAGCGCTGTGAGGCGATGGCCGCCTGGTGGGACATGCTCTTCCGTACGATGTCACCCTTCCGCCACAACACCACTTCCTGCAGAATTGAAAGGGGGGCAATGTGACACCTTAGAGGGAGGCATGGGGACAGGTTTCCTAGAGGCTCCCAACTTTGACGTGGGGAATCTCGGGCAAGGACCTCCTCTGCTTCTCTCTCACCAAAGGCAGCAGCTGCCAGCACCTCCCTGTCCCTGGTGTGGGCCAAAAGGGCAGGTGGTTGCAGGAGAAGGCCCGAGGAAGCAGACTCTAAGGCCAGGTGAGAATCCTCATTCTTGTTGTGCAATTGTGGGCGACCTAATGTTCCCACCTCTTGGCAAAAATGGAGTCTGACCTTCCATAGGAAAGAGAGCCTCCTGTTCTGTCCCAAGGGCATCGGGGCCTGGAGGAGCCTGGCCCTCACCTGCTGCTTGAAGTAGCGCCGCTCCTCCTCGTCTATCAGCACCAGGTTGAGGTAATAGCGCACAGAGAACTTCTTGTTGATGTCCCGCATGGTGGGCGTGAGCTCATACCCGGCCAGGAAGAGCCGGATCGGGATGGACTCTCCTGTAGGGGGAGGGCAGGAGTCAGCACAGGGGGCAAGGTGATGCCCTCTCCCTTATACCAGGTCACTCTGACCACTGCAGAGATGCCACTGGAGTGCAGCACACGAGCACTTCAGCCTTCTGGGAAGGTGCAGTCGCTCTGCTGCCCAGCAGGTGGCTGAAACAAAAATGTGACTCTCCAGTTCCACTCCAGGTCATGTTGCAGCTTCTCATGTCTTCTCGAAAACAGAGAGCAACTGAGTGGGAACAGCACAGGTCATTATTAGTATAAGCATCTTTTGATTACATGCAGTGTGTTTAGTTTTGGGGTTTTCAAAAGGCAGCTGTCAAAGTCCAGTTAAGCCACCACTTCACCCAGCAGTTCTGATGCCATCTTTCTCCATCCTCAGTGTATGCCCCCCAAAATACATCCTCCCTCTTGTGTGGACTGGCAAGGTGGTATGGTGGAAAGCAGAAAGTCCTCACTATGGCCTCAGTTCTGCAAGAACCGCTTTTCTGATTTGTGAGTTAAGTCTCTGCTTCCTCTGGACCTTCATTTTCTCATGTGGAAAATTAGAGAATCGGACTGCGTGATACTACAGATCCCTTCCAGCTCTAACATCAGACCGTTTCTAGTATCAGTGGAACAAAATTAGGGCAGTAATTCTACCAAGAAAGGCCAAACCTATAATGTGGTCTAAAGCTAAATATAAGCCATCTTATCATTATCTGCTCTTTTACATGCATTCTCAGTGACCCATTTCATTTGTACAGGAAAAATGACAGCTGGCTCTATTTGCACAGCCAGTGACAAAATGGGACATCAGAGAGTGTCAGGAGAGCTTGGTCCCAACCCTCCAAGGGCCTGGCATGGTAACACCCGCGTGTCCCCAGAGCTGCAGGCAGCTAAATCTGTGGCGCTCCTCCTTCCACATGGAACAGCCTGTGGGAGTAAAAGGAATAAGCCAATAAAACCCTGGAAGCACCATGCACTTCAAAATGAAGAGTCTTCGCCATTCCTGAGGGATGGCTAAAGAGCCAATGAAGAATGTAAATGATTGCTTCTTCCAGATAATCACGGTCCCCAAATGACAAAGGGCTTCCAGCTCTACTAACCCAGATGTAATGTTAGCTCCCTGGGGCTGGGAGAGGATGCTTCCAGCAAATTCCAGGGCTATCTGGGTACCTGGTGGTGTTGGCTGAAGTATCTAGTAGTGCTCTTTCTACCTGACAAGTGAATTCAGAAAATAAATCGGAGCTAGAGCCAAGTCACAGACAGGCTGCTGTGCATGCATCCCTTGCTCCTGAGCAGCAGAGAATGCCAGAATGTCAACAGGAAGAAGCAGAAACGTTTTCAAACCACATCTGCTAAACCTGGACCTTCCAAAGTGACGCTTGAGGTTCAATCTTCAGTACAAGCCCGATATATAATCCAAGTCTAAGTGCAACTTTTCAGGGTGAAGATGGGATAGTAGCCTCAAGTTCTACACACTCAGCCTTCCTTTTCTTCCTTATGGCCACCCACGGTGTAAACTGAGAGATTAAGAAGTTACAGGTTAAGAGGACATCTTATTTTGACAGTGTAATCCCTCAAGCCCCTCCAGAATTCTGTGCAGGACATGGGAGAAAAGCTGTGGTAGCCGAGGCCTGGGCCTGGAGTCTCACCTCGCACTGGTGCCCCGTCCATGATCTCGTACTTGGCTATCGTGTCATTCTCATGGTACACGTTGGGGCCTGTACCCGTCGTTTCTCGCTTGATGATGTCTATCTCCATGTGCTTGATTTTGATTCTCACCAGCAGGAAGTATATCTTCCCTACAATGACATCTTTCAAGTGGTATCTGGGGAACAGAAAGTACAGAAAGTAAGATGTTGGTACTGTGGCCAGACCTTTCTGTTTCAGTAGAGCGCACACGCCACGGCCAAGCGTGCTGGTTAAACGTCCAGTTGCAGGACACACTCACCCATCACTGCCCACATGGCTGTGGCTGAACTGTTTCCCAGTGCGGTCTTTACTTGGATTAAAGTAGCTTCTGTCCCTTCCACATCCCACGCAAAGGACGTCTCTCCTGCATGGTACCCATTCATGTTTGTTCATCTGCTCTATCTCCCCAGCATGCAGCTGCTTTAGTACCTTTTATATTTGTGTTTTTGAAAGATATCCTAATGTATGAGAGGCTAGTCCCACAAGCGCAGGGACCAGTCTCTCCCTTCCTCTGATCTCCACACAATGTCTTTAGAGAACTGGACCTGGATGGCTCAAAGCACACAGTTCTGTCCGCTCTAGGCCGACAGGCCAGGCAGCAGCAGTAGAGTGAGAAGAGCAAATCACTCTCGGCATCAGCGCCTGCTTTCTGGGCTCCGCTGGCCTGGCCTTGTGAGTTGTTACGAAGTGAGCCACATTGGGTAACACTTCCTGACCCTCAGGGTTTTTTCTCTGGGTCAGTCAATAGTCTACATGTGCACAGCCCGTATCAGGCATGAGAGAACGAGTAAAATCTTAAAACCTGATGCTCAGCTCACAGGATAAGAATGCTGGCATGGACATCAGAATTCAGCCTCCTTATATTACAGGTGAAGAAAAGGCAGTTGGAAGAAAAGAGATAATGTTCTCTTGGATAACCAGGATGTGAGTAGGGGGTAGAGAAAGGTGGTAAACCCAGGATCCTAGTCCCCAGGCTGGAGTGTTCCCCACTGTTTCACACCACCCTTCTGTGCACAGGCTACAGGAAGACTGCAGACACCTGAGCAAACAGCCTCAGCAAATTTGCAAAAGCAGCAGGAGACCACCTGCGCCATCTTACAGGGGATGCTTAGAGACCATGGATTCGAGATGTTTTCAAACTCCTACAAATCACACATTCCTGTATTCTAAATGTTATACAGAAGCAAAAGCTGCTCTAGGTGTAAGCGGGGAGAGTTAAAAAACAAAAAACAAAAACCCAACAAAAACGTTGCTTGTGGATGGAAGAAAAGCGGAAGGCCAGAGGGTCTAAGGATCTCAGCTCCGCTGCCACCTCACACTTTCTGTGTGTTTGAAACCCACTGATCTGGTCCAAGCTCCTCGTTTTACAGATGAGAAGCCGAGATACAAAATGTTAGTATCTGCTGACCGCCCAACTTCTTAGTGTAAGAGCAGGACCTGGTTCCAAGTCTGGAGTTCTCTGGCATATAAATCAGGCACTCACACAGAGCAGCTCGCTGTGCAAGGAGAGGTGTGGTCTGAAAGTGTCCCGTCCCTGCCTCTCTAGAGCACCTTTTCCACACTAGCTTTGGTCTGGCATGCACTGATGACCAGTGGCTGCTTTGAGCTCCTACGGGTGGCACAGCTGCTGGCCTCTGCCTTCACCAGATGGTCAGGACAGTAGTGGGTAGGCACTCTGGATGGCTCCTTTCTGGGCAGGACCGCAGAGCCCTGAGGCTATAAGGAGAAAGGGGGAGAACCTGTTCCCATGCCAGGCCCAGATCAGCCTCCCTCCCACCTTGCCTCACTCTCTGTTCACTGGTGGGCTTAGGCGAGGCAGAGCCAATTCTGGGTCACACTGGTCATTTTCCTGGGGCCCTCTAGGTTCCAGGCCTGCCAGGGGAAAAAACACACCATTCCTCCAACCCTGTTCCAAGAACCATATATGTTCCTAGTTTTAAAAAGTTCTGTTCCTGACCCTTCAAAGGTGAGCCATCTGGTGCAGCTCCCACTGCTCCCAGCCTCTGGATGACAGTGGTCCAGGGGGTGCCACAATGAAAATCCTACTTAGAGACTTTGTGGCTTCTTTGTATAGCTCTCTGTGAATAGAATACCCTTTCTACTTTTGGATATTTGAGTTCCAAACATTCTCAGGAATATCATATTCAAAAGAAAGATGCTTTTGAAATACCCTGTCAGAAAGTTTTGTGATTTATTTATAACTGGCTAATTATTTTGATGTTCTAACAGTAAACACAGTTTAAAAGATATACATCTTCCCAACTTGCCAGTTAAAATAAAGTCATTTTAAGACTTTTATAAAAAATACATCAGGGCTGGGCATGGTGGCTCATGCCTGTAGTCCCAGCGCTGTGGGAAGCCAAGGCAGGCAGATCACGAGCTCAGTAGTTCAAGACCAGCCTGGGCAACATTATGAAACCTTGGCTACACACACACACACACACACACACACACACACACGGACACACACACACACACACGGACACAAATTAGCTGGGTGTGGCGGTGCATGCCTGTGCTCCTAGCTACTTGTAGGGGCGGAGGTGAGAGAAATGCTTGAGTCTAGGAGGTCAAGGCTGTAGTAAGCCATGACTGGGCCACTGTACCCCATCTTGAAAAAAAAATCCAATATTCTTTGCTATAATTCATTTTAGTTCAGGGAGGAAGCAGCAAATCATGGCCAATATTTGGTTTCGTCGCTTTGATTTCTGAAGACACAGATGGAGGGAGCACATGATAATGGAATGGTATTCTGAGATTGTTCTTAGCAGTAGCGGGAAACAGCTGAAGCTGGAATTCCAAAACAAATAACCTCAAGTTAGTTTAGCTTGACTGAGAGGCATCATAGGATGTTTAACTTAAAGACACCACCTTAGTTGAATATGGTTTAGTTTAGGTAAATGAAGTGTTTACGTCGTGGTCGGTCCAGCTGCAGCTGGCCTGCCATAGACACTCACTGGATTGCTCCCACGGTCTTCCCCCACCGCATGCCACCACAAAGCAGTCGAGTCACAGAGGGTCATCAGTTTGCATCTGCATCAAGTCCCATCTTAACCTCCTTAAATAATCATTTCACAACCTTGGCACTGAGACACTTACTTGGATTTATTGTACTCAAATTCAATGTGCAGACAGTCCTCAATCCCAACCTCCATCTTGATGGAAGAGTTCAGCTCTGGGTATGTGCTGAGTGTGTGAACTACAATGTCCATCTCTTTGACAACATCATTGAGGCGGCGGCTGATGGTAGCACGAAGGAAATAGCTGTAGGAGACGGAACTGTCATGAATAAACACTCCCAGTCTCCAGATGCTACCTAGATATAGGTACCAAATTGGCCCACTTGAGAGAAGCCTGTACAAAGGTTCTTAACCCTTGAGGGCTTTGTATCCTTTTAAGAAGTTACAGACCCTCTTCCAGGGAAAGATGCACATATGTACCTATACAGAGACCTTTTCAACCACAATTCTAGGGAGTTCAAAGACCCTTCCCCCAAATCCCTCTAGGGAGCCCATGCCCCCGGGTCAAGAATCCTGCTGTAAGGGAAAGTGATTTCTCTGCCTTGTACCCCAATCACATGTTATTCTTGGGCCTTTCACGGCCCTTACCACTACTGACCATGTATTTGTGTACAGGTTTTATTTCATCAGCTAACTCCTGGCTTTTGGGGCAAAGGAGTCCGTCTCGTAGTTTTATCTTTGCATGTTTGTTCACCGAACAATATTCAATCAATAAACCTTTTTAAAGTGTCCCAATAAACCTTTCTTAAGTTAAAAGAGGGGACTAGGAAAGAGAGAAATTAAGTCAGCTATTCATTCCACAAACATTTACTGAGCTAAGCACTGGGCTAAGCACAGGATGAATAAGATACAGTCTCATGGGAAGCTCACAGTTCACCGGGGGAGATGGGCAAATAGAGAAATGGGAACACACGGAAAGGGCTAATTGAGATGCTGCGATCCAGTGCTGTGTGGAGGGAGAAAAGGGCATTCCAGGAGAGCAAACCTTATATGCCACAGGGGCAGACAGGACCTGGTCTGTTGAATAACAAGTCTCTGGCTGAACCTAGGATCCCTGGGGAGGACGCTGCTGTGGAGGGGATGAGAGAGAAGACAGAGACACAGCCCTGAAGGGTTTAACAAGCTGCCCTCTGTGGCCCGCCAGTGCAGCACTGTCATCCCCGGCACTTAGCACTGTGCTAACACTCAATGAGGAGGAGCTCTTTAATTGTATTTCCTTCTCCATAAAACATTATTTTAATATAATCTAATGTAATATAATAAATTGTATTTTCTTTTAAATAAAACTTAGATAATCCCCACCATCTGTCAAGCATTACCAGATGAAGTTATAAAGATATGGCCAGGCGCGGTGGTTCACGCCTGTAATCCCAGCACTTTGGGAGGCAGAGGCGGGCGGATCACGAGGTCAGGAGATCGAGACCATCCTGGCTAACACAGTGAAACCCCGTCTCTACTAAAAATACAAAAAATTAGCCGGGCGTGGTGGCGGGCGCCTGTAGTCCCAGCTACTCGGGAGGCTGAGGCAGGAGAATGGCGTGAACCCAGGAGGCGGAGCTTGCGGTGAGCCGAGATCAAGCCACTGCACTCCAGCCTGGGCAACAGAGCGAGACTCCGTCTAAAAAATAAAATCAAATAAAAATAAATAAATAAATACATAAAGATATGCTAGCCATACCAACTACACATTTCGGCTACTATCCTCTGTGTGGCACTGGCTGCTTCTTGGGGATCCTTTCGGTTCACCTCAGTAACCATCACACTGCCCAAGACACCTGTCCCTAGCCCTCTTCTAACTGCTCAGCCTCCCAAGTCTCCCCACCCCGCTGTCTGGGAAGACACTGACTTTTACTCCACTAAGAAGATGAAGGCCTTCCCAGTCAAGACTTACAATGTGCTCCTTCCTCTGCTTTGTTCCTTACTTAAGGCCTAAACATGTCTCTGCATTTTCACCCATCCTGTCTCCAACAGCACCTCTCCCTCTCAAGACCTCTCCTCCCCACTCCGGCCCAAGAACTCTCCATATGGATGCACAATGAAATCACCAGGAGAGGAGAGCCCTTAAGAATCCTGCTGCCTGGGCACACCTGATATGTGATTGTCTGGAAAGGGACACAGGCATTCGCATTTTAAAAAGCTTCCCACATGATTCTAATGTGGAAGCCTTGGTCCGGCATCTGGATCCTTCTACATATTCTGATTTCCCCAAGATCATCAATCTCCCTCTAGCTAAAGGCCTTTTCCTCTGAGCTTATTAAAAAATTGGTTTCCAAAGTCACCAATCCCAAGAACCCTCTCCAGGCCTTACCCTCTTGACCTACCATACTTTCTTTTCCTTTCTTCAGAGACAACTGTCACAAGGCGGGTTCTGCACCAACAGCTGAGGCTTCTCCACGAACCACTCCTCCCAACCCCTTGCTTCTGTCTCCACCACCCAACAGAAACCGCTCGCCTCGAGGTCAGTAACCCATGGCCTCCCAGCTGCCAAATCCAGCAGCCCTTGATTCTGCGTCCCGTGAAACACTTCTTCCTTGAAACACTCTTCCCGCGGTTCCACAGAGGCGCTGCCCTGATTCACCCCCCTCTCCTCCTCCTGCCATGCCCTGGTGGGTCCTGGCTCTCCTCTCCTTGTGCTCCCTTTCTTCAAAAACGTATCAGTTATGACCTCTGAGCAGATCAGTCCTGACTGCACATTTCTAAGTGTCCCCTCTGTCCTTAGTGCCAGGTCTGCGCTTCCAATTGTCTGCTAAACTTTTATGCTTTCTCTATTTTGCCAGTATTTCAGCCTGCCCTCTAGAGCTGGATGAATCACCTTATCTCCAGATCATTTCTTCCTCCTGATAGCCCTCTGTCTCCATCTCCACGGCTGCATGCCTGCACTCACTGGTAATCTCTGCTGGTGTCTGTTACATTCCTCACTTTCTCTTTGTTCCCATTACAGCCACCAAAATCATACTCGGAGGACCTCACAATAGCCTTCTGATAGTTTTGTCTCTACACTCTTCCCATCCACCAAATGCTACATATGGACTCCAATCTTCCAAAATAACCTTTTCTCTGCCTAAAGACAAAAGAAAAGTCCACAATAATCTTTTCATGTTTTCCCTCTGCCTGTGTAATAAGAAAAAGCTTTTAATCTGGAAGTTACATCTTTAAACTGTCCTCAACTAATTTTCCTATCTCTACCTCCTCTCTTTCGCAACATGAATCCTAAAGTCTTCATGTGATTTGGACATTAACACTTTTCTTTTATTGTGGCAAAATACGTATAACATAAAATTTACCACTTTAACAATTTTTAATTATACAGTTCAGTGGCATTAATGATATTCGTATTGTGCAAACATCACCATCAGTCTCCAGAACTTTTCCACCTTCCGCCACTGAAACTCTACTCATTAAACACCAACCCCCATTTCCTCCTTCCCTCAGCCCTGGGCCTCTACCATTCTATTTTCTGTCTCTATGAATTTGACTGCTCTGGGTACCTCATATATATGGAATCAGACAGTATTTGTCCTTTTGTGACAGGCTTCTTTCACGTAGCACAATGTCCTTTAGGTTCACCCATGTTGTAGCATAGGACAGAATGTCCTTCCTTTTGAAGGCTGTATAACAGTCCACTGTACGGACAAAACACATTTCCTGTGTCCATTTACCCACTGATGGACACTTGGGTTGCTTCTACCTTTTGGTTATTGCGAATAATGCTGCTGTGAATATGGGTGTACAGATATCCGTTCGAGATCCTGTTTTCCATTCTTTTGGATCCGCTTCTGGATCCAAAAGAGGAATTGCTAGATCATATGGTAATTCTGTTTAATTTTTTGAGGCACTGCTATACTGGTTTCAACACCTTTCTTTCTGCCGTACAAACGCTTAAGACAAATCCACTGCAAAAGAAAAAAAAATTAAATAATAAATCCCTCGGTCAAACTGAAGTGATGACTAGATGATCCTCGCGGTTGCTGCATTCTCTGGGTGCGATTATGAGACACTGTCTTTACTGGGTGTAATGTCAGTCTTAGACCTCTCTGCAAAGATTTGTTTTTTTTCTTTTAAAAAAATTAAAAAAATTTTTTTTTTTCGTAGAGATAGGGTCTCAATATGTTGCCCAGGCTGGTGTCGAATTCCTGGCCAAGGTGCCAGGATCACAGGCGTGAACCACCACCTCTGCAAAGATTTAAAAAGAGCCTTCACTCTTCTGATGGAAGAAGGGAGGACAGAGAAAGAAAAGAAGTTAAAGGTCTTGTGGTGTGTACCATCCTAAACTCAGGTCCTCAGGTGAGGAGATAAACCGATCTTATGAGATGGTATCAAGACCTGGAATCAGGTGTTCAGAGTCACAGGGGAGACTGCTTTATCCCAGTAGCATCACATAACCTCAAGTTTACACCTAACAGTCTATATCTGCTGTAGATTTTTTTTCACCCAAAAGACCTTGGCATCAGTCTCTATTCTCAGAGTTTCCAACACTATAACAGTAAAAACAATCCATGTACCTATGTGTTCACATTTTAAGAACTTTATTTTCTTATCACCCCCAAAAGAAGAGGACATCTAGAATTAGAATCCAAGTCCATTACCCACTTTGAAGTGAGAAAGCTGAGTTACAGAGCTCAAGGTCACACTGCAGCTGTGTGGCAGAGCCGGACAGCAGGTCAGGATCTCCTGACACCCAGCCAGCAGGAGTGTGCTGGGGGTGGCTGACGTTGAACTTTCAGGAATTTTATGACCTGGCTGTTAAACACAGCAATTATTTAAAGTTAAATTATATAAACTCACAATTAAATGAATCATGTTAAAAACAAAGGTAAGACATGCGAAAATCTCATCACTTCCTATTTTCCGGCCCTTTACAATGCTCTCTGCTCTTGAGGGAATGTGTCTCCATATGATGGTAATAGCACATCTCTCCCACCTCTACATTTAGGAACATTAGGTAGCTTGAAATTGGCCATGGCGGGGCTATGTACACTACAGAAATTGACACATGCTACAACCTAGGGCCACTTTCCTCCTAGAAGGCCCACGGTTAATGGTTTACCAGCACGCCACAGCTCGCGACACTCTTCCTTCTCGGGATCCCTGTGAAGATTCTCAAAGTGGGGACGGCCTCAGGTCCTTGTCCACATGGGGCAGGTTCTAGGGTACAGTGGGGAACCAGCAGACATCACTTACCGTAGCTTCACATTCTGCCCTGTGTAGGACTCATACGGCTTCTCCACGTGGGTAAACTCAAAGTCGAAGGCCTGCGACTGGGTGATCTCTCCAGGCCGGGCCAGGTCCTTCACCAGGGACACAAACTCATGGTGGTTCCCGCGATCGTAGTAGAGTTCTGGTGAGAGACAGCGATGCGACGCCCTCCTTTATCAGACCCTGAGCTACACCGGGCCGAGTAGGGGGCTGGAGGCTGTAGGCTGGAGGGACTGCTTTCTGGAAGGACCTCCCTGCAGAACAGACCCCTTCTAGCCTTGTTTTCTTGACCTCTGCTCTTTCACTCCCTCCTTCTTCTCCAAAGGCTTTTCTGTCTTATATAGTGAAATCCCGTGGCAGAAAAGGAACCCAAAATAATCCTGCTCCAAGACACTCGGACACCATCTTTTAATAAGGGTAAGTCATGGGAGCCAATATAAGAAATGCCACACTTCTTTAAACAGCATTTAACACTTCCAACTTCCGAAAGGATATAGCTATTTAATCATATCATCCTTATAATAATAATCTTCTGACACAGCTAAGACAGGTCTTATCACCCCGTTTAAAAGACGATGGAAACCCAGGCACAGCATGCTTAACTGACTGGCCTGGAGTCGCAGAGCTGGCTGCAGAGCTGAGACTAGAGCAGGTCTCCTTCTAGACTGCGTCTATTTCTATCAGCTGGTATAATGCAGGTCATGACACAACCTACTTCACAAGGCTCTGTGTGAAGTAGCAGGGGTGATGTAGGTAAAAGACTTAGAACAGTATCTAGTACACAGCAAATACTCAAAAACATCGTTAGTAGCTGCTGTTATTACTCCAAAAGGAAGGCATGTGGCCAATCGAACATGGACATTTTCATGTTATTCCCTCCACTGAAATCAGGGGGTGTCGAACTTTAGTGTGCACCAGAGTCACTGAGAGAGCTGGTTAACACACAGATGGCTGGACTCCACCCTAGTGTTTCTGATTCAGGAGTCTGGGATGGGGCCTGAGAACTGGCCCTTCTGATAAGCTCCCCAGGACGGCTGCTACCACACTTCCACGCTTTAAGAAGCATTGCTCTAAATTTATCCTCTTCAGGAAATAGTTCTGGTATTTTTTGATGATAAGTTCATGCCACCCATTTGTCCTATATTATTTTATGTTTGCTTATATTCTATTTAAGTATAAGTTTTGCTACATACCTGGTCTCCCCCGCTCCCACTGTGGACTGCAGGCCCTTTAAAGATAAGGCCCACATCCCCAGCTCCCTGGTGCTTCCTAGAACCTGGCCCTGCACAAGTGAGCTTTTTTTGTTTGTTTTTTGAGACAGAGTCTCGCTCTGTCGCCCAGGCTGGAGTGCAGTAGTGTGATCTCGACTCACTGCAACCTCCGCCTCCTGGGTTCAAGCAATTCTTCTGCCTCAGCCTCCCAAGAAGCTGAGACTACAGGCATCTGCCACCACGCCCAGCTAATTGTTTTTGTATTTTTAGTAGAGATGGGGTTTCACCATGTTAGCCAGGATGGTCTCGATCTCCTGACCTCGTGATCTAACCGCCTTGGCCTCCCAAAGTGCTGGGATTACAGGCGCGAGCCACCGTGCCCGGCCGAGGTAAGCTCTTAATACTGACTGTGGCTATGCATGGCCACATTACAGTTCAAGCCACCACCCCTCAAGGATTCTGTGTTCAAGTCCCGTGCTAGACTGCAACTTGCAGCGGGGCAGATGAATTGGGAACACAGAGCAGGCGGAGCACACTCATTGCCTCTGTTGTTTGCTGCTTGGGGAGGAAGAGGCGAGTCCACAGACTGGAGTCTCTGGGATCCCACACTAGTGATGCCACTTCTGTATGAATTCACAGTGTATTGTGTGGCTGTGGCTTGTGGCTGATTTCCCGTGTAACTACAATCAGCCACAATCTTTTATTACAAACAATGACCTTCCTTTCCAAACACTCAGTGGTTTCAATAGTAGGCAGCATTCTGGTTAGTGAGTGATAATCCACAAAGCCTCAGAGTGGGAGGTGGCAGCTCCAAATTATGGGTGGAAAGTGAGCAATCCAGTAATTGTGCCCCCCCAATAAAAGTCAGAAGTATATGACAGGCAGAAGCGGAGCCGCGGCCAGCCCCGGGGACAGGGACTCCTCGGCTTACTCTTGTTGCATGAGTCCTGGTCGATGGTGTTGGCTTTCGTGTGGAAGCCGAAACCTTGACTTGGGAACCTGGTACCTCAGTTTCTAAGCACTAGATTCTGGCCATAGTTTCAGGGGACAGAAGCAGGCAGAGCAAGGCCCCAGTGTCCAGAATCAATGGTCCAGAGTCAAGAGGAAGAGGAGAAGAAAAGGATGGAAAAATACAGAAATGCGATCACACAGCCCAAAGGCAACATCAGGAATAAACAAAACAGAGAAGGCACAGAGAGCGCTCAGGCTGCCAGCATTGTGGAGCCTAGCAACAGTGCAGAAGGTTCGGCCTGCCCCAGCAGGGCACCTGGAGCAGGAGAAGTCATTCCCTGCATAGCATCACGTTCTCCCTAGTGCCTTTCCTCCTGCACACATGTTAATATCAGCTCTGACATCAAATGTCATGGAAGAGTGGCCAGTGTGCAGTCACAGCAGGGCTGGCCTGGCCTTTTTAATCTATCCTTTATAAGCCATCTGCAATACTTCTGCAAACACTGTGGGGCAAAGGGGCAGACACAGCGATGCTTCCTATTTGCCAGAAAGTTTGGTTTCCTCTTGCATAAATTAAAACAAAAATCCAAGGCTGTTCTCACGAGAGGTCTGGGCCCTAAAGAGATTGTAAATAGCCTCTATTCCGTCCCAAAGAAGCAACCACGCGTCATCTTTCATTCTTCCCAATCACCAGTCCTCAGGGACCAGACGTGTCAGGCTAGAAGTAGGAACTGAGTAAGTTTTTGGTTAAGGTAACTATCCTGTCTTTGGTTTCCTTCTCAGTCCAACAGGAGGAAATAACTTTTGTACTCAGGATGTTTTCATGGTGAAACTTGCCACCAACAGTTGAGAAGTGAATTTGCCATTCTGGAAGGAAACTGAGCCAGCTTTGCATCACAGGTCACCCATGACAGCCGCCCTGAGCTTTGCTGCTTGGCTAAGGCCATGTTTAGTCTAGGCCTCGTGCAGTTTTGGAAGAAACCTAAGTCAGCAAAGCATAAAAAGACCTCCAAAGGCCAGGCGTAGTGGTTCATGCCTGTAATCCCAGCACTTTGGGAGGCCAAGGCGGGTGGATCACGAGGTCAGGAGTTTGAGACCAGCCTGGCCAAGACGGTGAAACCCTGTCACTACTAAAAATACACAGATTAGCCAGACGAGGTGGTGGGCATCTGTAATCCCAGCTACTCGGGAGGCTGAGGCAGGAGAATTGCTTGAATCCGGGAGGCAGAGGTTGCAGTGAGCTGAGATTGTGCCATTGCACTCTATCCTGGGCGACAGAGCAAGACTCCGTCTCAAAAAAAAAAAAAAGCCCTCCAAAGAGCCTCCTCTTCATCTGACCCTCCCAGCCACTGTCTGCTGGCTGGCCACTGTCAGGATTCGTGCTTACCACACCCTACTCCTGTCTGCCAACCCTGTGAAACCCAGAAGCACTGGCACCTCTGAGCGGCCCACGCCTCACCAGGCGCAGCTCTGCTCCAGTCCCACCAGCAGCTTGTTAAGTAGGCCAGAATCAATCCACCTCATCTTAATGTGCCTTTTACTTAGTGTTTCAAGGGCTAATGAATTAAAATACAGAAAGCCCCTGGAGTTTTTAAAAGTATGGGCTTGATTGGTATTAATGGGCTTATTAAAACCTAAAAAAAAAAAAAAATCCAGATAATGTCTGTTGGCTTTGGAGTGCAGGGATGTTCCTGTCTGCCCTCCTCCGCATGTCTGACCTTCTAATTACGTTTGGTTTATTTAACCCATTAGTCTCCAAGGCGGCCCAGGTCTGCTTTCTAAACTTCACTGGTGTTCCCCAAAGGATTCCAGCTCAACAACGGTCTCTTCTTCTCACAGTTACAGTTTTTCCTTGCAGTGCTCCTTACAGACTACTGCATCTTCCTAAAGACGTGGGCCAGTAGGATGACTAGGTCTTAGACCTTTCTGTCCCATGGGCCTGACCCAAGAGATGCCCTCACCACATGTGTTGGCATTGTTAGAACACAGACCAAGCCACTGGAAAAGTATCCTAGGTACAGGAAGGATCCCAGTGTGGCTCGAAAACTTGCAGAGGATAACAGAAAAACGTCCACCACATAAGTGAATAAATAAGATATTATAGTCTCAGGAGGCAACGTTCAAACTGCCACATCTGAGCAGTGGTGCAGGACCAAACGGGCCAGAGGTTTGACAACTCTTACGTTCTTACACACAAGGGGATATCAGTTTCAACTTGGCACAGAAGAGTGTGAGGAAAGAAAGATGTAAAGGCAGGTAAACTGACATCAGCTTTAATACTTCCTTATCCCAGTTCCCCCAGTGAGGACGCAGCCCCAGTGGGGGCACACCAGCTGGAGAGTCACCGAGTTGTCAGTGGCCTTGATGGACAACCACATGTTGCTCATCAATGCCTCCTCCACAACAAAGGCAGGAAGCTCAGCTGCTCAACCACCAAAACAAACCTGATTTCTGTCTTTCTTTCATTAAAACAACTCTTGCTTATCTGGGAGGAGATGTGGGAAAAGGAAAGAAAACAAAATGAAACAAAACAACAACAAAGAATAGTTTCTGTAAATTCTTAGATTTGACCAATATATCCATTCAACAAATATTTACTAGGCACCTTCTATGTGCTAGCCACTGCACTAATGATGGGCTGAAGGCAGTCCCTGGATCTCAGGTGCTCAGAAATTAGTAAGAAAGACAGACAAGTTTTTTAAAAAAGTCACAAGCTTGTCATACCCGGCTTGAAAAGAGGTATTAATGAGGCCTCTGGAAGAACAGTGGAGGAAGCACTTAAGTCAGCCTGGGGAAGTCAGAGAAGACTTTCTGATGGATGTGATGTTAGCTAGGCTTTGAAGGAGTAAGAGCTTGGGTGGAAGGTTATATCTTGCAGAAAGATGTTACTATACAAAGGGAAAATACCAAGATTCCAGAAGAAAAGGATAGTTTGTGGAACCCACAAGCGGTGAGAGTGAAGGGTTAGGGGAGACGAGGCTGGAAAGAGAGGGAGGGCCAGAGCAGGAGGGATTTGGATATACTTTCCCCCATTAACCAATAGGGAGGCGAGAATTTTAAGAAAGGACTGACAATGATAGAACTGCCTTTAAGAAACTTCATCCTCACAGAAAATGACCTGAAAGGGGAGGAAGACAAAGGCAGGAAGACCACTTAGGAAGCTGCTACAAACAGAAAATAAAAGGCAGTGGCATTGAGAAGAGAGAGGAGACACTGGTTTGAGATATACTGCAGAACCAGCAGAGAAGGCCAAAACTTAGCAGCCAACTGCATGTGTGGGAGGAGGAGCCAAGACTTCAAAATGACTTCTAGATTTCTGAGGCTAAATGATCCCAGCTGACATAGGCCGAAATGGGGAAAAAAGGAGACGCAGTGGGGCTGTGGCTGAAGCAGAGACAGAGAGAGGGGTTTGTGTTTGCATGCATTACTGAGGCACCTGTAGGGTATCCCGGTGGACATGTCTAGCAGACAGCTTCAAAGACGTGTGAAACTCAGAAGAGAGGTCGGGTCAGAACAAAGAAACAGTCTGGGAGTCATCAGAATATAATTCATGGGGCTCAGCACAGTGACTCATGTATGTAATCCCAGCACTCTGGGAGGCCAAGGCAGGAGGATCGCTTGAGTTCCAGACCAGCCTGGGCAATAAAGACAGACCCTGTCTCTACATAAAATTTAAAAAATTAGCTGGGTATGGTGGCATGCACCTGTAGTCTCAGCTACTTGGGAGGCAGAGATGGGAGGATTGCTTGAGCCCAGGGGGTTGAGGCTGCAGTGAGCTGTGATCGTGGCACTGCACTCTAGCCTGGGTGACGGAGTGAGACCATGTCTCAAAAAATTTTTTAAATAAAAAACAAAGAAAATAAGTCATCGGTGCAGATGAGATTGCCACAGCAAGTGACAGGATAAAAGTGACACCTCTGCCTGCCTGCCTCCAAATTAACAAGGAAGAGGGACAGAGCTCAGTGCTATCAACTTGATTACTGCCATATGCCACCCCGTCAGCCAGACCTCAGAACAGACTGAAGTTCCACCCATCTCACACATAGTCAAAGAATGCAATGAAGGAGAAAACCACACGACCGCAGCTTCAGCAAACTCACTCACTAGCCTCGCTCTGGTGCCCCAAGCTCAGTTTACAATGACTGACACAGGTGTATGACACAAATACTTCACAACATGCTTCTTTCGGGGAACCAGGAAGATAAAATAGGAGGAATATAAGAGTTTAAGAAAAGTCACTCTGTGCCTCCAAATAGACTTCCAAATAGTACATCTTCACTCCCTGTCAATGTGTGTATTTCAGGAACACAAACTCCCTTTTACATCGAATAGAACTACAAAGGTTATTCTAATGCCTTGTTCTTGATCAAGAAATACATCCCAAAGCCAAATAATAAGAAACATATTGTCTAAGAAAAGTCACTCTGTGCCTCCAAATAGACTTCCAAATAGTACATCTTTACTCCCTGTCCATGTGTGTATTTCAGGAACACAAACTCCCTTTTACATCGAATAGAACTACAAAGGTTATTCTAATGCCTTGTTCTTGATCAAGAAATACATCCCAAAGCCAAATAATAAGAAACATGTTGTCTAAGAAAAGTCACTCTGTGCCTCCAAATAGACTTCCAAATAGTACATCTTTACTCCCTGTCCATGTGTGTATTTCAGGAACACAAACTCCCTTTTACATCAAATAGAACTACAAAGGTTATTCTAATGCCTTGTTCTTGATCAAGAAATACATCCCAAAGCCAAATAATCAGAAACATATTGTCCATCATTCTGTGTTATTCTACTTCCATGTCCTCACGTAACCATGGATAATTGAGCGTGAACAATATACTTCAGCACAAAGCTGGGACTGGCTCCATCTACAACACCAACTGAGACTGGCCCATGTGGCCAAAGTAAGAAATTTAAGGCAAAGGGTTGAAACATGCACTCCTTATCAGTAGACAGGGCGATCTTCTTCAGGTAAAACAGGTACAGGAGGAAGAGCAGCAAGCCAGTGGGTGATAACTCAATTTGTGAAATGGAAACATTTTACTACAACTACCATAATTTTATAAAGGAACCCTCTATAAGGGTCATGCATGATCCCCTGGCATGCCCAACATTCTCACCAAGTGATGTTATTTTCCTTGCTTGGTAGCTGAGAAAGCCGAGGCCCAGAGAGTGGCTAAATTCCCCCAGTCTCATGGTCAACTCAGTGCAGGGTGGCCAAGGGCCCGGGAAGAGTTACTAGTGGAAGCAACAAAAGGTTCTGAGAAAATTCAGCAGGGATGATGGATGTCTCAGGAGTAAGGAGATAGACAAGAAATCAGGTGGGGCAGGAACAGCAAGCAGTTTCTTCAACTCCCTTTCATTTAGACCAGAGGAAGGCCTTGACACGGTTCCTAGAACAGCTAATTTCACACTGTCTGGGGCAGAAGACATTCTGGGTTATCTTTCACATACTGGTAAGGTACCACCATCTGGGAGTGATGGTATAGACACAGACTAAACATGCCTGCCAACACTAATTATTATTATGGAGCCAAAGAATCAATGCAATAACTTTAAAACTGCTACTAAAAAATACCTTGCTCAATAGGCAAGGATTTCTCGACTATTTACTATGCGTAGCATAATATGCTTTGGACTCATCCTGTTTATCCTGGGGTTCTTTGCTAGAGATGATTTTACCCTCCAGAGGATATACAGCAATATCTGAAGACATTTTTGTGGTCGCAAGTGGGGGATGCTACTGTTGTCTGGTCAGTAGAGGCTGGGAATGCTGCTAAACATCCCATGACAACATGCCAAACGATGCCAGACATCACAGTGCTGCTACTGAGGAACCTTGCCATCTACCCCACCATTGAACCCAGAAGCAGGAAAGCAGAAGGCATGGAACTCACTCTTCGGCCCCTTTTCTGGTACACTAAGACCTTTCATATTCTGGCTTTAAAATAACAACAAAGAGCTTCCTGTAAGATCAGCCAGTCTTCAACCTGATTTCATGTTCTTAAATACCAGAGGCAAAATGCTTGAGGCTGAGCAGTGAACCCAAGAGCCAGGCCACAAGGCCTCCTTTTCCCAGGGTTTCTCCTACCTGTGTCTCCGTGTTTCCTGCCTCTGTGAAAAAAAGACGGCAAATTCTTTGCTAAACTCTCAGGATAAGAGAGTTTAACAAAGATTCCCCAAGGAAGTCTCTAAAAACAGAGTTATGTATGCAGTGTGTGGTATCGGTATGGATTCTCTACCAGAGGTGTGTAGCTCACAGGGTATTTACTGTGATTCTACTCCTAACCTAACGACAAAAACAACTTATTTTAAAAGTACCCAAGCATTTTAATAATACACAAGAGTCTAAATAAGGCTTAGAATTGGAGACGACCCAGTCTTGACTGGGAGCTCCCCAAATCACTTTACCATTACTGCCTTTTACTGTCTAGTTCTTATTTGTTTATTTGTTTATTTTTTTGAGACAGGGTCTTGCTGGTTGTCACCCAGGCTGGAGTGCTGTGGTGTTATCACAGCTCACTGCTGCCTGGAACTCCTGGGTTCAAACAATCCTCCCATCTTAGCCCCCCGAGGAGCTAGGACTACCGGCAAGCACCACCACGACCAGCTAATTACAAAAAAATTTTTGGGGGTAGAGGCAGGTCTTGCTATATTGCCCAGGCTGGTCTCCAACTCCTGGCCTCAAGCAATCCTCCCACTTCAGCCTCTCAAAGTGCTGGGATTGTAGGCATCAGCCACTGTGCCTGGCGCTGTCTAGTTCCAATGATTAATAATCATGTTTAAAGCATTGAGAAACTCTGATCACTTAATTGTGGTTTTTAGAAACACCATTTCTTTGTCTTTAAACAGAAAATGTGGTAACTGAAAACTTGCATTCTAATAAAGAAGTCTAAGAAACGCAGCCTAGGTAGTCAGATTTAGACTGAAGATTATGGGTCTTCTTTCTGGAAACATGTACAAGCATAGGTAGTTCAGGGCTGAGGTGAGGTAAGAGAGAACTGGTTAGCTCTCTCACACCACATCTAAAGAGAAAAACGGGTTGGTGCGGGCTCTGGGAAGTGGGGCTCGGTGGACGAGCCTCACTTTGCGTCTGGCAGTTGCAGATGGCCGGGCGATGGGAAAGCCAGTATTGGCAGAGCGGTCTCCCCCTAACAAACCCACCTGCAGGCTATGGCCAGAGCACCTCACCCAGAAATCCTGGGGACAAGAAGCAAAGCCGAGTGCATGCCGGAGACAATGGGGAGAACCCATAGGCAAGGTGCCCATCCCACGAGGCACAGCAGGGCGCTTCCTCCCGCCCTCGCCGTCCCCATCTCCCTGGCAGCGCGCTGTCACTTTTGGCAGGGAGGACAGTAACGCAGGGGGAGTCGCCCACGGGCGGGACTTGTAGCTGAACCCCAGGCCTCAGACTGCAGTTGACAAGCGACTGTGACAGGCCTCGCCGGAGGAGCTGGGCCCTGAATCACCCTGCTCCCCGGCCGGCTGTCGGCGCTGGGGGAGGGGGTCCCGGGGGTCGACTCACCGATCTGCCCGATGAACTCGATCTTGATGCCCTGGTGCTCCAGCCGCTTGTTGGGGTTCTTGAGGGCAAGGCTCACCTTCCCGGAGACCGTCTCCCCGTCGTAGAAGAGGAAATATTTCTCCTTCTTCCCGTCCTCCGTCTTGTGCTCGGCCCGCTTCCTACTCTCTGCATCGTTCAGAAGGATTTCCACCTCCACGCTCTGCCCGAAGCCGAAGAAGCTCATCGCACCGCCGGGCCGGGCGGGTCTCGGTAAGGACCGCTCCCTCGCACCGGGGCGCGGGCTGCCCTAGGTAAAGAAGGCCAGAGGGCCCGATGCGCGAGCGCGCTCGGCCGCCGCGGGGCTGCCTGGCTCCGCCGCTGCCGCCGGGCAGTGGGCGCCGACGGACAGCCGGCTCCACGGGGGAGGGGCACGGCCGGGGGAGGCTGGCGGCTGCGGGCTGCGGCGCCCGAGCAGCAATGCACCGAGGAGCAGTGCCCTCGGCCGAGCCAGTCCCAGCCAGTCCCGCGGCCGGTGGCAGTGGGCGGGCGAGGGTCGGCCGTGCAATGCTGCGGGGGGCAGCCGCACAGAGCCGGGTGTGGGTGGCCTGCGCCTGCCGGGTGGGGTCCAGCGCCGAGCAGCGCTGCGAGCTGCCCAGCCTCCGGCGGTGCAACGCACCGAGGCGCTTCGGCGGCTCCGGGCGGGGGAGGGGGCGGGCGAGCTCCAGCCCGGATGCGCTGGAGCAGCGGCGCGCAGGCGCACCCCCTAACGCTCCTGGGACTCCCGGCAGCCCGGAGGAGAGCTCGCTGCGCATGCGCAGGGAGAGCGCGGCCGGCGCTCCAGCGGTCGGCATGGCAGCTGCTACCTCGCTGGGACAGGCTCTGGGCCCACGCGTGCCGCGCAGTCCCTACAGAACTGCAGTTGTCTTGTCTTCTCGGAGTGCTTTCGGCTACTTTTCCCTTATTACTTTAGCTCGATACACGTTGGGCTGCCTTTCACATTCGGATATTACGCTGTTCGAGTGCTGACGGGAAAGGCAGCCCTTTGACACGCACGCGAAATGTCGCCTGACGAGGGCAAAGGTGACAGTTACTACCGGAAGTACCCTATCTCAGATACCCTTTAGATTTTCCCCCATTGAAGAAAAACGAGGCGGGAAAAACGCTGTTAGGGTTTAACTCAGGCCCTGGCTCCTTCTCGAACGAATTAGCGGAACACCCGCAGGAGCCTTGTTTGGCTTCCACTTTTCGGCCCGCCCAGTTCTCTGAGCGTGCGGCGGACGACGCCGGTGATTGGTTGAGCGAATGGAAACGGCTCGGCGCGGTGGTTGGCCAGTGGGAAATTCTGTACGTTGTGATTGGTCCACAGGAACGACTCGGCGCGCGCGCGGGAGCGAGCTTTGAAAGTTGAGCACGGCGGCGGCGAGCCGGTGCCCTGGGATCATGGTGGCGTTGCGGGGCCTTGGTAGCGGCCTGCAGCCCTGGTGTCCGCTGGATCTTAGACTCGGTGAGCAGATGCAGCCGGGAGGCCCGGGGGCCAGGGCGAGGGTCCTATGCGTCCCCGACGATGCCTAAGCCCGGGCCGGGGTGCCGGTGGGGGCGGGGTGGGGGCGCCCGGCTGTCGGCGGTGCCTGGGGTCCCCAGGGCCGTGCCACGCCAGGATTGCGGCTAGCCAGGTTTCCCGTGGGGGCTCAAGCCGGCCAGGCCACCCTTAGAATAAGCGAATGTTGGCCAGTCTCTTCTAGCGCCTGTGCATCTGTTTTCTCGGCCTTCCCCTTCTTCCTGTGCGTGTCTTCGTGCACCTATCTATTCTTACCTATTAAGATGGTTTTAAATTGCAAATCTCTTTCTTCCGCCAGACTTATTTCTTGAACTTCATGTTCATAGGTTCCACTGGATGTCTCACATGCAGACATCATCAAACGTCACATGAGTGAAAATGGGATTCCCAAAGCCTGCTAATGGCACCATCCAAGCCACCAACCCAGGAGTCATGGCATTTCTGCTTCCCCTTTCATGCCCACTACCACTGTCCTGCCTCTGAGGTGTCTCAGGGCAGCCCCGCTCCATTCCTGATGCTGCTGCCTTCATCATAGCCTCGAGCAATTGCAGGAGTATTTTAGCTGCTTTCTGATGTTAACTGTGCCAGCCCATCCCCCACACTTTTGCAGAACGACTTTTGAAAACACAGCTTTGAATGTGTCAAGCCTGTACACCTTTAATGTTTCCCCTTTGTTTCCTAAATAAATGACCACATCCTTGGCATGCTTTATAAGAGCTGCCATTCTCTCCAGTTTGATTTTCCAAGAGCATAACCTTTGGAGTCGGACACACTTGGATTGTTCCCTTGGCTCTACCCCATAGCATCCATGTATTACCGTGCAGGTTGTTTATCCTTGCTAAACCCCTGTTTTCTGATCTGTCAAATGGGGAGTACAATATCTACCTCACAGGGGTTTTTGTAAAGATAAATTTGTACTTGCCACATAATAACTGCTGAACAGATACTAATACCCACAAGCAAACACTGTAACAATTTTGTTCATTTAGAAACACTTTAATTTCTTTCCCTTTGTGTGCTTTGTTACACTGTGCTTGCTGGGAGGCACTTTTCTGCATTTATTTGCCTGGCAAAACTCTTACATTCAGGTCCAATTGAAGAATCATCTTATTCCTCTCCCTCCTCCCCCAGTACTATTCCCTATTAAGCTCTGTAGCATTTTACATTTTACATATCTATTATTTTAACACTCATCCATAGCAAAAATAATAAATACCATCTATTGACTGTTTTTTATGTGGCTAGCACATTGTTAGGGCCTTTATACACATTATGTTTCACAAAAATCCTGTATTTCCAATGATGAAGGAGAGACTAATTATGTGTAAGTGATCAAGTCAGGATATTTGCCTCGTTCTGACTCAAAATTCAGTGGCCTCTCTTCTATCATAGGCTGCTTTTTTTGGTATCCTAAGTGTGAAATGTTGAGATCTTTGTGGACAAGAACCCTCTAGTATTCATCTTTATATCCCTAGAAGTATAAGTGGCTTCCCTAGTATTTTCTCAAAGTGTTTGTTGAGTGAATAGGTGATGTATTTCTTCCTCTTCTTCCATCCTAAGTGAAGTAGCAGAGCAGAAGTTACCTGCATTCGACAGCTGAGAAAATAGGTAGTGAGAGATTTGAATAGTGTAAAGATACTGAGGGAAAAAGACTAACTCAGTGTCTCCTATACTCTCACTCAACAATCAACACTGAAGACTTCTGTGACCAAATGGTAGATAACAGGGCCAGTTACTGCCATCCAAATTAGATTTGATGGTATTTACAGTAGGGAACTGTCATAAGCAAAACCAAAAGAAGGAGTGAGATAACTTTTGCTGTGGTCTATAATGACCTTTAAAACATTACTGGAAATTTGGAAAGAAACAATTGTATTTTTCAGATCTTCTTTCAGGCAGCATATTCCATGTCTTTGGAAGGAATGCTGTGCATAGCCACTTAGGGTACAGAGACCCCCTCCTTCAGGGTCAAGTTCAAGTGACAAAAGATGATGACCAGATTGTATTCTAAGGATGGAACTAGTTGAGTGTAAGGCCTTTCATTTTCATTTGCCGAGTGCAGTGTAATGCTCCCATCTCTGTTTTTTCCTTATTTATACCTTGCCCAACTTCTCTAAATCAGTGGTGAACAAATACTTTTAATATTAATTTGAAGGAACACCTGATTAATAATTTGAGATGTCCACATTTCCATCTAGTCCTAATTTTAGTTTGGGAAAGTGACAATGACAACACTGAAGAAATATAGTGTATTAGAAAAGAATGGGAAGGGGGGATGGAGGGATAGGGGAGGGATACCATTAGGAGAAATACCTAATGTAGATGACGGGTTGATGGGTACAGCAAACCACCATGGTACGTGTATACCTATGTAACAAACCTGCATGTTGTGCACATGTACCCAAAAACTTTAAGTTAAAAAAAAAAGTTTATCCAAAAAAAAAAGAAAAAGAAAAGAATGGGAAGATTTAGAGTTAAGAGAGATTGGTGGAATCCAGCCAGCGTGCTGTCTTAATACCCCTCCTCTCAATGTACATTCTTTCAATCAGTGTGTTTTAAAGTCACCAAGTATTCCTGGGAGTCTGAATCTGGGTTGCCTCTTCTATTTTAAACTTCCTGGAGAAATTATATATGTTTTTTAAATGCTACATGATTGTCCAAGGGCCCAATAAAGTGCTCTATATTTTATTTCCACTTATTAACTTGGTTATGATATTTTCACAAAGGAACCTCGTGGGCAATCTGATTAACCTCTGTTTCTTCTCTAGATTGAACATGTGGGAAAGCCTGATCACTGAATGTTTTGAAGTGTCCTTTCCCAAAACTCTTGTATCTGAAAAGTATTTCCTCCTTTATATTTTTAGAAGATGATTAGCTTAATAGTCAGTGTCAGTTGTGATTTAAGATTCTCTTAACCTTTTCTGGTTTTCTTTTATTATGCTACACCTATGTTATTAAAACAAGTTAAATGTGAATCGTGACTAGTAAACTTTTCTCCTCTTGAACACACCTGGAATCTAAAGGTGACTAGTTTTTTTACTTGTTACAGAGTACTTACACATTTCATTGCATTTTCCCCTAGAATGGGTTGACACAGTGTGGGAACTGGATTTCACAGAGACTGAGCCTTTGGATCCCAGCATAGAAGCAGAGATCATAGAGACTGGATTGGCTGCATTCACAAAACTCTATGAAAGCCTTTTACCCTTTGCTACTGGAGAACATGGATCTATGGAGGTAAAAATATAAAAACAAACTAGCCAAAGTTTGGTGTTAGAAGTAGAAGATGAAAGTCATTATTATAATCTGAAGCTTAGCTTTCTTGGTGTACAGTTCACAGGGAGTACAATATGAGTAACATAAAGAATGTGGTTAATTTATTGGAATATCCTAAGAGCTTTCCTCCAAAAGCTTCAAGGTACTTGTCTGATTTTTTTTTTTTAAGACACGACTGTTTTTTACAATAGCAAATTAAAGGAAAAGTATAAGGCCGGGTGTGGTGTCTTACGTCTGTAATCCCAGCACTTTGAGAGGCTGAGGCTGGCCAGTTGCTTGAGCTCAGGAGTTTGAGACTAGCCTGGGCAACATGGCAAAACCCCATCTCAGAAGGAAAAAAAAAAAGGAAAAATATAAAGGCAAAAACAAGAAAACTAGACCAAGGAAAATGCAAATAACAATTCAGACATGCCTTAACCTTAACTTTAAGAAAATCTGCGAC
Organism: Homo sapiens; assembly: GCF_000001405.40. NCBI lineage: Eukaryota > Metazoa > Chordata > Mammalia > Primates > Hominidae > Homo > Homo sapiens. The sequence continues at coordinate 134,220,090 of NC_000011.10, read as the reverse complement.
CAGGCATGGTGGCTCATGCCTGTAATCCCAGTACTTTGGGAGGCCGAGGTGGGTGGATCACGAAGTCAGGAGTTCAAGACCAGCCTGACCAAGATGGTGAAACCCCATCTCTACTAAAAATACAAAAATTAGCCGGTTGTGGTGGCGGGCTTCTGTAATCCCAGCTACTCGAGAGGCTGGGGCAGATAATTGCTTGAACCCAGGAGGCGGAGGTTACAGTGAGCCGAGATCACGCCACTGCACTCCAGCCTGGGCGACAGAGCAAGACTCTGTCTCACAAAAAAAGAAAATCTGATATTATTAAACTGAGGAATGACTAGTTGAATTAACAGGTTTGTCCAAACAGTTCCTGTAAATATTGAGTTCTATCCAATGCATAGAAATATAAATTATTATTAATATTTAGGTTGTTAGTTTTCAAAAAAAACCAAAGGGTTGGGAAACAGAACAAAAGCTAATTGGATATTAACATCTCTGAAACATTTAAATGAACAAAAAAAAATTCACTTCCAAGTTTCACATCACAAAATTAAATCATCTAATTAAACATTCCTTCAGCATAACACTAAGCACTGCCTTAAGTACCTGAGTTGACAGAGTGGGGATTACGATACAATCTCCCTAGGTTGAGGTCCTCCCCAGGGACCTCAGGGAGGAAGAGTGGACATTTGAACACTAGCCAAAGTAGGTCTAGCAGCCACATGCAGTTGCAGGGGGTGGAGAGTTCAGTGCCACTGTGCATTTGGGCGCCTGGAAATATTCTACGAACCACACTGTGAAAAATGCTCCAAGAGAGGTGCGGATTTGTTGCATAGGGTGTGAAAAAGGGAGCATGGTAGGGTTGGGAAAGTTCCAGAAAGAAAGTGGCCAGCAGCGAATCTTCACAGATGACTAGCAGAAGCTTGGGTTGTAAGGCAGTCCTAGTGAAGGAGCCACCCAATGGGAACACGCAGGAAGTGTCAAGAGGCATACAGAAAAAGTGTGGTGGAACGGGATGGTAAGGTAGAGTAAGGGTAGGTCACGGGTAGCTTTACGTGAGGTTCAGCAGTGGAGTTTGAACATGTTTGGTAGAGTGTGTATGAGGTTTTGTTCTAAGCGTCCTGCATGTATTAACTCATTTAATCCTCAAGCAGCCTGTGTGAAAGAGGTTACAGTGGGCAATAGATAGGTAACATGAATAGATCTGTTTTAAGCAGACGTTCTTGACAGTAGGTGGACTGAAGTGGGAAAAATTGTGTGCAGGGAGAGCCCTTGGGAGACTGTATTGGTGATCCAGGTGTTATGAGTAATAATGGCATGATCCGGAGTTACAATTTTGGGAACTGGAAAGGAAGACTAAAAACTAGGGACATTTTTGGAATTAGAATTAATAGGGCCTTGTGAACTAGGAAGCCCTTTTGAGATATCTTAAAAACATGGTGTGAAGTGCTAAACTGACTGGGCATAGGGAATTAGAAAAAGAAAGAAGTCAGTGATCCCCAGGGTTTCAAAACTAGGAAGATGATGATATTGTTAACCAAGGTGGGGAATAAGGGAAAAAGAGCAAGGTCAAATGGAGAAACAGTTCTGTTTAGACTTCTGAACTTGAGATTCTGTCAGGAGATCCTTGGGAAGTTTAACAGGTAGTAGAAATGTGAGACCAGGAGAGAGAAGAGAGTTCTTTAAATTGAGGTATGGGTTGAAGCACAGTGATGCATGAGATCACCGAGGGTGAGAAGCAGCCAGGACAGAAATGGAGAGCTGATTGGACGGGGTCTGCAGAGGAGCAGTCACATGTAGGGAGTGCAGGGTCACTGACGCCCAGACTAGACAGCAGCCATGGGATCACATGGGGCCAAGGTGACCCCATATGCAGAGCCCTGGTGAGCAGATGGTTTAGGGTGATCGATCACCCTCGTGTGTGAAGTGGAGGTGCAGGTGGCATTAGGAATGAGGATGTGACACTGTAAAGTTAGGAGATGATTTCTTCCCCCCCCCCCCTTTTTTTTTTTTGAGACCAGGGTCTTGCTCTGTCACCCAGGCTGGAATGCAGTGGCACAGTCAAAGCTTACTGCAGCCTCAACTTATTGGGCTCACATGAGCCTCCCACCTCACCCTCCTGAGTAGCTGGGACTACAGGTGTGTGCCACCACGCCCAGCTAATTTTTTATTTTTTGTGGAGACAAGGTCTTGCTTTGTTGCCCTGGCTGTTCTCAAACTCCTGGGCTCAAGCAGTCCTCCTGCCCTGGCCTCTCAAAGTGCTGGGATTACAGGCATGAGCCATTGTGCCCAGTGGAGATGATTTCTCCCGTAAGTTTTTTAGTTAAGGAAAGGAGAGTGCTCTGCTCACTTGAATTTTGTGGGCCTTTTTTTGTTACGATACTCAAGGATAAACCATATTTAGTTCCTGCTATGTTTAGGTTATTAAAATAACCCATTTCTTCTTCATGTGTTTAGTAGGAGAAGACATGGAATGAAGATAGAATTAATACAATTGTGGTTTCTTTTCTAGGGTTTATCTCCTTTACCTGGGCCATTTCCGAGATCTCTTTCATTTCCTGCTCCCATTGCCTGCAATCTGCAGAACATTTAAATAAAGGGCTCTGATTTCCTCAGTTAGTAATTATTGGTAAAGGAATTTGAGTTCCTTTTAATATAAATAGAGGGATAACTTTCCTGAATAATCACTAATATATGGTGTCCCAAAAGTCTTAGTGTAGTTTTAAGCTATAATTTCTGAAGTATATATGCTACAAACTTAACAAAAAATTCTTTTGAAAGTTTAATTATTTAAATATGTTATATACATATTTATCTTGGTAATTTTGAATAATATACCTTTAATTTTGATATTTTGTTTCAGTCCCTTTGAAGATGGTAAACATTTAGCAGTAGGAGCCAGGCTACTCTATTCCTCTTTTTGTAAGGCACCAAGAACTTACAAAAATCAAATAATAGGAAATGTTTCCATTTCTCTAATGACTGGCTTTTGTGATTTGCGGTCTCCCCACAGAGTATCTGGACCTTCTTCATTGAGAACAATGTTTCCCATAGTACACTGGTGGCATTGTTCTATCATTTTGTTCAAATAGTTCATAAGAAGAATGTCAGTGTACAGTATCGAGAATATGGCCTTCATGCCGCTGGGCTTTACTTTTTGCTACTAGAAGTACCAGGTATGTAGACCTGATATGATAGGATAAATCTTCTGTCATTTTTTTCTTTCTACAGTTTTCAATTCTTATACTTTGTTTCTTGTTTCTTCACTTATAAATGGGGCAGTGCTAACCCATGGCAGAGAGTTGTTGCGAGGAGCAAGTCTCTAAAGTACATGGCATGTTATAGGTCTTGGAAAACCTTCCCCCTTTTTTTTTTCATCCGAAGTTATGCTATCTATAAACTAATAAAAATAGTCTGAGAAGGAGTGCAAGAGTTCCACGCCCACCCTCCACCACGGCCGTCTAAAATTCTGATATTGCCCTTTCTTCTCATGATTCCTTGTCTAGACTGAGAAATACTGCTGTGGGGAGTCATTGCTTTTTACCTCTCCGATGTTGGTATTGAAAAATAGATTAAAACCATTCTAATCAAGAAAGCAGGAAAGCAGCTAGTAATACTTGAAGGAGAGCACTGACCAGGAGTCTGTTTTCGAGCACTGTTTTACTTGATTGTCAGAGCACTGAGGAGGCTGTTCCTCCTATGACAGTGAAATCCATTCTCTTCCCTACTCCAAACACAGGGTGAGAGAGAGTGGAACATAGAGATTGAGTCAGATAACCTGAAGTTCATATGGAAAAGAGAATGGCAAGATCAGTCACCTTGCTGCTTATCTTTGTTTAATTACAAATGTTTAGCAAAGGATTTATTCCATGTGATCTGGGAATGGGCAAAAAGGTCTTATATTTAAAGCCCTGAACATTGATTTGTGTTGTTGTTAATGCTCCCATCATGACTTTGGAAATGAGTAAGTTCCTAAAGGATTTTGTTGCTAAGCAGTGTCTCGGTTGTAACTAGGCCCTCTCTCAAAAAAGTAGTGGTTTTAGAAACCCAGTTTCACTCTCCTCTTGCCAGATGCAGTTTCTTCTGATTAAGGTTGAGATTTATGCCAGAGCAAAGAGGTGGCTGTTACTAATTGCGTGGGCCACTTGCAGCTTTCCAGCAAGCCGTATTCCTGCCAGTTACCTTCTGTTTTTAAATGTTTCGGGTTTATGATTGGGATGCTGTCGATACTTAACATTCGATCACAGTATATTCTTTTTCAGGATCGTTTTGGTTGTTCTGCCTCCCTTGCATTTCCATGTGAATTTTAGGATCTGTACGTGAATTTCTGCAACAATAAAAAAGCCAGCTGCGGTTTTGACAGGGATTGCATTGAAACTGTAGATGAGTTTGTGAAGTATTGCCAATTTAACAACATTAGGTCTTCTAATCCCTAGCCGCAGGATGTCTTTCCATTTATTGTAGATCTTCTTTAATTTGTTTCAATAATGCTCTATAATTTTTGGTGCGCAACTCTTGCATCTCCCCTTTAAAATTTATTCTTAAGTGTTATTTTCAATGCTAGTGTAAATGAAATTGTTTTCTTAATTTTATTTTGGTTTATTAGTACTGTATAGAAGCAAAATTGATTTTGATTATTGATCTTCTATCCTAGAACCTTGCCAAACTCATTTGTTGGTTCCAACAGGGTTTTCTTTGTGTAAGATCATGTCATCTGTGAATAGACACAGGTTTACTTCTTTCTTTCTAGTCTGGGTTCTTTCTATTTATTTTTCTTACCTATTTGCCCTGGCTAGAACCTCCAGTACAGTGTTGAATAGAAGGGGAGCGTGGGGATCCTTGTCTATTCCTGATCTTAAGGGGAAAGCATCCAGTCTTGCCTTTAGGTATGATGTTACCTGTGGGTTTCTCAGGATGGCCCTTATTAAGTTATTATTCCTAGTTTACTGAGTGCTTCATTATGAAAGGCTGTTGGATTTTGTCATTCGCTTTTCTGCACTTGTGAAGTGCTCATGTGGTTTTTGTTTCTTATTCTAATATAGTATATTACATTGGTTGATTTTCACATATTAAACCAATTTTGTATGACCTTGGTCATGGTGTATAATCCTTTTTATATGTTGTCAGAGTGTTTGCTAATATTTTGTTGAAGGTTTTTTGTCTATATTCATAAGGGATATTCTTTTTTTGAGATATTTTTGTCTGGTTTGAGTATCTGGGTATCTTGGTAATACCATTTTCATAGAATAAGTTACATAGTATTCCCTTCTCTTCTGTATTTTGGAAGATTTTGGGTTTTCTTTTTTCTTCAGATGTTTGGTAGAACCCACTAGTGAAGTCATCTGGGCCTGGAGTTTTTTGAAAGAAGTTTATGTTTGTAGAATTTCTAGTGATCTCCTCTCATGCCTGATGTTGGTGATTTGTATTTTGTTTTTTCTTGATCAATCTAGATCGAGATTTATTCATTTTACTGTTCATTTTGGAGGGCCCCCTTTTGATGTCATTAATTAAATTCTGTTGTTTGTCCCTTTCTTGTTTCATTGATTTCTGGTCTTATGTCTACGATTTCCTTTCTTCTTACTTTGGGTTTAATTTGCTCTTATTCTGACTTTTTAAGGTAGATGCTTAGATCTTTGTTCTCACATGCATTTCTTTGTTTCTAATACAAGTATTTAATACTATAAATGTCCCTCCAGGTACAGCTTCATCTGCATCCCACAAATTTCGATGATATGTTTTTACTGTTGTGCAGGCCAAAGTGATTTTCAAATTTTTCTTGTCATTACTTACATCTCTGAGTTGTTTAGTAAATTGAGTTTATTTTCCAAATATTTGAACTTTCCTGAAATCTTACTGTAATTGAGTTTTAATTGGTGGGATCAGAGAACATACTTCATATGATTATGATACTTTTAAATTATTTAGTTGTGCCTTTTTTTTTAATGGACTTAGAGTCTAATTTGGTGAATCTTCCATTTGCACTTTAACAGAATGTGTACCTTGCCTTTGTTGGATCTAGTATTCTGTAAATGTCAGTTAGGTCAAGTTGGTTACAAATGTTATTCAAGACTTACATATGCTTCCTGATGTTCTGTTTATTTGTTCTATCTGTTGTTGAGAGAGGAATGTTGGAATCTCTAAGAATAATTATCAGTTTATCTATTTCTCCTCTCAGTTCTTTTAACTTAAGATATTGTGAAAGTCTGACGGATACAGATGTATTTATGATTGTCATGTCTTCCTGATGGATTGGTCCTTTTAGTATTATGTTATGTCCTTGTTTGTCTGGTTATATTCCTTGTCTTGAAGTCTACTTTGTCTAATACTAAGATAGCCACTATAGTTATCTTAAGATTTGTCCTTGGTTGGTACATCATTTCTCATGCTTTTATTTGTAACCTATCCATATGTTTATATTTAAAGGTTTTCTTGTAGACTGCCTGTCACGTGGTCATGGCTTTTCTTTTTCTTTTTTTTTTTTTTAAGAGAGACGAGGCCACACACGGTGGCTCACACCTGTAGTCCCAGCACTTTGGGAGGCTGAGGCGGGCGGATCACTTGAAGTCAGGCATTTAAGACCAGCCTGGCCAACATGGTGAAACCCCGTCTCTACTAAAAATACAAAAATTAGCCGGATATGGTAACACGTCTGTAATCCCAGTTACTCGGGAGGCTGAGGCAGGAGAATCGCTTGAACCCAGGCAGTAGAGGTTGCAGTGAGTTGAGATCGTGCCACTGCACTCCAGCCTGGGTGACAGTGAGACTCTGTCTCAGAAAAAAAAAAGAGAGGTCCAGGGTCTCAGTCTGTCACCCAGGCTGGAGTGCAGTGGCAATCATAGCTCACTTTAACCTTGAACTCCTGGGCTCCTCAGCCTCCAGAATAGCTGGAACTACAAGTGTGAGTCACCATGACAAGCTAATTATTATTACTTTATTTTATTTTTGTAGAGACAGGGTCTCGCTATGTTGTTGCCCAGGCTGGTCGCAATCTCTTGGCCTCAAGTGATCCTCCTGCTTCAGCCTCCCAAAGGGCTGGGATTGTAAGCATGAGCCCTCACACCCAGCCCATTTGGTCATGCTTCTTTCTGACAATGTTTGCTTTTGTATCAGAATGTTTAAATTGTTTAGCTGATTACATTTAGAGTAATTATCAATGTAGCTGGGTTTCTGCCATTTTTCTATTTATTTTCTATTTCTTTAAACCTGTTTTTTGCTCAATTTTTTCCTCTTCCTGCCTTGTTTTGGATTTTAGTATCCCTTGTCTCTTTTGGTGTATTAGCTATACTCTTTTGCATGTATGTGTATGTTTTATGTGCTTGCTTTGTGTATGCAGTAGGCACTTCTCACAGTTTATCTTCAGATAATATTCTCCCAATTTATATATGATGTAAGAACAACCTTAAAACAGTGTATTTTCCTAGGTTGGGTGAGGTGGCTCATGCCTGTAATCCCAGCACTTTGGGAGGCTGCTGCCGGCAGGTCACTTGACGTCAGGAGTTCTAGACCAGCCTGGCCAACATGGTGAAACCCATCTCTACCAAAAAAGAAAACAAAAAATGAAAATTAGCCCAATGTGGTAACGCATGCTACTCAGGAGGCTGAGGCAGGAGAACCACTTGAACCCAGGAGGTAGAGGTTGCAGTGAGCCGAGATCCACGCCACTGTACTTCAGCCTGGGCAACAGATCCAGACTCCAGTGGAACACACACACACACACACACACACACACACACACAAAACAACAAAAAGTATATTTTCCTTTCTCCTCTCCTCTTGTGTGTTATTTTTTCTACATGTTATAAAGCCTACATTTCATTAATGCTTATTTATCTTTTATAGAATTTTTTAGAAACAAGATAAACAGCTTTTATATTTGAAAGATTAATCTCCTATAATTTTCCTTCTGCCTGAAGAACTTTTTATTTTTAAACATTTAGTGCAGGTCTGCAAGCCATAAACCCTCTCAGGTTTTGATTGTGTGAAATATCTTTATTTCACCTTCAAGAATCTTTTTGCTGAATATAAAATTCTGAGTTAACTTTTTTTTGCTTTTTGGTGGGATTATCTATGCTTTGTTGTGATTGCCTCTGTGCTTATTGCGATTGGGTTCATTGAGCTTCTTGGATCTGTGGACTTATAGTTTCAACAAACTTGGAAATTTTTTAGTGACTTTTTCTCCAAATGTTGTCTTCCTTCCCCTTTTTTGGGACTTCAGTCACTCCTGTGTTAGACTGCACGATGTTCTCCCATGGGTCACTGAGTCTTTATTAGCTTTTTGGTTTCTACGCTCCTGCTGTATCTTCAAGTTCACTTATCTTTGTTTCAGTAATAACCAAGCCACTATTAAGCCCATCTAGTGAATGTTTCTTTTTCAGATCAAGGAAGTTCTGTTTGCTTCTTTAAAATTTTTTTTTTTCATTTCTCTCCTCATGATAATGTTTTACTTTTAATTCTTGAGCTGCTTTAAGGTTGTTGTCAGCTGGTTCCATTATCTCTGTCATTTCCTGGGCTGTTTTTATTGACTGATTTTTCTTATGGGGCACATTTTCCTGCTTTTTAGCACTCCCTGTAATTTTTTTACTGGATGCTGGACATTTTGTGTTGTTTTTTTTCCCCCTGTATTTTTTGTAAAGACAGGGTTTTGCTGTGTTGCTCAGACTGGTCTCAAACTCCTGGACTCAAGTGATCTGCCCACCTCAGCCTCCCAAAGTGTTGGAATTACAGGCATGAGCCACTGCCCTTAGCCAGGATGTTGGGCATTTGGAATGTTGTTGAGTGTCTGGATTTTGTTGTTTTCCTTTAAATACTATTGAAGTATGTTTTGATAGGCAGCTATTGGTGGATTAACTTGATCCTTTTGAGGCTTGTTTTAAAGCTTTATTAGAGCTGATGTAAAGTAGCCTTTATGCTATATCGGGTTTAGCCCTACTGTTAAGGTGTGTTTGTTCTGAGGTCTCTACTGAATGCTCTAGGTGTTTAACAAGATCACTCCACTCTGGCTGGCCACAACTCAAATGTATCTGAGCCTTGTGTGAGTTGTGAAAATAATTCATCTTCTTGCTCCTTGGAAATACTTCTTTGCTCTCTGTCTTAGAATTTTACCCTGTGCATGTGTAGCTTATGTTCAGCCCTGGGCCGATTTCTAGAACTCTTTTTCTGTGTAGGTTCTTCTGTTCTATAAATTCCATCTACCCTGTCTTTCTGACTCTGCTTTTTCAACATAGTAAGACCATTATAATTTGTGTGGATTTACCATTTCTCTGCCGTTGTCCAGAAATTCCCTCTGGATACAATACTGGGGCAACTTGAGGGTTTACCTCTGTTTCCCTTTTTTCAGGGATTGCCCTTCTTATGCTGCCTGGTGCCCAGTGTCTTAAATTGTTACTTTATAAATTTTTGCCCAGTTTTCTAGTCGTTAACAAGTGTAAAGCCAGTTCCTCTGTCCTGGCCAGATTTGGAAATCTTGTTACTTACCTCTGATGCAGCGCTGTCTCCTCTACTAAGGCTGACGTTGCAAATGGTACTCTTGCTACAGGTTCATTGTTATTCACAGTCATGAAAAGCCTGTGTTTTGCTTTGTAACTTTTCATCTGATGTTATAGATATATTTCAAGACAATTAAATCTAACTTGCTTACTCTTTATTCCTCATGAATAGGCAGTGTAGCCAATCAAGTATTCCACCCAGTGATGTTTGACAAATGCATTCAGACTCTAAAGAAGAGCTGGCCCCAGGAATCTAACTTGAATCGGAAAAGAAAGAAAGAACAGCCTAAGAGCTCTCAGGCTAACCCCGGGAGGCATAGAAAAAGGGGAAAGCCACCCAGGAGAGAAGATATTGAGGTAAGAAGTAAGTTGAGTATAAAACATATATACCAACACACGATTTGCTTTATTTAAGGATTGACTTTATACTAAACATGGTTTCAGGCATCATGATTATAGGCAAATGGTCCTAAACCATCATAAGCTATCCAATACTGCTTTGTGTCTTCGGCTTCATATAATTTTTCTTTCTTTCTTACTTTCTTCCTTTTTTCTTTTTCTTTTTCTTTTTGAGACAGAGTCTTGCTGTGTCGCCCAGGTTGGAGTGCAGTGGTGCAGTCTCAGCTCACTGCAACCTCCACCTCATGGGTTCAAGTGATTCTCCTGCTGCAGCCTTCCGAGTAGCTGGGGCTACAGGCATGCGCCACCACACTCAGCCAATTTTTGCATTTTTTTGTAGAGATGGGGTTTCACCATGTTGGCCAGGCTGGTCTCGAACTCCTGGCCTCAGGTGATCCACTCACCTTGGCCTCCCGCTGGGGTTACAGGCATGAGCCACAACACCCAGCCTAATTCCATATTCTTATGTGACACGGTAGAATGACAGAATTTCATAGACAGCAAAAATTCTGAAAAAAAGGATTCCTCATTGACACAAAACTAGAAACTACTGTAGCGGTCATCTAGTCCAGTGATTTACTGTTGTGGCCAAGGAGACCTAGAACAGTCATGCGACCTGGTCAAAGTCATATCACCTCAACATCAGCTCCTGCCTGGAGTTTATCTGGGCTTGGTTTGGGTAAATTGAAAACCATGGGACAAAGTGTTTGGCATTTATTACAGTCACCTGTACATTTCTTCATAATCTAGATGGATGAAATTATAGAAGAACAAGAAGATGAGAATATTTGTTTTTCTGCCCGGGACCTTTCTCAAATTCGAAATGCCATCTTTCACCTTTTAAAGAATTTTTTAAGGCTTCTGCCAAAGTTTTCCTTGAAAGAAAAGCCACAATGTGTACAGAATTGTATAGAGGTAAGTGAAAATTCCAGGAACCTTAGGGCAACTTCAAAGGATTAGACTATGGCTAATACCTGATCAGTAGAAAAAATCAGGCCTTTTCTTCATATCTGTTTTCTAGGTCTTTGTTTCATTAACTAATTTTGAGCCAGTTCTTCATGAATGTCATGTTACACAAGCCAGGTGAGCCATTAAATCTTCCAGTGCTACAATTTAAGTATAGTGTACCAATTTTTGCTCCAGCAGAAATGGAAATACCATTTTATCCCAATTGGCACACAGGTAGAATTTATTCATTTAAACATGGCTTGTAGGACTAAGAAATATTCCAAGTAAAATCATATCCATTAACTAATATTTCGTCTTTTTTTTTTAGAGCTCTTAACCAAGCAAAATACATACCAGAACTGGCTTATTATGGATTGTATTTGCTGTGCTCTCCCATTCATGGAGAAGGAGATAAGGTAAAGGAGATGAGAACCTAATTTGGTTACTAGTTGAATCGAAGGCACATGAACCATATGATGGAAATATGTTAAAAGCATTTGATATAATGCCATTTCAATTTACTAGCTCATTTTCATGACCTTATATTATTTGCATAATAAAAAGTATCACTATTTCTATTTGCTCTCTGTTCTTTATTGCCAACTTTATATCTGAATACTTGGTGGCTGCAGCAAATTATTGTTAGGCTCCAGTTAGAAAAAATGGTTCTGCTGTGAATGAAATAGGAGGAACAGATAAACTGCTGAACAGTTACTTCTATAGGAACAGATGAGCTGCTGAACACTTACTTCTATAGGAATATTTCCCAAATCATTCTAAAAAGTAGAATAGTCAGAGAATTTTCAAGTTTCCCTTGGCAATTCATGTGCGCTTCAGTATTTCTATTGGTAGTTGTATTATTTGTGTTGATATGCTATGGAAATTTTGTAGGTTGTCACCCGTGGTCAGCATGGATACCTGGGTTTTGCCTCCAGGTTACCTGAACGCCACTACTACTAGAAACTTTGCAGTTAGAGTTAGTTGCGCATGATGCTGTTACTAAACTTAGATGTCTTAAATGAAACAATAAGATTTTGCAAAAAAATGTGTTGGACCAAGGTCATGTGGCTTTTGGTATCTGCGACGCGTTACCTTGCAGAGGCAGTAACCTGGTTACGAAGATATTTTTGGGGATGCTTGGGGGGTTCCGCACATCTGTGTTTGCTTTCTGACTTCACCACTTACTAGCTGTGGGTCCTTGAATGAGCCATTCACCCTGGCTAAAGCGTTAGATTTCACTTATGGACAAAAAGGACCAAAGTCTACCTTCTTTATCGATTTGTCACAGGATTAAATGAAGTTGAGCAGGCCGCCTACCGAGCACAATGCCTGTTGTTTAGAAACATTCGGTATTTTATAAGTTTAGTATCTTTATCACTTCTGTGTGCTTGAAATATGAATGTGATAACATTTACAGTAATGTTTTTAATTCGCATGCCCTTTTAAATATTTTAAACAATAACATAGGTGGGAAAATTCATCCCTTTAGGTCTACTGTGTCTCTAAAGATGGTTTTTTTTTTTTTTTTTTTTTTTTTGAGACGCAGTCTCGCTCTGACACCAGGCTGGAGTGCAGTGGCATGATCTCGGCTCACTGCAACCTCAGCCTCCCAGGTTCAAGTGATTCTCCTGCCTCAGCACCCCCTAGTGGCTGGGACTACAGGTGCGCGCCACCATGCCCAGCTAATTTTTGTATTTTTAGAGATGGGGTTTCACCATGTTGGCCAGGATGGTCTTGATCTCTTGACCTCGTGATCCACCCTCCTTGGTTTCCCAAAGTGCTGGAATTACAGGCGTGAGCCACTGCGCCCAGTCGGTATTTTTTTTTAATTGTGAAAGTACTGACTTGATGTCAGGCAATGTTGGTTTTTAGCCTTATTTTTAATTATTTGATCTTGGACAGCTCACCTTTGGAGCTTTTTTTAATTATCTGTGAAGTGGAAATTATACATGTCCTGCTTACATTATGGAATTGTTGTAAGGTTTAAAATTAAATGTATATTTTATATATATATAGTAAAATCTAGCTATGTAGATGAAAGTGCTTAATGCAATACCTACCACTTACTTGGTTTTCAGTAAATGTTTTATTTATTGGATGAATAAATTAATTAGTGACTATGTTATATGAGATAATATGTTGGAAAGTGCTTTGTAAACTGGAGGCAAAAAGCAGGTGTAAAGTATCGTTCTTTCCCCTTTTGAATAAGGGAACATTAGTAGCATTCTTTGCCCTATGTAAATGACAGTTAATTCCCTATTTGTCCTAAATTCTGGGTTATGATATGCAAAGGGTGGGGAGAGAAACTAGGTATTGTTTTTATCAGACATATCATCTGTCAGCCATTCTTTCACACTGTTTACATTGTGCATTTATTGTATCCCTGCTCATTGTTTAAGAAATATATCCCTAGTGTTCAGCCAGCAATTATGCCAGCCTGACCTACCTTCAGATGGCTTGAAATGGTTTACTACAGTCTGCATCACTATGTCTGAGACCCTTGTGTTCTCCATCCGATCTTAAATTGAATTTTCTTTTCTCTTCTAGGTCATCAGTTGTGTTTTCCATCAAATGCTCAGTGTAATATTAATGTTAGAAGTTGGTGAAGGATCCCATCGTGCCCCCCTTGCTGTTACCTCCCAAGTCATCAACTGTAGAAACCAGGCGGTCCAGTTTATCAGGTGAAGCACACAAATCGTGAATTTTCACCCTGTCAGTCTCCCTCAGTACTCTGGGCCCTGCACTAAGATTTCTGATACATGTAGACTTAAAATTTCTGGCCTGATGGTGGTTTTGGGGGTGAAAACCAAGCACTTCGTAGCTAATGTGCTTTATGTGTCTGGGTCTCTGTTGGTAGGCTCCCAGCTGGGGCACTGTTAAAGAGATAGGAATCTGCAGAACACGGGCCAGCGCCAGCCTCCAGCTTGTTTGCGCTCAATATGTGGGTCAGCCTCAGAGAGAGGATGGTGGCCTCTCCTCCTTTCCCTTGTCTGCTTCATTGCAGCCAGTTCACCTCTTTCCCTTTTCTGTTGCTCTCTACTTTGCAGCTCTTTGCTTTTGTTCTTTGCCACTTTCTTCTTGTTTCTTTGCACTTTTCTATTCCTTTCCCTCTGTAGAAATGACTTGAAGGAAAGGATTGAGTTGCTTTTTACCTCCGTAGCAATAAGTGTTAGACTACTTTTCCTCTCATGGGTCACTCAGCTTCACTTAAAAACTCTCATGCCTTAGTTTCACTGGCAAGGACATGTTTGCTGCGTTGTTGGCTTTTCCTTCCCTCCTTCACTGATTTTTGGCGTGCAGTGTGGAGGTGGTGCCGAGACATGGTGTGCATGTGCAAGTGTGTGCATGCCTTGGGTGTGCACAGTGTGCAGGGTAGTTGGAGACATGGGGTGTGTATGACGTCATCTTGTGACTGAGCAAATGTCTCTCACTAAGGACTTTTTAAAACATTAAGTAACTAAAATGTTTTAAGTGAAAACACGATCGTTTCGTTTTTTCCATGAGAGTTTCTCATATGCCAGTCGCAATAGTCTTCATGTAATGTTACAGATAAACATCACTAAAAATGGATCAAGTCTGGGCATTGTAGAAATTTCTTCTTGAGGCGGGGCGCGGTGGCACATGCCTGTAATCCCAGCACTTTGGGAGGCCGAGGCGGGCGGATCACCTGAGGTCAGGAGTTGAAGACGAGCCTGGCCAACATGGTGAAACCCTGTCTCTACTAAAAAATACAGAAACTAGGCGTGGTGGCGGGCACCTGTAATCCCAGCTACTCGGGAGGCTGAGGCAGGAGAAACTCTTGAACCCGGTGGGGGAAGTTGCAGTGAGCCGAGATCACACCATTGCGCTCCAGCCTGAGCGACAAGAGCAAAACTCCATCTACAAAAAAAAAAAAAAGAAATTTCTTATTGGGTTAAAGTTTGGAGAAGTAATGTTACTAATGCATTTCACTGAGCTACCATGAGGTGGTACTGTGTCTTAGTCAATTTTTATATTTATCCCCAAAGGATATATTTTACATCTTCATATGAAATTTAGTAAGTAGTCAAAAGAATTGTATGAAGATTACATTTTTGTTCTTACCTGATGACTTAGCTACTCTGCAGCAGCTCTCAAAACTGCACGGGAACTACTTCACAGTTTTCTACGATGACATTTTATGTCTTCACTCTTCATTCTACTGAAACCACTCTTATAGCGTGAGGTAGAGTGTTTTAATAACTAGGATTTCTAAATATAGGAGTAGTGGTTTTTGGGGACAGTCGCTGACTGTATTGTGAACAGTAGATGTGTTTTTCTTTTACAAAGCGCCCTTGTGGATGAATTAAAGGAGAGTATATTCCCAGTCGTCCGTATCTTACTGCAGCACATCTGTGCCAAGGTACTGTTTGCCTTAGTAATATTAATAACATGGAAGTATATCGTGTGTGAAGATAAATGTGTGTGTGTGTGTGTGAGTGTGGGTATTTGTTCTTGGGAATGAGTGTGCATTGTTACTTAAAGTGGTTTTATTTAATGTTCACTAGATGGTCCCCTAGACAAAAGTGTTCTATAAAAAACAAAAAAACAAAAAAACTTTGTTTTGGAAAAATGTTGAACATACACACAGAAACAGGGAAAATAGGCTGGTGAACCACCACATACCCATCACCGAGTTCCACAGTTTTGTGTCACTTAAACCCCTACCCCACATCCCCCAACATGTGTATACTGGATTGTGTTTTGAAGCAAATTCCATCATATCCTTTCACGGTAATTCCTTAATATTATCAAACATCCAGTGTTCAAATTTCCATGATGATCTCTACATTTTTATAACCATTTAGACAAATGATTCTTAATTTGAACCTTATGAAACCTGGGGATCTAAAAACTCTCTGAAATTGTATACTAAATTTGTATGTGCATTTTTCTGGAGAGATGGTTTATAGATTTCCTTTAGATTAGTTTTGAAGTGTTCTAAAACCTAAAATTTATTAGTCATTTACGTAACATTTAAAGGTCATTGAACTAGTTGTACTCACTGACTTTCAACTTATATTACAGAATATGTTTCAGCCATCCTGCGGGTGGATATTGGTTGGTCAACTTCTCTTTTTGCTTTTCAGGTGGTAGATAAATCAGAGTATCGTACTTTTGCAGCCCAGTCCCTAGTCCAGCTGCTCAGTAAACTTCCTTGTGGGGAATACGCTATGTTCATTGCCTGGCTTTACAAATACTCCCGAAGTTCCAAGGTAGGAGATAGCTCTGCATAAAACCTTGGGTCCTTTTTAAACTCTTTTTAAAAGGGTCTCTTTTTCTAGGTCTGAATGAGGAGGGTTCTTTGGTTCTTACTCCTATCTGATGGCAATTCTTATGATCTTGCTTTACCAGATCCCACACCGGGTTTTTACTCTTGATGTTGTCTTAGCTCTGTTAGAACTGCCTGAAAGAGAGGTGGATAACACCCTCTCCTTGGAGCATCAGAAGTTCTTAAAGCATAAGTTCCTGGTGCAGGAAATTATGTTTGATCGTTGCTTAGACAAGGCGCCTACTGTCCGCAGCAAGGCACTGTCCAGCTTTGCACACTGTCTGGAGTTGACTGTTACCAGTGCGTCGGAGAGTATCCTGGAGCTCCTGATTAACAGTGAGTATGGCGACTATTGGGACAGTAAACCGGTCTTGTGCTCATTGAGAAATAGACTGCAAGGGAATCGTTCTTTTCTGTGGCAAAAGTAATAGGTATGGCATGATCTATTTTTACTCTCAAAACCATTTTTAGTATATTTTCTTGCCAAATAACTTTTTAAATAGGCAAGCCTGATACATTTGCAAGGCCTTTTAAAAGTATTTCAGATGTTCATATCTGAGAGGTGACATTGGTGGCTACCTTTACTGTTGCTTTGCATTGGTGGGCATTGGTCGTATTAGGATGAATCTCCGTTTCAATGCATACCCAAGGAGAACGTTATCAGTTGTCAGCAATTTAGAATCTGTCTGCCTTGTCTTTGAGCCTAATTATCTTGATTTTGATTCCTCCGTGGATAATTACTCAGTTTATGATACTGACTTCTTCCTTCTTATCTTTCTTCTTGTTTTTAGGTCCTACGTTTTCTGTAATAGAGAGTCACCCTGGTACCTTACTGAGAAATTCATCAGGTAATGGATCAATACATTTTCAAATATTGAATGATTATCTTTTAAAAATTTGTGGAATATTTAAAATGTTTTTCTTACCTCCTTATTTACCTGCTTTAACATTGTACTTTTTTCATGAGAGAGGTTGAAATTCATTTCAGTAATAATGTTGTAACTTAAATGAGTAACATGCCCTGCTAATGTTATTAAAAGTATAACACATTTTTAGCTTAATGACTGTAATTTTTTTTTTAAAGCTTTTTCCTACCAAAGGCAGACATCTAACCGTTCCGAACCCTCAGGGGAGATCAACATAGACAGCAGTGGTGAAACAGTTGGATCTGGAGGTATGTCAGATTTTATCACTGTCAGATAGGTAATACTGCTGGATTTCAGACAACCGTAAGTAGAGTCTAAAACCTTGGATTTTTTTTTTTTTTTCTGATTTATTCACCCCTAAGAGTTGAAACAGCTGGCTGGGCGTGGTGACTCATGCCTGTAATCCCATAATCCCAGCACTTTGGGAGGCTGAGGCCTGCAGATCACTTGAGCCCAGGAGTTCAAGACCAGCCTGGGCAACACATCAAGACCCCATCTCTTAAAAAATATATATAAAAATCAGCTGGGCGTGGTGGTGTGCCCCTGTGGTCCCAGCTACTCAGGAGGCTGAGGTGGGAGGATGGCTTGAGCCCAGGAGTTCCAGGCTACAGTGAGCTCTGATCATACCACTGTACTCCAGCCTGGGCGACAGTCTGTTTAAAAAATTAAAAAATGAAAATAACACTGCAGGGCAGTCTGCTTTTTTGTACCAGCTTAGTTACTAAATAGCTGCATGATCTAGGGGTATACCTGTCGTTTTCCGGTTGTAACACCCTCCCATCTTTCCCAGACGACTGTTGGGAAAGTCTGTAGAAACAACATTTAAGAAAGTGATTTAAAGAGAGAGAGACACAGATAAGAGAGAGAAAGAGCATGTACGTAGAGGATTAATTACATAATTGGGTTTATTAATTTATTCAATAAACCTTGATCTGGTCCTTCCCGATGCGTTCCAGGCATTGGAGATGCACAAGTCTGTGAGACAGAGCTCCATCTCTTAAGGATCAGTGGAGAGACAGGTGCTTGTGCACACAAGTGTTCTCATATATACAATTGTGCACACATGTATGCGGAACACTGAGATAGGTGCCGAGATGCACAGAAAGCGCCCTGAGGATGATTACATTACTGCTTTTATTATTCAGCCTAGAAGGTCAGCGTGAAATTGGGTTCAGGAGGCTAGATATTAGCATGTATTACTCCAATTCAGAGCGATAACTACATTTATAATAAACAGGTTTTCTAAATGTGGTAGGAAAATGTACTCTGGAAAAATGCTGAATGTTTGTGTTGGCTCCAGACTTCGTCTAAACAGGTTACGGATTTACGGTGGCACAGACTTTTTCAAGCAATATCAAGTTGAGGTGATTTAATGATGCTTAAAAATTATGAAAGTTCGGGGACGCAAAGAGCCCATGTTTCCAGTGCATTGTTCATAAGCTGAAAGGACATATATTGTTGGCATTAATTGTACATTAAAAATTTTGTATAGTCACTTAGATGCACTTTGCTCTCTTTGCTTTTTCTTATTAAGGCAGAGTTCACACACCATAAAGTTCACCATGGAAAGTGTATAATGTAGTTGTTTTAGTATAGTCACAAGATTGTACAGACTAATTCCAGAACATTCCATCAGCTGAAAAATAAACCCCATAGCCATTAGCAGTCACTCCCCATGCCCCTTTCCTCCTAACACTGGCAACCAGTAATTTTCTTTCCTTATAAAATTGCCTATTCTGGGCCAGGCGTGGTGGCTCACACCGGTAATCCTGGCACATTGGGAGGCCGAGACGGGAGGAGGATCACGAGGTCAGGAGATCGAGACCATCCTGGCCAACATGGTGAAACCCCGTCTCTACTAAAATACAAAAAATTAGCTGGGCGTGGTGGCACACACCTGTAGTCCCAGCTATGAGGAGGCAGAGGCAGGAGAATCGCTTGAACCCAGGAGGTGGAGGTTGCAGTGAGCCGAGATTGCGCCACCGCACTCCAGCCTGTTGACAGAGCGAGACTCTGTCCAAAAAAAAAAAAAAAAAATTGCCTATTCTGGACATTCCGCATAAATGCAGTCATGTACTGTGTTGTCTTTTGTGTCTGACTTCTTTCACCTATAGCGTGTTTTCAAGGCTCATTCATGTTATAGCATCTATCAGTACTTCATTCCTTTTTGTGCTGAGTAATAGTCAGTTATAAGGATACACCACATTTTGTTTATGCATTCATCAGTTGATGAACATTTGGGTTGTTTTCACTTTTTGGCTATTGTGACTAATGCTGCTGTAAGTATTCTTGTATGAGTTTTTGTATAGATGTGTGGTTTCATTCCCTCTGAGTGTATACCTAGGAGGAGAACTGCTGGGTCGTATGGTAACTCTATATTCAACATTTTGAGGAACCACCACACTTTTTCAAAGTGGCCACACCATTTTACAATCCTGCTAGCAACGTATGATAATCCTATTTCTCTGCATTCCTACCAACACTTGCCATGTCTGTCTTTTTTATTTTAGCCATCTTTGTGGGTATGAGGTGGTATCTGCTTGTGGTTTTGATTTACATTTCCCTAATGGCTAATGATGTTGAGTAAATTTTCATAGGCTTATTGGCCATATACATACGTTTTCTTTGGAGAAATGTCTATTCAAGCTCTTTGCCCATTTTTTAATTGGGTTATCTTTTATTTTTGAGTTGAAAGAGTTATTTTTATATATATACCTTATCAGATATATGATTTTTAAAGACTTGTCCCAGTCTGTGGGTTGTCTTTTCAAATGGTATTCTATGAGGCACAAAACATTTTAATTTTGATGAAGTCCAATTTATCTTTTTCTTTTTTTACTCATGCTTTTGGTATCACATAGCTAAGAAATCGTTGTGTAATCCAAAGTCACAAAGATTTACTCCTGTGTTTTCTTCTAAGGGTTTTATAGTTTTAGCTCTCACATTTAGGTCTTTGATCAATTTTCAGTTAATTTTTGAATATGGTGTGATATAGGGGGTCCACCTTCACTCCTTTGCATGTGACTATCCAGTTGACATAGCACTGTTTCTTTCAGCCTGTTCCTTCACCTGTGAGTGTCTTGGCACCCTTGTAAAAAAATCACTTGACTGACTTGTATAAGCTCATGAGCTTATTTGTGTGCTCTATATTCTATATTAATGGAATTTTATTTCATTAATCTATATATCTGTCTTTATGTACCACATTGTGTTGATTGCCGTTGCGTTCTAGCGTAGGAGAGGGGAAATAATTTTTTCTTCAGTCCTCATGAGTTCTTCCTCGGGATGGATCCCCATAACAAGACAAACAAGTTTATTAACATGTCTAGTGCGTGTTATGCGGGAGAGATCTCAATGCAAAGTAACTGAGGGCTTAGAACTCCACTTACGTAACACAAAACACCATATCCAAAAAATGCTGGCAGTACAGTACACTGGAGACTCTCTGTTGTCCCCTTTTGATGGGGTGGCTGACGGGGAGCTACTCTTGCTGCCCAGCATCGTGAGAGTGTATCATTCTGCATGTCACTAGCTAGGAAGTGAGCAGAATTCAAAACTCAAAGTATGGTTTGAATGTGCATTGCTGTCACATTATTGCAAAATCAGAAAATCCTAAGTCAGGGACTGCCTGTATGTGGGAGGAAAACAATGGAGTGAGTTTTGTGAATTGCTCTGGGCTGATAAGGGTCCAGAGACCCCGTGTGTAAAGGAGAATTTATATACTGCCCATATAAATAAAGAAAAGGGAAAGGATAGACAGAGCTTTTTCTCTGTTTGCTGCTGCTTGTTAATTGTCTGCTTTAACTGTCTTCCCAGAAATAATTTTTATGTCAGAGTCATATTTTGGTGTTAACATAGTATCCTGTGATAGTCAATTTTAAATCAGGAAGTATGAGTTCTCCTCCTGTCCCTTTGTTCTTTTTTAAAATTAGTTTGGCTATTCTGGGTCCCTTGTATTTCCATATGAATTTTAAGATTAATTGCCAATTTCTGCAAGAAAAAAAAAGCCATCTTGGATTTTGATAGGGATTGATCTGTACATCAGTTTGGGGAGTGTTGCCATGTTCGTTTGTTAATTCCTCTAATCCATGAACACCAGATGTCTTTTTATTTCTTTCGGTCTTTAATTTGTATCAGTGATGTTTTGTAGTTTTCAGTGAACCATTGTTGCTCTTTAAATTTTGTCCTGAGTGTTTTTATTCTTTTCAATAGTATTGCAAATTAAATTGCTCTCTTAATTTCATTTCTGAATTGTTCATTGCTAGTTTTTACAAATTATTTTTGATAATTGATCTTCTGTCCTGCAACCTTGCCAAACTCATTACGAGCTCTAATGATTGTTTTGTGGATTCCTTAGGATTTTCTTGATATAAGAACAAGTCATCTGTAAATAGAGGTAGTTCTACTTCTTCCTCTCCAATCTGGATATCTTTCATTTCTTTTTCTTACCTATTTGTTGACAGAAAGAGTCAAGCTCTGTAAAATATTTGAAGACATTTATTCTGAGCCAAATGTGAGTGACCATGGCCCGTGACACAGCCCTCAGGAGGTCCTGAGAACATGTGCCCAAGGTGGTTGGGTGCAGCTTGGTTTTATACACTTTAGGGAGGCATCAGACATCAATCAGATACGTTTAATAGATACATTGGTTTGGTCCCAAAAGGCAGGGACAAGGTGGGGAGGGTTCCAGCTTATAGGTAGATTTTAAATTTTTCTTGTTGAAAATTGGCTGAGTTTGTCTAAAGAACTGGGTTCAATAGGAAGGAATGTCTGGGTTAAGATAAAGGGTGGTGGAGACTAAAGTTCATTACTGCAGAGGAAGCCTTCAGATAGTAGGCTTCAGAGAGAATAGATTGTAAACGTTTCTTATCAGACTTAAAGACTGTGTTGATGTTAATGCTGGAGGGTATAATGAGGCATGTCTGACCCCCACATCCCGTCATGGTCTGAACCAGTCTTCAGGTTAAATTTTAGAGTGCCCTGGCTGAGGAGGAAGTCCATTCAGATGGTTGGAGAGCCTTAGAATTTTATTTTTGGTTTACAGTCTGTGGAATGATGTTGAAAAGAAGTCAAAGAGTAGACTTCTTTGTCTTTTTTCTTTACTTAGGGGGAAAGCTTTTGGTCTTCACCGCTGAGTACGACGTTAGCTGTGAGGTTTTTAGTATGACTTTCATCAATATGAGGAAGTTTCCTTCCATTTCAAGCTTGCTGAGTTTTTATCATGGAAAGGTGTTGGAATTTGCAAATGCTTTCTCTGCATCTATTTTGAGATGATTGTGTGGTTTTCTTTGTTCTGTTACCATGCTGTAATTTACATTGATTGATTTTTCACAGGTTGACATTTCATTCCTGGGATAAATCCCAAGCATGGTTGTATCTTGCTGGATTTGGTTTGCTGGTATTTTGTTGAGAATTTTGGTGTCATATTCATAAGGAATATTGGTCTGTTGTATTAAGCCATTCTTGCATTGCTATAAAGAAATACGTGGCCAGGCGTGGTGGCTCATGCTTGTAATCCCAGCACTTTGGGAGGCCAAGGCGGATGGATTACTTGAGGTCAGGAGTTCGAGACCAGTCTGGCCAACATGGTGAAACCCCATCTCTACCAAAAATACAAAAATTAGCTGGGCATGGTGGCAGGTGCCTGTAATCTCAGCTACTTAGGAGGCTGAGGCAGGAGAATCACTTGAACCTGGGAGGTAGAGGTTGCAGTGAGCCAATATCATGCGACTGCACTCCATCCTGGGCAGCAGAGTGAGACTCTGTCTCAAAAAAAAAAAAAAAAAAAAAGATGTGAGACTGGGTAATTTATCAGAAAAGAGATTTAATTGGTTCATGGTTCTGCAGGCTGTACAGAAAGTATAGCACTGGCATCTGTTTCTGGGGAGGCTTTAGGAAGCTTAGAATCATAGCAGAAAGCCAAAAGGGAACAGGCGTTTCACATGGTGGGAGCAGGAGAAAGAGTCAGGGGGAAGGTGCCACACACTTTTAAATGACCAGATCTCACAAGAACTCACTCAGTATTGCTGTCCTGAAGACAGCACCAAGCTGCGAGGGATCTGCCACAGTGATCCAAACACCCCTACCAGGCCCCGCCTCCAGCACTGGGTGTTACAGTTCAACATGAGGTTTGGGTGGGGACAAATACTCAAACTATATCCGTTGTTTTCTTGAGATGTTTTGGTTTTGCTATCAGGGTAGTACTCACCTAAGATGAGCTGGAAAGTGTATTCTTTTCTATTTTTTGAAAGAGTTCATGAAGGATTGTTGTTCATTTTTGCTTTAACATTTGTTAGAATTCTCCACTAAGTGTCTGGTCCTTAGGAAGGGGTGTGTGTGTATGTGTGTGTGTAAAGTATTTTTGATTACTAATTTAGTTTCTTTTTCTTTCTTTTCTTTTCTTTTTTTTTTTTTTTTTGAGATGGAGTTTCGCTGTTGTTGTCCAGGCTGGAGTGCAATGGCACAGTCTTGGCTCACTGCAACCTCTGCCTCCCAGCTCAAGCAAATCTCCTGCCTCAGCCTCCTGAGTATCTGGGACTACAAGCACCCGCCCCCACACCCGGCAAATTTTTTTGTATTTTTTGTAGAGATAGGGTTTCACCATGTTGGTCAGGCTGGTCTTGAACTCCTGACCTCAGGTGATCCACCCACCTCGGCCTCCCAAAGAGCTGGCATTACAGGCGTGAGCCACCGCGCCTGGCCACTAATTTAGTTTCTTTACTCGTTACAGGTATATTCAGATTTTCTATTTCTGTTTGAGTCAGTTTCTGTAGTTTGTGTCTTTCTAAAACTTGTCGTTCTAAAAATTTGTTTCTTTTATGTAGGCTACTTAATTTGTTGGCATAAAATTGTTCATAGTATTCCTTTGTAATCCTTTTTATTTATGTAAGGCTAATAGTAGTAATGTCCCTCCTTTCTTGATTTTAGCAATTTCAATTTTCTTTCTTATTTTCTTCGCCAGTCTAGCTAAAGGTGTATTAGTTTTGTTGATCTTATCAAGGAACCTACTTTTAGTTTCATTGATTTTTCTCTATTGTTTTCCATCTTTTATTTTTTAAGCTGCCTTCTTATATATAAGCAGTTCCCAAAGTGTGTTTTGGGAACCCTCAGGGGTCCTTGAAGTAAAAATGAGTGCAGTGTTCATTTGCCTTCCACACTCTGATTTCCTCACGAATGTATATTGGAGTTTTCCAGTGGTCCCATGACTTATCAAATTGCAACAGATTGCAGGTAGAAACAGAGATGAGAATCCTGTTTAATATAAGCCAGATGAGAGATAAGCTGGCTTATATTAAGCCAGACATTTTAAAGTTTGCAAAACTCTAAAACAATGCCATTCTTTTTTTTTAAAATCGGGTCTTGGTGTGTTGCCCAGGCTGGACTCGAACTCCTGGGCTCAGTTGATCCTCTGATCTCAGTCTCCCCAGTAGCTGGGATTATAGGCACATTCCACCACATCCAGCCTTTTCACTATTTTTAGTTTATTTGTTTTGGAAAATATAGTTATTTTTTATGAAAAAGTACTAACAGTAACATATCTTGCTCTTTTAAAATGAATTAATAAATATTTTTACAATTCTCAGTTTAAATTTCTGATTCTAAGTATTAAAAGATATAATCTCTTTAGGGTCCTCAGTAATTTTTAAGAATATAAAGAAGCCTCAAGGCTGGGCGTGGTAGCTCACTCCTATAATTTCACTGCTTTGGGAGGCTGAGTTGGGAGGATCACTTGAGGCTAGGAGTTCGAGACCAGCCTGAGCAACACAGCAAGGTCCTGTCTCTACAGAAAAATAAAAAAAAATTAGCATGGTGGCTCATGCCTGTATTCCTAGCTACTTGGGAGGCTGAGGAGAGAGGATTACTTGAGCCCAGGAATTTGAGATTGCGGTGAGCTATGATTGTACCACTGTACACCACCCTGGGTGACAGAATGAGACCCCTGTCTCTTATAAAAAAATGTCTTCAAGTCAAACATTTTAAAGCTGCTGTTATATATTACCTCATCAAATCTTTAAAATAATCCTATGGGTTAGATACTCCTATTTGTAGCTAAACAAAATGGAAGAGATAAATAATTCATTCACAATTTTAGAGGTAGGGGCTGAGATTTAAAACCAAATTTTTAATATTCCAAAGTTTATATGCATTACAGTGAATACCTAATTATTCACATTTTCTTCTTTTTCCACACTCTCATTTCTTAGGATTTAAAACAAGCTAATGAGTCTTTAAGATGAGTGTATTTTCTGGGTATTGTGTGGTGAAATGTTAGCTGCTGTGTGACTTTTCTCCAGCTGTGATGACCCTTTGGTATTCCCTCTACAGAAAGATGTGTCATGGCAATGCTGAGAAGGAGGATCAGGGATGAGAAGACCAACGTTAGGAAGTCTGCACTGCAGGTGGGAGTTTTCTCTGCACATTTTTTTTTTTAAGCACTAAAAACTTGGAAATGCAAAGGAATATTTTTTAAACTCTTAGGCCATATTCATTACTTAATTTGCTTTTCGCCTAACTGTTAGTTGACCCTGATCCTGTTGTATATGAATCATAGACGAACTGGAAGATTTTTTATTTTTAAGCTTTCCTACAGGGTTTCTGATTTTTTTAAGAACCACAAATTTATATCCTGAATTTGTTTAGAATAGGGATTCTTAACCTAGGGACCATGGGTGGATTTTAATAGGTTCATAAAATAGTTTGTAAATATTTGTTTATATAAAATTTGTTTTTCTCTGAGAGAGGCCTTAGCAAATTGGATTCTGAAAAATGGGATGTTGTGAGGAGGAAGGTTGGATCCATGACCCCAAAATGTTAAGAACCACAAACTTAAAGGAAGTGTTCCTTTGTTAACAGTTTATCTTTGTGAGTTGATGCTATGCAGTTAACAGTTCATGTTGCGTCTATGCCTTCTAGGTATTAGTGAGTATTTTGAAACACTGTGATGTCTCAGGCATGAAGGAAGACCTGTGGATTCTGCAGGACCAGTGTCGGGACCCTGCAGTGTCTGTCCGGAAGCAGGCCCTCCAGTCTCTTACTGAACTCCTTATGGTGAGAGGCAGGACATTATATATGTAATGCATGGTATTTTACATTAAAAGTAATTCCACACAATAATTACCTGCTGCTAAACGTTAAGTTGACCTTTAAAAACTCTACTAAGTCCACTGTAGAACTGTACAATGTAAGGGAGGAGGTATTTTTGAATTATGTGTGATAGACTGTGCTTCCTATTAAACATAATTAGGAACTAATGCTAGAGAATGCCAATTGTTAGCCCTTTCTTCACTTTATTGTTATTATTATTATTTTTGAGACAGAGTCCTGCTCTGTTTCTCAGGCTTAGAGTGCAGTGGCACAATCTCAGCTCACTGCAACTTCTGCCTCTCAGGTTCAAGCAACTCTCCTGCCTCAGCCTCCTGTGTAGCTGGGACTACAGGCAGGTGCTGCCATGCCTGGCTAATTTTTGTATTTTTAGTAGAGACAGGGTTTCACTATGTTGGCCAGGCTGGTCTTGAACTCCTGACCTCAGGTGACCCGCCTGCCTTGGCCTCCCAAAGTGCTGGGATTACAGGCATGAGTGACTGCACCCGGCCCTTTTCTTCACTTTAAATCTCACACAGAAAAATAAAATTTAAAATTGATTTGGTTAAGCTAGAGGCCTAGATTAAATTTAGTCAATTAGGGCATAGATAGATGATATTGCCAAAAAAGCAGACTCACAAGTACTATATTTAATTTACTTTTGTTTACTAGTTAGCATTTTAGTCAAAGAATTTTAGAAGTATGTTTATTTCTTTATTTCATAATAGAAGGCATTAAGCAATGCATATTTTGACTTTTTCTGTCAGCATCTGTTCTAATTGCTCTTTGGGATATTTATTATTTGCTCTTGATTTTTAATGACCAAAAAAGTACTGATTTACTAGTAGCTACTAGTAAAATAGTGACTTTAATGTATGAGTTTAAAATTTTGGTTTGCAGTGATTTACATTAAGCTGGCTTTGCTTTTGTATATTTTTTGAATTTTTTTCTTTTTTCACTCTATGGTCTATTTGCAGTTGAAGGTGTGATTATTTTTAACATCTCAAAATGTTGATCACAACTTCCCTGACTTGTATTTAGACCTTCTCATGTCATAATCTTTCACTCCTAAGGCTCAGCCTAGATGCGTGCAGATCCAGAAAGCCTGGTTGCGGGGGGTGGTCCCGGTGGTGATGGACTGCGAGAGCACTGTGCAGGAGAAGGCCCTGGAGTTCCTGGACCAGCTGCTGCTGCAGAACATCCGGCATCACAGTCATTTTCACTCTGGGGACGACAGCCAGGTCCTCGCCTGGGCGCTTCTTACTCTCCTCACCACCGAAAGCCAGGAACTGAGGTAGGTTAACTGTATGACCTGTGTTCCCTATAGAAGAAGGCCGTAGGACTTTGTATTAATAAATTTCTCCTATTGGTCCTCGAAAAATCAGCTTTCCAGATTACTTAGTGTATGTGAAGATTAAGTATTGGTCTCTCTTTCCCTGACTGACTTCCAATCTCTTAGATATTTTTATCGCCTGTATGTTTGTGACACCTGTTTGGTCACTTCCTTTGCATCTGTCTGACGCTTTCCAGTTTCAGATTTTGGTGTCTTCATATGTAGTAGACAACACTGATGGAGATACATATTAATATCACCTTTCCCCAATACTGGTTATCACGAAGGATGACTTCCTAGCTCCTGCAAGTTAAACTGTTTTTAACACCTCATTGGATTAATTGACTTAACTAACACTGCAGGCTTTTTCCCCTTTGATAACACTTATTGAACATACACTGTACAGTGAATATTGTAGTTAGGAGTTAGGATCTGTGATGGAGGAATCATCATGCGGTAGAAAGAAAATAGATTTAGTATCAAAAAATACCATTCTGCAGCCTTGGCAAAAATCACTTTCTCTGAGCCTTAGTTTCCTGATTTGTAAGAGCAGCCGTTGTACTCTAGGATCTCTTCATGGTTTTCTCAGTACAGGTTGAGCATCCGTAATCCAAAAATCTAAAATCCAAACATGCTCTGGAAGCTGAAACTTTCTGAATGTCAGCATGATGCCACAAGTGGAAAATCTCACACCTGACCGCATGAGACGGGTCACAGTGAGAATGCAGGCTCACAGCATACAGTCTGTTCAGCATCCGCAGGCGAAAAATAAAATCACCTTCCGGCTGTGCATACAAGGTGTATATGAGACTTTGGTTCCATCCCCAAGATATCTCATTAAGTATATGCAGATATTCCAGAATCCAAAACACTTCTGGTCCCAAGCATTTCAGATGAGTGATACTCAACCTCTACCCACCCTATGCTTTCCTGAGATTTCTAGAATGGAGAGATTTAGCTAATAATAGAGTCTACTGCTTTTTCACTTTTCTTAGAGATACCTCCTTATGCATGCTCTATGTATTAATTCATGTTAATGTAATGAAAGGTAGTAGTCATTCTTTGCAAAAAAGCAGGAGAGGCCTTCTACAGCTCCTGAGAAGCTGTTGGGAGGTTTTAAAATTTATTTTTCTTTATAAAAACTTTTGTATTGAAGTATAGCATGTCTAGAAAAGTACACAAACCATAAGGTCAGTAAATATCACAAAGAGAGTATGCCTGTGTAACCACCATGCAATCTCTGTTTATCATTGTAGGTGATAGCCACCTCTGCCCAAGTTGGCTAATACTTGAAAAAAAGTGGCCCAGAACTCACGTGCTGCACATTTTCTGAAATTACTCTTGACTTCTGATTTCATGGCAACTCTTCTTATTTTCCAGTGTTGCTTAAAATTTTGTCTTATTTTTGGTATTCATTTATTTCAGAGGTCTTTAAGGAGACATTAAAACAAACAAACAAACATGGGCTCATTATTAAACCTGGAATCAGGTTGTGGATGAAACTGCTTAAGGAGATTATAAAATGAGTAAGAAAAAATGCAAGTTTAGAAGAGGAACCTTGCAGAAGATGTGCATTGAAGGCTTCAGCAGAGGAAGATAGCCATGTCAAAAGAATTCAGAAGTATGGAGAAGTAGAGGAATAACTAGGAGAAAATTATTCAAATGGAAACAGGGAGTGAGGATTTCAAGCGAAGCAAGTAGTCGACAATTCTAAATGTCTCAAAAACATTTCAAACAAAACTTGTTCACATCAAGTTAGAATCTTGCACCCAACCAGATTATTCAACATACAGGGTAAAATAAAGCCATATTGAGACGAGCAGAAAACCAAGGGTGTTTATCGCCACCACCTCTCCACTAAAGGGCCATCTATGAGGGATGTACTTCAGGCCAGGCTATATTCCCAGCACTCTGGGAGGCTGAGGCAGGAGAACTGCTTAAGACCAGGAGTTTGAGATCATCCCTGGCAATGTGGTGAGACCTTGTCTCTACAAAAAAAGCCATTTGTGGTGGCGCACGCCTGTAGTCCCAGCTACTTGGGAGGCTGTGGTGGGATGATCGCTTCAGCCCAGGAGGTGGAGGCTGCAGTGAGCCGTAATTGCACCACTGCACTCCAGCCTGGGCGACAGAGCAAGACCTCATCTCAAAAAAATAAAAAGGATGTACTTCAGAAGGATGGAAGCTGAATTCAGAAGGGAGGAATGAGAAGGAAAAGTTGCTAAGAAATCGATAAACACATAGATAAATCTAAATTAAGCATAGCCATTAAAAATCAGTAACAACAATGATATGAGGATGATTAACTGAGATGACTGAAAGCAAGGTGAAGCTAAAATATAAAAAAGTATGTAGGATGAGCTGGAGGGTGCATTTACTTGCATTTCTAGCATTGGATAGGAGGAGATTAGAGATGCTGATTGGCATTAAACTCGAGTTAACACTGCAGACAACCAGGGATAGTCGTATGTAACTTCTGAGCCAGTAGAACAGAAGTAACACTGAAGAAAGTTCAGTGCAAGAAAACGCAGAACAGAAGTGAGGTTAAAAAATGAGAAGGAAATAAAAAGCATGGTATATCGAAATCATAAAATAAAAGGGTGAATTAATCCAATAGGTCAGTAATCTCTATAAATGTAAATGACTTCCATTTAATAGTTAGTGGACAAAATCTTTGGATATAAAAACCAAAATCCAACTACATACTGTTTATAAGAGCCACACCTAAAATAAAATTACCAGAAATGCTGAAAGTAAGAAAAAGGTTACTAGAAAAATAATGCAAAAAGAAGGCCGTATCAAATAGAATAGAATTTAAAATAGAGTCAAATAGAATTTAACGGAAAATGTCATCAGTTGTAAAGAAAGTTACTTATAATGATAAAGGAATTATACCTGGAAGAGTTATGTGTTCCTAAAGGATATGTATAAAACCCCATGCCCAATAAGCACACATTTCTAAGCTTATGTGAACCATTTATAAAAATTGATTATGTACAACTTCAGAGTCAATCTTAAATATCAACAATTCTGTATTAATAGGATAATGTTCTCTGAGCATTATACAATAAGTAGTAGAGGAAAACCTCAAAAAAGAGCATTTGAAGAATTAAAAAAGATACTTCTAAATAACTCGAAGGTCAAAGACCAGTGAATTGGAAGATTTTTGGAACTGAATACGTGCCAAAACTTGTAGAATGCATTTAATGGAGTACTTAGAAGGAAATGTGTAACGTTAAATGTGTATTAGAAAAGGAAAAGGACTGAAAACTGATGAGCTAAAGGTTCAATTTAAGAAGTTACGAAAAGTCTTTGAATAAACTTGAGGAAAAGAAATGCTAAAATTTAGAAATTTAAAAACTGGGAAAGAAAAACAGTCTTCAAAAAGCCTAATGGAAAAGATAAACTTCTGCCGAGATATGACAAGAAAAAAGGTACAAATAAATAATATTAATGATGAAATGGGTGATACAACTACAAATGTCTTGTTCAGTATACATTCAGAAACAGAGTATTCAGAATGTATTAGTATTTTTTAAAGGGCACAGTTCTATATAGGCATTTTTTAGTCTAAAATTTTAATTGATACAGCTCTTTGTATTAATTTGCCAGGGCCACCATAACAAAACACCACAGAGTAGGTGGCTTGAACAACAGAAATTTATTTTCTCACAGTTCTGGAAGGTAGAAATTTGAGATCATGGTGCCAGGAGAGTGGGTTTCTCCTGAGGCTTCTCTCCTTGGCTGTGACCTCATGCACATCCCTGGTGTCTCATTCTGTGTCCGCATTTCTTCTTATAAGGATACCCTTTGTGTCCGGAATTTATTCCTTCTGGTGGGTTCTTGGTCTCGCTGACTTCAAGAATAAAGCCGCAGACCTTCGCGATGCATGTTACAGCTCTTAAAGATGGTGTGTCCAGAGTTTGTTCCTTCAGATGTTCGGATGTGCCTGGAGTTTCTTCCCTCTGGTGGGTTCGTGGTCTCGCTGACTTCAGGAGTGAGGCCGCAGACCTTCGTAGTGAGTGTTACAGCTCTTAAAGGTGGCACATCCGGAGTTGTTTGTTCCTCCTGGTGGGTTTGTCATCTCACTGACTTCAGGAATGAAGCCGCAGACCCTTGCGGTGTTACAGTTCATAAAGGCAGTGTGGACCCAAAGAGTGAGCAGCAGTAAGATTTACTGTGAAGAGCGAAAGAACAAAGCTTCCACAGCGTGCAAGGGGACCCGAGCGGGTTGCTGCTGCTGGCTCGGGTGGCCAGCTTTTATTCCCTTATTTGGCCCCGCCCATGTCCTGCTAATTGGTCCATTTTACAGAGTGCTGATTGGTGCATTTACAATCCTGTAGCTAGACACAGCATGCTGATTGGTACGTTTTTACAGAGTGCTGATTGGTACATTTACAATCCTTTAGCTAGACACGGAGTGCTGATTGGTGTGTTTTTACAGAGTGCTAATTGGTGCATTTATAATCCTTTAGCTGGGCACAGAGTGCTGATTGGTGCATTTACAATCCTTTAGCTAGACACAGAGTGCTGATTGGTGTGCTTACAATCCTCTAGCTAGACAGAAAAGTTCTCCATGTCCCCACTTGACCCAGGAAGTCCAACTGGCTTCACCTCTCACCTTGAGCTTGGGTTAGGGCCGACCCTAACAGCCACGTTTTAACTTCATCACCTCTGTAAAGGCCCTATAGGAGGGAATGGTAGAGGTGATGAAAGCTGAGCCTGAGGTTTGGAGGAGTTGGAAGAGGAAATATTTTATTCAACTGAACAAACATATTTTGAGGACTTCATTTTCCAGGACTGGTTCTAAGTGCTGGAGATTCACAGAATAGTTCAGTGCACTTCCTCTCCTCCAGTTGCTCTTGGTCTAGTGAAATAGACAAAAGCAAGTCACAATTTTAGTGGAAAGGGAGCTACAGGAGAACAGAGGAAGGGCACCTGGCATTTTGGTGATTATTTCTTCCTCTTTGTCCTCTTTCTTTCTTCTTCTGGCTTAGGGTGGCTTCCCAGAAGTAGTGGCGTGGGTAGAATATTTGGGAATGTGTAGGAATTCAGCAGCCAGAGTAGTAAGGGTTACCAGAAAGGAAATAGTCATGCAAAAGCTCAGAGGCCAGAAGGCTCTATGAAATCTCAGGAAAATGCCTGAATCAATTGCTGTTGACTGAGGTGTGGAGAGCAGAAGTCGGGCAGGTTGAGGACAGAGGGAGTGCTGGAGATGGAAGCCCAGCTTCAACTTGAATGCTTTGTCACACCTCAGTTGGGAGCTCTTGGTAATGCATGAGGTCACCCAGAGTTAGGTTGGAGATAAGAGGACTAAGAATAGAGCTTTTCAAATCAGCAATTAGTTATTAGAAGACAGGAATTAGTTACAGGAGATGAAAAGAGATCCAACTGGTGGACCAGAGTCTCAGCGCAAGAGTAGTCAGTAACCTCTGGTGGAGGCCATGGAGACGGGCCTGAAGCATGGCCGTTGGTTTTGGTACTAAGATAGAAGTTAGTGTGTTGGGTCACAGTCTGCCCAGGTGGGGAATGGCTGTGGCCCTCAGCTGGGCTGGGAGGCTGGCTGGGAGTGGAGGGCTGGGAGTTGTCAAAGAGGAGCCAAGTTTGAGATTTCTGCAAGTTCAGAGGATTTTTTCCCAATTCTGTTGGCTACATATAATAAACATTACTTAATATTTTATATCGTTATTTTTAAATAAATTTAAAAATACTTGTTCATTGCTTATATCTTGTGGTATTTGGACATAAATCAGACATAAATCATGTTGTAAGCTAACTGTAGTAAGACTTGACATCTGTGGATGGATTTTTAATCAATAGCTGATATATTAGCAAAACTTCATTTATATGCATATGCTTATTATGGTATATAGATGTGTTTATTTTGTTACAGTTACCTTATTCTGTATGTTTTGAGAATTTCCCTTCTAAAAACAGTTTAATGAGGAATTCCTGATGTTCGCGTGTGGGTATGTATGTGTATGTGTTTTCCCAGAAGTCTAAGAAAAATTAATCAAGGGAAGAAGTGTATTTTTCTCTTCATTTAAATATATAATATGGCATTGTCTCATGAATCATATGATCCCATTCAGTGACTTGGGAAGAAGTAAAATAAGAGATAGTTCTAAAACAACAGTGACAGCCAGGCACAGTGGCTCACAACTATAATCTCAGTACTTTGGAAGGCCAAGACAGGAGGATGGCTTGAGCCCAGAAGTTCAAGACCAGTCTAGACAACATAGTGAGACCCTGTCTCAAGAAAGACAGACAAAGAGAGAGAGAGAGAAATTAGCCAGGTATGGTGACCATGCCTGTAGTCTCAGCTACTCTGGAGGCTGAGGGAAGAGGATTGATTGAACCCAGGAGGTGGAGGCTACACAGAGAGCTGTGATCATACTACTGTGATCCAGCCTGGGTGACAGAGTGAGACCCTGTCTCAAAAACTAGTAATATAACACAAACACTTTAGTACATCAGAAGCATTGTTTTTTATTTTGAAAAGGTTTGAAATATCTATTTCTGAGTGGTATTAAGTTATTGCATATTTTAGCTCATTTAATATCATCATATTTAATTGTTAGGTTGTCATTTACAATCCTGCCATGTAGTCCCAGCTACTCGGGAGGCTGAGGCAGGAGAATGGTGTGAACCCGGGAGGTGGAGCTTGCAGTGAGCCGAGATCGCGCCATTGCACTCCAGCCTGGGCGACAGAGCGAGACTCCATCTCAAGAAAAAAAAAAAAAAAAGGACAATGTTACTAATTTTTGTCACTATAACTGTGTAAGCTCTGGATGTATCTGTAACTGACCCCATGCAGTTATGTAGAAATTTTGGAGGGGAGGAGGATAAGAAGAGTCTGAAATGAATTGTGAAATTTTATTCTTTACTTTAAGGAATATTTTATGAGGGGAAAAATGAATATAACTGATAGTAGAATAATAAAAATTTAAAAGATACCTAGTTTGGTATCAGACACGCCACTAATTAGGAACGTCTACATATAAGTTTCATGTGCCACTTGAGTCCTGGAGCAGCAGAAGTTGATACCCTTTCAGTGAGGCTCCCATCTGAATCATTTTGTATATTTACAGTTGCAATTCTGCTTTTCTATCTTTTTTTTTTCCAGCCGATATTTAAATAAGGCTTTTCATATCTGGTCCAAGAAAGAAAAATTCTCACCCACTTTTATAAACAATGTAATATCTCACACTGGCACGGAACATTCGGCACCTGCCTGGATGCTGCTCTCCAAGATTGCTGGCTCCTCACCCAGGCTGGACTACAGCAGAATAATACAATCTTGGGAGAAAATCAGCAGGTTTGTATCTTCTAATTTAACCAGTAATGACACTGAAGAGTCTTAGAAACAAAGCCCAAGACTTAAGGAAGTGAGCTTTTTCATAGCTATTCATATACAGAGACCTTCTGTTTAAAACCTGGTATAAAAACAAGCATGAAAAAAATAAGAATCATGTTTCACCCATTTCCCCTTTGTCCAAGTACATTAAATGCCTTGATGTTCCCACAGCTTGACTCCTAAGCCATGCTACCTACCCTGCTTCCTCCAGTGTTATTAATCCAGAAGAAAGGCCTTTGTTGGCAGCAGTGTTTAACTTGCTTCTCCCTTCATATTCCTCCTGCCCTTTCTCTAGTCAGCAGAATCCCAATTCAAACACCTTAGGACATATTCTCTGTGTGATTGGGCATATTGCAAAGCATCTTCCTAAGAGCACCCGGGACAAAGTGACTGGTGAGTGTCTGCTGGAGAATCTTATGTGAAAATGCATTGCTGTTCATTTCAGGTGTGTGTGTGTGTGTGTGTGTGTGTGTGTGTGTGTGTGTATATATACCTGAATATATTTAAGCAGTTGAACTTCAGGGGTTTTGACTTCCTTCATAGATGCTGTCAAGTGTAAGCTGAATGGATTTCAGTGGTCTCTAGAGGTGATCAGTTCAGCTGTTGACGCCTTGCAGAGGCTTTGTAGAGCATCTGCAGAGACACCAGCAGAGGAGCAGGTATGGCCAGACTTTCCCTGACATGTTTCTGACTTCTTTGAGCTTAGGATGTTACTGTATGTGTTTTGAAGTGTGAGGAGCATTCTCTATAAATAAGAGGACGTGTAAGGATGTCCCCCGCAGCTATTGCCGCAACAAGGCAAGGTTTACATAACTAGCAATTGACATTCCCCAAGAAGATTTAGCTGCCTAAGAGACACGGCACCCTTAGATGGTCACCACCTTGATCGCAGGTGCGAGTGTCTTTAGGTAAGCATTCCTGTTGATTGTCATTTCCTGGTGAGAATTCTGCAAGGTTCTCTTTCTCCTTGACTTCCACTCTCATTCCAAGAACACTTATAGACAATTTTCCACTTAAGCAGGAAGTTCCCTCCAGAACAGGTTTCTGACCTTCTGATAAGTCATAATCTTGGACATGCCTGTCCTGTTACTATGAGGTTACACTACTCAAATATCTCTTGTTGGTATCGTGTCCCCACAGTTGCCTATAGCCCACAGCTAGTGTTTTTATATAAACAGAAATCCACATCAGTGATTTATGGGAGGCAGAGAGGTACTTTGACTCCTTAAAAGGTATGCATACCAGTAACTGAAGAAATAATTTTATTACCATATATTTATTCTGTTTTTATCATGAGATATACTCTTAGTACCAATCATAATGAAAAAATGTAGAGCTGGGGTTATTAATAATGGCTATAGAAAACAAAAATTAAATAATTGCTGGGATATATTTAAGTTTTCCAGAATAAAAGAAAATGATGGCTTCAGCTGATCTCCCCAACTACCTTCCTGTGTTTCCTTTTCTTGACCAAGTTCATTAGAGAAAGCCCTTCCTTAAGATGTTACATTTTCTACTTCTAACAGATCAACTAAAACAATGATTGTAACTTTTTTGCTTGGGACTTAAGACTGTTGACCTATTTCTTATGAAATGGTGCCTGGTGTTTTTCTGGTATCTATCTTTAAGCTGTTTTATTGATGAAAGGGATACTTGCATTATTTGATTTTTCTAACCCTTTATCTCAAGACCCAAGAAATTATATGACAAACTTTTATTTTTATTTTTGAGATGGAGTCTCACTCTGTCACCCAGGCTAGAGTACAGTGGCGCAATCTCAGCTCACTGTAACCTCCGCCTCCCAGGTTCAAGCAATTCTCGTGCCTCAGCCTCCCGAGTAGCTGGGATTACAGGCACATGCTATCAGGCCCAGCTAATTTTTGTATTTTTAGTAGAGACAGGGTTTCACCATGTTGGCCAGGCTGGTCTCAAACTCCTGATCTCAAGTGATCGCCTGCTTCAGCCTCCCAAAGTGCTGGGATTACAGGCGTGGTAAGACTGAGGAAAGAGTGATCAGGAGGAATTAACGTTACAGACTATGAAACCACAAGCCTTCCAGGCTCAGTGGTACACAACTTACTACCGGCAGAGCTGGGACTAGAACTAAGGCCTCTGACTTTTTCCTAATTTTCTTTTCACCAGCACTGGTTGGAAAAAGAATCATGTGTACAGCGCGCAGTCAGGGCCTAGGAAGTCATCTGCCGCTTGCTGCTGGCCCAGGGCCATTAGGACGGTGGTTACATTGTCATGAGAGCCTATGAGGAAGGCAAGAACTGTCTTCAGGTTAGACACTGAGAGCTGGAAGCGGGTGGGGCTTACTACTGCATTAGCAAAGACCGCCACGGTTTTAATCTGCCGACACAACCTCACTTGGTGGTTGACAGAGGAGCAAGGCCCTGAGATTGTCTGGAATGTTAGGATATTTTCAATCCATGTGACCCGCTTGTTTCCCCTAAACACGCTTCTCCTTTTCTTTTCTCTGTAAGTGAATATCATTTATTTTACTGAGAGCAACAGATTACCCAAAGATATAGCTCAGCAGCAGTATATATGAAAGGACTGTGGTCTTTGGGCATTTTTGTTATCTGTTTTGTGACTGTCATTAAAAAATTGATGAGATCTTGTATCAGTAGAAATAGTGTCTAGAACAAGAGGAGCAGTGATCCTGTGTGCTGGCTGATAGTTCAGTATCAGTGACAAATTTACAGAGAAGTGTTGATGAAATTGAATATAACTAGAGGAGAGCAGTTAAATAAGGGTATCACAAAGCAAGTTATGTAAGGAACTGCAGAAGGGCCTGGAGTCTTTAGCATGGAGAAGGGAAGGGTTGGGGACGGTAGGCTGCCTAGCTAAATTCAAATTTATGAAGGACTTTCAGATAAAAGAATTGGATTTATTTGGTATT
The DNA here is from genome assembly GCF_000001405.40 of Homo sapiens. Classification (NCBI taxonomy): domain Eukaryota; kingdom Metazoa; phylum Chordata; class Mammalia; order Primates; family Hominidae; genus Homo; species Homo sapiens. The sequence continues at coordinate 134,182,390 of NC_000011.10, read as the reverse complement.
CCCAGACAACCTATCTGGACCAATGAATGGAAATTATAAATTTTGGTGAACTGCAGAGAAAACTTACTGAGGTCTGCCCAAAATGGTGGGCTTGCCCCAGAGCATGTCCCCTGTTATTGGAGGTATTCAGGAGAAGCTGGACAAGGACTTGGAACAGGCTGCCATGTGGAGAGAATGCCAGGATTGGGTGGCCTTGTCAGCTTTCCCAGATTCTGTGATACCGAAACTTACTAGTCCTAGTACCCAGGTTCTGGCCTCATTGGGATCAAGCATAAGAATTGCAGAAACTCTTTGGGCCAATGTTGTGGTCCAGGTTGTGCAATCTATTAAAATTTTAAATGTAATAGTTCTTTTAGAAGTAATAAAGCCAATAGTTTCCAGATACGTTAGGGCAAGTCAGACTAAAAGCATTGCTCATAGTGGTGGCTTGCCAGGCACTGGATGATGGTTAACACAGGTCCCTTCCTAAGGCACTACAGAGGAGTGGGGGAGGTGCGTGCACATCAGCAGATAATTTCAACATAATGTCATCATTCCTAAAATAAAAGTCGGCATCGGGTAACATGGAAGCAAGGGGGTGGAGGCCCTTAGCTCAACCTAGGTGTTTTGGAATGGTTTCCTACAGAAAATGAGGTCCAAGAATTCTAGAATGTGGTTGGGAGCTCTCTCTCTTCCTTGGCATAGAGGAACAGTCCAATGTGCACTAGAAGTCACCCCTTGAAGTTATTGTAATCAGTGAGAGACACGGAACACTTGTCCCTAATGCATAAATTTCAGAAGAGTAGCAACTCTATTTTATGTCTTTAAAAAATGTTTATCACAGTAGTTAATTCATCATCTGTATATGGCAGCAAAACTACAGCTTATTTCTGTATTTTTGGAGGAGCACTACTATTATAGATCTCTTACAAATTACTACATGGGGTCATTGTAAATATTTGGCCTTTTGCTCTTATAGGGCAAATGTAAAAAGAAAGATGATATATACACCGTTCTTTATAAATTCCACTTAGCCAGTACTCATGGCTAGATTGCTTAAATGCATGTCATTGTGGTTTTGGACAAATTGTGGGAAAGAGGAAAGCTAGGAAGCACCCCTACAGCCTATCCATTTGAAGATCATAGTTTCTTCTGAGAACATGGTGTTTCATGGGTAGTCTGGGAGATGTGCGGGGCCCTTCAGAGATGACTTTTGACTTGCCGTAGGAATTGCTGACGCAGGTGTGTGGGGATGTACTCTCCACCTGCGAGCACCGCCTCTCCAACATCGTTCTCAAGGAGAATGGAACAGGGAATATGGACGAAGACCTGTTGGTAAGCGACTGCTTTTCCTAACCATTCTTTTCGCTTCCATTTTATCCGTGAGGTTCTATTAAAGATGACTTTGTCATGTACGCTTTAAATGCTTTTAACAAAAGAGCTGTCTTAGCCTAGAGCTTACTTTCTCTTTTTAGAAGATATTTTTAAATTGATAACCTATTCATTTTTTTCTTATATACTTTTTATCGGTGGGGAAACTCAATGGTATACGCTTCATCTAGTTCAGTCTTATGAGAAGCCTGATTTCAGTAGGGAAAACACAGTATGTGTTGTAAGGTTGGTATAGTCAAGCTTAGAAATGTAAGGTAAGAAATAATAATGTGAGTATAGTGTTTTTGGTTTGTGTGTTTGCTTTTTTAAAAATTTAACATGTCTTCTGAGCTATTTGAACATCAGACAGTAGAACTGGGGAACAGTGCTGAGCAATTGCCAAGTAATGACTGAAATAAAATGAGAGATTTGACAATTCAGAACACAGATGACCTTGGAGCCCCAAGATTGTTTTCTGTGGCACCCCTGCTTTAGAAACTGTAAACGGTGCAAGAAATTCCCGTGAGCCAGGACGGGACAGTGGGCTGATTTCAGTGGCTGACTGGGGATAAGATGTATGGCAGTAATTCTGGTTCCAACATCTGACTTTGTCCAGTAAAGGAAATAATGAGCTGCTTTTTGATGCCATTCAGCACAGATCATTATTTAACCAAAACGGGCCATTTTTCTCATATGTTTAAATTAGTGGAGCACGTCTTTTCTGTGTTCAGTTTCTGCTTGTTGGCCTAGCTCTCCTAACGCCCAGTGATCACCGACCAAGCTTAGATTTGTTCAAAGAGAAGACCATTGAGCCTGAGGCACTACTGTGCACGTGATCAGGAATACAGAGCCTCACTATGGGAACCTGGGTGCTTTAGGTAAGAGCACCAGGGAGTGTAGCACAGGCTTGGCCCAGGGCTTCTAGAGGGTCTTGCTCTTCTCATTTCTGCCCACATTAAGAAAGATGCTTACTATGGTCAGTGAGTCTTGTCCCCACCCCTCCTCCCCCAGGTTTTTTTCAACTGTTAACCGTGTCATCAAAATCTACTCTTCAGTCAAAATATATATGGAGAGGTTTTGCCCTATATACATAGTTTCATTCTTGCTTCTTTAAATAGAACTTAAATATTTTTTTAATGAAGAGATACAGTATTTCAAGATTCTTTTAAACTCATATACTTTGTTATTGGCTTTCTTACCCTAGAATAAGCTTTTATTTGACATTTTACTATTCAGCATCATCCCTTCATTTGGGGTGTAAATAAAAAAAGAACAATATTACTTAGTTGTTAAACTGAATGTTATGAAGAAACACAGCATGGCAGCTGTGAGTAGGTTTTTGATGGGGTCTACATAGAAAAATAATCTGGAGGGCAACTTGAAAATGTGTTTCAAAATGTGAAATAGCTTTATATACTCTTTACCTTGGATTTTACTTCTGAGGAAAGAGAGCAGTATCTAAGGATACACAGGTGTTCACCAGAGCTAATCGAAACATTAGCAAAGGGAAACAGCATCAGTGTTCATTGATACTGGAATAGTGCAGTAAGTTATGACGACAGTCCTAGTTTTGAAATGGCATATACTTATGTAGTCATTAAACATATGTGTCATACATATTGACATGAAACGATGCCTAATATTCAAAGTAATCATTGCAGACTTCAAAATACTATACTTGGTAAGTGTATAAGAAAAGTAAACATAAAGCCACGTGACTATAGAAATACTTTGAAAAAGTTATACACAAAAACAATAATGGTGTCTCTGGGTGGTAGGGTTATAGGTAGATGTATCCCAGTTTACCCAAGATAACCCTAGCGTACACCTATTTTCACAAAATAATTATTAATAGCACCCCCTTTTACTTGCAGATGTGTCTAGATTTAGATGATAAAATTATATGCTTGCCCTAATTTTGGATGAGTTTCATTACATAGTGACTAAGTTTTTACAATAGCCATGTATTTTTATGAAACGAAAACTAGTAACATTGTTTTAAATTTGGGGGATAAAGGAAATACTCCATTGACATGTCCTTAATCTAGCTAGAGTTCACTTTTCTTTTGCCTTATTTTTACTGTAAAACCAATTATCTTTGTAGGTGAAGTACATTTTTACCTTAGGGGATATAGCCCAGCTGTGTCCAGCCAGGGTGGAGAAGCGCATCTTCCTTCTGATTCAGTCCGTCCTGGCTTCGTCTGCTGATGCTGACCACTGTAAGGCATTTGAAATCATACTCTGTAGCACGCATGCCGTTTCAAGGTTCTGTCGGTAACTTTCTCTCCCTTCTTTGCAGCACCATCATCTCAAGGCAGCAGTGAGGCCCCAGCGTCTCAGCCACCCCCCCAGGTCAGAGGTTCTGTCATGCCCTCTGTGATTAGAGCACATGCCATCATTACCTTAGGTAAGAAAAACATGGGAGAATGGGGCTTGACATCGTTCTGTGTGTAGCTGTTGTCTTAAGTAAGCCCAGCCATGGGACTGTGTCAGGGGCTGCGGAGCCTGTCTGTGTCTGCTCTCAGCCATGTGGTTCCTAGAGGTGGCTCTGATCTGAGTGCTGAGCTCTGCATAACTGCGTGCTGGTCATGAGAGCCCTCAGGCTGATAAGTCCTCAAGACTAAGGTACTCTCTAGAGGGTCTAGAGGGAGCTTTTGTTTTTCAGTAGGGTTATGTTAATTTATTACAATTATACCTGTTTCTGTAATTTTTTTTCAATACCTTCACTTGACTTGAATATTCCTGTAATATTTTAATATTCATAATGCAGCCCCACGAAGTCTGTTCTGTGCCGGGCACTGCACTGAGTTCTGGAAATGAAGAAATAAATTTTCCATAAAAGGAAATGGTTTATTTAGTACTTTCCAGAATTGGCTAGATGACTATTTACATATTTCTCCATGAACTCAAATTATTTTTAATCTTGAAAACACTGACCTCTGTGCTGGAAATTGTATTTTGTTTTTTTGTTTTTTTATTTTTCCTTTAGTGTGAGTGTATATTTCATGCTACCTAAGTTATTAATTTTTTTGTAATATTAGTTATTTTTCAAATACCTAAGAATTGCAAAACATTTCCCAGGCACAAAAGAAACATACAAACAAAACTCAGCAGCCTTTTCAACTATGAACAAGAAAGAAAGAAAGAAAGAAAGAAAGGGGACATGCATTCTTTCCTATTTACCCAGCTCAGATTTCAAATTCAGCATGGGTATTTAGCATCTGTAGAGGATATGTATAATCAGGAGTAAAATGTTTCACCTCTCAGGCTTTGCTGATCATTTTCCAGGTAAGGGGATAACTGCGAAATTCAAATGTTGACTTTAAAAGGAAGATGATTTTATTAGTGTAAAGGAACATCCCATAGTATATAACTCCTGGGGAGTTTATTTCTCCTTAGGTATTTTTATTCGACTATTCAAGATGGGTCTGTCTGCCTTTAGTTTTTTGTTGTTTGTGATTGTGGGCATGATGTTTTAACTTTGATGAAATAGAAGCCATTAGCAAGATGTATCTGGAGAAAATTTAGGAATGGAATTAGGATTTAGAATACAGTTGAGACATCTTCCTGTCTTCTGTGCCAGGTAAGCTGTGCTTACAGCACGAGGATCTGGCAAAGAAGAGCATCCCAGCCCTGGTGCGAGAGCTCGAGGTGTGTGAGGACGTGGCTGTCCGCAACAACGTCATCATTGTAATGTGCGATCTCTGCATTCGCTACACCATCATGGTGGACAAGTATATTCCCAACATCTCCATGTGTCTGAAGGATTCCGACCCATTCATCCGGAAGCAGACACTCATCTTGCTTACCAATCTCTTGCAGGTGCGTAGGGGGGTTCAATCTGTCCTTTCCCCTTCACCATTGCTTCTGGTTTAAGGGAATATTTGAGTAGCATAGGAAATGTGCTTGCTTTGTAGTAGAATCCAAAAATAATTGTCTCATCTCTGGTCTGGAGTTTTACTCTTCTGATGTTTAGCACAACCTTCTAAACGGCGTTACTTGTGAATGTTCATTTTGGGACTTTGTTCAGACATCCTGTCAAGCAGTGAGAAGTTTCATTTTGAAAATAAGTACCATGTAGAGAAAAGCATATTCAGTAGACAAGTAGTTCTAGTTTGAATTCTGTTATTCTTTTTTAACTTGGACAAGTCCACATTTCTGAGAGGTAACTTCTTCCTTCGTCAAATGGGGATCATGGTGTTCGCGCTGGGCTCTGCAAGTCCAGTGGGACGTTTCCGTGTGCGGAAAAACCTAGTGAACTATAGAGCTCTGCAGAGCGTTAGATATTTTTATACACACTGAGAGCCCATGTTTGGCCTATAATGGGGAGAACACCTTTCACTTAGGTTGTATGTCTGTCCTGGTATGTTCTGTATGCTCATCTTTTCATGTATTACGAACCGTATTATAAATAGAGGGTGGCACCATCCCTCTAATGCCATGTGCTTTGAGTCATTTTTCTCCTGTGGTAGAAGGGTGATGTTGTTCTGCACATACACTTCTCGGCACTACATTCCGACGGTTTGGAAGTGTGTGCCTGTGCACTCAGCCAGTGTGCCGGGGACAGACCGCGTGGTGGGTGGGGTGTGGCTGGGAACAGTGAGGCTTGCCCATGATGACGCACTCTGAAACATGCCGGCTTCTCTCTGCACAGGAGGAATTTGTGAAATGGAAGGGCTCCCTGTTCTTCCGATTTGTCAGCACTCTGATCGATTCACACCCAGACATTGCCAGGTAAATCTTTTCCTCACGTCAGACGACTCAACAGTTTACCTCATTTCTGATGTATGCTGGATTTCTTTTTTTTTCAGATTGGTTTAGAGTTAAGTAGGATTTAGTGAGCTTTCGGTAGGTGCCAGGAAAATTAGCAGATTTTTAAGATGCTAAGCAATATAACAAACCTTTGTTTTGCACACAAGTTTAAAAGAAAATGGTTAGATTCATCATTGAATAATCTCAGCATTGACTGCACTTGCTGACAGTGTTTGCTGTTCCTGAAGGAGCTTGAAGAATATTATATGCTTGCTGTATTACACTGTATAGAGTAGCAGCCACTAGAAACTCACTGTTAATTTCTAGGCAAAAAAAAAAAAAAGTTAATTTTGATAAAGAGCTGAGACTTTAATTGCAGAAATTTTAAGGAGGAAACTAGGAATTAAGATGAAATTGCACAATGTGGAATCAAGTGTACAGATGACAAGACTCCTTGGAAATGGGCATTTCTTCAGACTTCTGTGGCGTGGGGGAGTGACTTTGGCAATTATTAATTTCTATCCTTGCATCTTTTTTTTTAAAGATTTTTTTCAAGGGGTTGAGAAATGGTCTGATAGAATTTGCTACCCTAGAGTTTGTTGTAACAGTAATTCTTTTTCAAGCAAGTCTGCAGTTGGAAAGTAGAATGCTGAATGCCATAGCAAAAGCCCCACAGTGGGGAAGAGGTCTTTACAGAGCTCATTAACTATAAATGGCTGCTAACAGTGGGTCCCTCTGGATCTAAATATAGCCACCAATAATTTACCCTGAGTTCCGTGGAAGTTTCTGCTCAGTTTTCTTTAGGTGTGATTTTCCAAGGAGGGGAACATTTCACATAACAAACCAGTAAAACTAACATTCTACTTACTGCTTTCTAGAACCAGAGGCAAAAAGCTAAGGCTGTCACCTTTTTTTAGATAGCTTCACACACCCTCTTACCTTCACAACGTGTCCACTATACTGACTCTCAGGACTTTTTACGCAGTACGTGGCCCAGGAGAAGGTGTAATCAGACAGGCTGGGAATGCTTTCAGATGATGCACCTGGGAGGTAAAATCGGTTACTTAACCTGCATTTCCTCATTTTTCCCCGCTGTTGTTAGCCCCTATATGTGTATGTGAAAAAGAGCAATGATCAATGAGTAAACTGTATGTGGGATTTGTACATATGGGTGTTCAGATCATCAATCAAATGAAGAGCATAGATATACTTTACCGTGTAGTAAGATTACCAGGGCCTCTTCTAGCATTTTAACACTTCCCCCTTAATCTATCCCTTTTATGTCCGCATCCTGGGTTTGTTGAAACCATGGTTCAAATGTAGACCATGATTTTCAGCTTTGAAAAGCTGATGACTACATTTGCTAACTGTAATTTAAGTTAGTCTGTTCTCTGGAAATTTTCCTTTTCTTTTTATTTGACGTGTAATAATTATACATATTTATGGGACAGAGAGTGATGTTTTGATACATGTATAGAGCATGCAATGATCAAATCGGGATAATTAGCAGAACCATCACCTCAAACATTTATCATTTCTTTGTGTCAGGAACTTTCAAAATCCTCTCCCTAGCTTTTTGAAAATAGACAGTAAATTGTTGTTATTATATTCAACCTACAGTGCTGTTGAGCATTTTCCTGTACTCCTCCTGTAATTTTATATGTGCTAATCAGCCTTTCTGTACCCTTCCCAGCCTCCGATAACCACAATTCTTCTCTCTGCTTCTGTGACCCTCCCTTTTTTTAACTCTTACATATGAGTGAGAGTGTGTGGTGTGTATATATATATGTATATATATATGTATCTTTCTGTGCCTGACTTTTGATTTTTAGGCCAAAGGCTACGCCTATCTGCTATGTTAGATACTGTTTTTTTTGTTTGCTTTTTTTTTTTTTTTTTTTTTTTTGAGACAGGGTCTCATTCTGTTGCTCAGGCTGAAGTACAGTGGTACAGTCATGGCTCCCTGCAGCCTCGACCTCCTGGGCTCAAGTGATCCTCCCACCTCGGCCTCCCAGATAACTCGGACTACAGGTGCATGCCACCATACTCGGCTAGTTTTTGTACTTTTTTGTAGAGACACGTTTTTGCCAGGCTGGTCTCCAACTCCTGGGCTCAGGCAATCTACCCACCTCGGCCTTCCAAAGTGTGGGAATTACAGGCTTGAGTCACCACAGCAGGCAATACGTTTTTTCGTGTGTTTCTGCTAATGCAGATCTTAGGAAGAGACTATGGTGGCAGAGCCTATTGAATTTTTTATGACTTTTTTTTTCTTAGAGGTTCTGGGTTTTGTTTTTGTTTTGTTTTTTTGTTTGTTTTCTTTTTTTTTTTGAGATGGAGTCTTGTTCTGTCGCCCAGGCTGGAGTGCAATGGCATGATCTCGGCTCACTGCAGCCTCCGACTCCCTGGTTCAAGCGATTCTCCTGCCTCAGCCTCCCGAGTAGCTGGGATCACAGGCGTGCGCCACCACGCCCGGCTAATTTGAGGTTCTGGGTCTTTATTAGTGAGCCCAGCCTGTAGTCCCCTCCACCCCGGCCCACACAAAGCAGACAGTGAGTTGGGGTCTCTGTGCGGGGTGGGAAAAGGTACCAGTGGCTCTCTTCAAGGTGTGTGCACCAGCTGGACTTCAGATAGAGTCTAGACAATCTGAATGGAGGGCAGTCCCTGCATCAGGGTCTGCCCTCCATCCAGGTCGAATGAGGAGCCCTGTGCAGGCAGAGGCTAGGCCAGGTGGCAGTGGGGCCAGGGGCTGCAGCATGGTGGGGCCGCCCCAGTGCTGCTATCCTCCAGCAGCTCAGTAGCTGGGGTGCTGCGGATGATGAGGAGTTTCTGTCCGGGTGGGCCAGGGGCAGGTAGCACGGACAGCTCTGGGGGAAGGCTTTCTACCTCTTGCACACAGAACCAGGTCTGCTCCCCATCAGCCTCACTCAGCAGCACATGCTCTGCAAGCCTTCATCCATCTGTGGTATCTCAAAGAGGACATCCTGGACCACACCTGTGCTGTCCCCACCATCCCCCGCCTCCCTGGGATCTGGGGCTTTGAGCACCTCCTCAGCAGCCCCCTACTGAACAGCTATGAGGTTGGGGGCCTCAGTAGTCACAGCTCCTCCACGGAGAGCTGTTGGCCACAGGCTGCATCTGGACGATGGTCACTTCTGAGGCTGGCCACAGGGGCTAGAGCTGGACCCCACTCATTCCTGCAGCCCTGCCTCCCCATCACCCACATTCTGTAGAATGAGGCTCTGCCCTCCCCTGCAGGTCCTTGCACTGCCTGCCCGCTCTGTGTGACTTTTTTTTTTTTTTTTTTTTTTTTTTGAGACAGGGTCTTGCTCTGTTGCCCAGGCTGGAGTGCAATGGAGCAATCAGGGCTCAATCAAGTTCATGTGACCCTCCCACCTCATCCTCCCAAATAGTTAGCTAATGTTTTATTTTTTGTAGCATTAGGTTCTCACGATGCTGCTCCTGAGCTCAAGCAATCTTCTCACCTCAGCCTCCCAAAGTGCTGGGATTGGGCGTGAGCCACCACCCCGGCCTGTATGACATTTTTAATCGCTGGTATAAACCCCAAATTTGGAGGCTACAGAATTCTATGATCTGTCTTCCTGTCTGCCCGATAGGTGGTGGCCTTGTAATCACAGGGCAACAGCCAAGTACTAAGCAGATTATTGTAGTTTAACTGGGCACTGCGGGCACTGCCACAGGAGTGTAGAGAGGCAGGGCCAGAAGCTCAAGGCAGGACAGCGCCTCAAATAATGGACCATTGAGATAGAAAAGGGGGCAACAACAAGGATGGCCTGGTTTGGGAGAAAAGGAAGCAAGCACGCGACTATCTGGAGGCCTTAGTGAAGCCATGGAACAATCGGAATGGGGTGAGGGAGTCAGGAGCCAGACCACTGGAAGGATCAGCAGGGTAGTCATCAGTTGATCTCCAGTGTGGCAACAGGGTCCACGACGTGGCTGCACTGGTGACATTGGGTCCAGATGGGATGGTCACTGGAAACAATGAAGTCAGGAAAGCAGAAAGTTAGGGCATTCAGTAGCTCATCTGCATGGGGAGTCCTGCGGGGATTTGGAATGGAGAGCAAAACTGGGAACCAGGTAGCAGAGAGCGCAAGAGGCAGATGGTGGGAGCACCACGGGGAGGTGGAGGTGGAGGCGTCTTAACAGCAGCCAGCCCACACTCTCCGCACTTCACTGGACCCACTTCCAGCTGTCTTCCAGTGTCAGAACACTTTTGGCAACACACTATCTGGTCCACACGCTATGTGTAGGTTTCCTGAGGGGCATGAGTTTGGTTTTGTTGTTCCGCATCCCTAGAAAAGGAACACGAAACCAAGCAGACATGCCGTGAACATTTGGTGGGTGAAGGCAGGAAGGCACTGGGGGTCCGGGAAATGTGCTCCTCATCCTCTGACTGAGGGATGAAGCAGCCTCCCCTTGGGAGGGCTGAGAGAGAACTGCTGTGTTTGGAGGACAGCCGGCCCACATTTATGAAGGGGAAGCATAGGGAGTGCCCTGAGAGTTGGCTGTGGAGGGTAGGGCCTGATTCACCGTGGAACCTGGAGTGCAGAGTACATGGAGGAAGGAAGCAGCAATGCAGGGATGACCAGGGTCTAGACAGACCATCACAGGCGCTTGGATTTGGGGTGGTGGCCAGGGAGAACTAGGGTGTAGGAAATACTGCTTCAAGCCTCAGGTAGAATTCTGGTATAAATGGGTCTGAGCCCCAGTCCTAACCTGAGATAGATGTGTTGTAGGCCAGGTCAGGAACATGAGTTCAGCATGAACTCTTGAGTCTGCCTTTATTGAGCAGACACCCTGTTTCAGAATGGCATTCAGCTCATGAAGAAATCTGAAGTCAGATTTTTATGTTTCCTACTAAAGCTGAAAACAGAAGTGGACACATGGCTCTTACCTTGTGGCCTTTTGGGCTGTTTGAATATCCTGGATTTCGATTCTTAGTGAGAGAGTAATAACTTCTTTTTACAAGGCTGTAATAAGGTAATCACTCAGATTTAGCTGGTCTTCCCTTTGTGTTCCATATAATTCGTGCAGCTCGTGCTGTGTGAAATCCATAGACCGCATCCCTGAGTTGGTGGTGTGGGTATGTGCGTTCCTAGTGGTGGTCCTGAGGGCTGGGGAGAGGATGCTGAACGAGCTCCCAGCTTACTAAGATTTCTTGAGAATCCTGGAGGTTTCCTAATCCACATACCTAGAGAGTGCTGCCTCTTGTCACTCTAAAGGAATGTTCTAGGAAGCATTACTTGGAATGTTAATTTCTCCTAACTTTTCAGCAGACAAACAAGAAACAAAATAGTCCCTCTTCTCCAATTAGGAAGCTTGCAGGATTTGTGCATCTTAATCTAATCAAGGCTGAAACTTGCCCTCTTAATAAAGTCCCAGTGAATACAGCAGCCAAGATGAGTTGTGGATATCACACATTGGCTGTGGCTTCCAGTTTCTCTTGCTAGAAAGCTCTGTGACTACATTTTCAGCCCTCAGCGTGTGAATCCTGGCATGGTTTTATGTTGCTATGGAATTTATTTGTATAGATGGTTCAGCAAGTTTTTCACTAGGGCTTAAACTCCGCAGTATCTTGTCTGTTGGTCACCTCCACCCATGTGTATTCTTGACCTAAACTGAGTCGATTGGCATTGACATAAGTCCAAACTCAGAGGGAACCCTCTTCTTGTGGAAGATTTGCTGATTCTATCTGGCTTTACATTTTCGTATATGTGACTTCATTTCTGAGGAGAAAGTTCACATAATGTGGAAACTGCCATGCCATAGTAGATTAACTATAATAAAATACCACAGAAGATAAATCCTTGTTTGTTTAGTGGTTTTTTTCATTCTTGTCACAGATGGTTTACCAAAGTAACCCTTGTTTAGAAATAACTTCATCTGATGCTGTGACCTTTGCCTTTCAAACATGGGTCATTAAACAACATAATTTGTACAAAGTAACTGACTACTCTTAGATCAGACAGGTGCTTCTGGTTGTCCTTAAGTGAATTTTGTCTCAAGGAATTCTCGTTATTGAATAGAGTTTTATTTATTTTGTTTTCATATTTCTAGGTCAAGCTGCTCCCGTATTTCCTAGGTGAATAGTCAAGGTGTAATTATCTACAGTGGAATTTTTATCTGGGCTTACTTCCATCATGATTTCTCATCTACCTTCTCTGATTTTTAATTGATATGTGTGCTGTGAACACAAACTGATTTGAATTTTGGCATAAGGAGCACCACTGGGGAAAGGAGAAGTCAGTCTCCTACACAGTCCCAATGCCCTCCAGAGCCAGTGTCTGCTGTTTGGACAGTCTTTGACACTGCTCCTCTCCCAAGGAGAGCTGACTGGTGCTCCTGTGTGGGTGGAAATTGCATTTGAGCTCTGATATTAAATTAAAACACTGGTCTTGACAGTGTGAATGTATCACAGTGAGTCCTGCACCATGTTAGTTTGACCCCTGAGCAAAAATCAGTGCTTTGGCACTCTGTCACCTACTATCGTGATGAACAGAAACTCTGTGGTGGCCTGTAGTCAAACAGTTTGCCTGTTTACATCTGGCATTGAAAATCTTCATTTTGGTAGGGTCCTGGTGGCATCTGTGTCCCATGTGCAGCATTGCACAGATATGTTGAGGGCATGGGTGGAAGGAGAGTGCCCAGGGCTTGCTGGTGATTCCAAAGCGCATTGAGTCAGTTGCTTTGCAGAGGGAACTTGTCCTCCTGATCCAAACTGTGAAGCTCTTGTCATTAATCCTTATTCTTGAAAAAAGTTCCAGTTACTAAAATTGGTTTTTGTTCATAATTGTGGGCAACAAACTTGAAGTTGGGAGGTGAAGGCCAGATATCCCTTTTCTGGTGACTGTTGTCATTGCATCAGTCTTATAAGACCACTGGCCTCTGATTGCAGAAGCAGCTTTGGGGTTCAGTTGGTCGATTACTTTCCCCACTTGAACTGCAGCTGGATGACAACACCTTGTGTCAATTTTGAAAGGAAACCTGGTGGAAAAAATATACTTACCTTGGATTAGAAAGGAAGCTGTGGAGCAAGGACAGACCAAATAGCTGAATTTCTGTCTTCTTTGGATCCGAGGGAACTGTTTATTGGGATAGATTTTGAATCCCTACGCTTATGTACAGCTCTCCTCTGCTCAGCAGAGTTCTTGGTGTATTCAGAGACTGTTGGTACATAGCAAATGGGTCTCCCTCTTTGTTTCTCTCACCTTTGCAGCTTCGGGGAGTTTTGCCTGGCTCACCTGTTACTGAAGAGGAACCCTGTCATGTTCTTCCAACACTTCATTGAATGTATTTTTCACTTTAATAACTATGAGAAGCATGAGAAGTACAACAAGTTCCCCCAGTCAGAGAGGTCAGTGAAGCAGCTAAGTCTGGTCTCCTTGTATCTGGGTAAGAGCTGGGGGAATCAGGGGAGGTTAGGCTCTTTGCATGTAGTGATTGGACGCAGACCCTGCCCCAGGTCTTTACTGTGGCTTGGCAGGATGGCGTAAGAAAATACAGTCGTGAGAATCGCTTCCTAAGGGCAGCGCCTGTGATGAGCACTGGGATCTCTGTAGTGCACTGGAGTCTTTGGCATGCAGCTTTTAGGATGCAGTTAAAGTGCAGTGTTAAATCCCTTACACCCGTGCCCATGTGATGCAGTGAACTTGTCCCGTTCTGCCACAGAGAGAAGCGGCTGTTTTCATTGAAGGGAAAGTCAAACAAAGAGAGACGAATGAAAATCTACAAATTTCTTCTAGAGCACTTCACAGATGAACAGCGATTCAACATCACTTCCAAAATCTGCCTTAGTATTTTGGGTAAGCCCAGTGTGTGTGGGAGAAAATGTGTGTGTTTGCAAATGAAATGCTGTGTTGATAATGGCCCAGCAGGCCTCTAGTAAGGGAGACCCTGGCACTGCAGGAAGACCCCTGTCATCTTGTCCTTCTCTGGCATCAGCTGTGCCCCAGACAAAACACCCTTGCAGACCCCCTGACAGCCTCAGATGGCCCCCCAGTTGTGGGAATTACACCTCCTCTCTGGGCCAGAGCATTTCTCAGAAGCTCACGTTTTTCTCTCTCTCTGTCTCTCAGCGTGCTTTGCTGATGGCATCCTACCCCTGGACCTGGACGCCAGTGAGTTACTCTCAGACACGTTTGAGGTCCTCAGCTCAAAGGAGATCAAGCTTTTGGCAATGAGATCTAAACCAGACAAAGACCTCCTTATGGAAGAAGATGACATGGCCTTGGCAAATGTAGTCATGCAGGAAGCTCAGAAGAAGCTCATCTCACAAGTGAGTGTGTTGCTCCCCTAAGATCATCTTCTCACAAGTGAGTGTGCTGCTCCCCTAAGCTCATCTCACGAGTGTGCACCTCCCCCAAGCTCATCTCACAAGTGAGTGTGCACCTCCCCCAAGCTCATCTCACGAGTGTGCTGCTCCCCCAAGCTCATCTCACAAGTGAGTGTGCTGCTCCCCTAAGCTCATCTCACGAGTGTGCACCTCCCCCAAGCTCATCTCACAAGTGAGTGTGCTGCTCTCCCTAAGCTCATCTCACGAGTGTGCGCCTCCCCCAAGCTCACCTCACTAGTGAGTGTGCCCCTCCCCCAAGCTCATCTCACAAGTGAGTGTGCTGCTCCCCCAAGCTCATCTCACTAGTGTGCCCCTCCCCCAAGCTCATCTCACTAGTGAGTGTGCCCCTCCCCCAAGCTCATCTCACTAGTGAGTGTGCAGCTCCCCCGAGCTCATCTCACTAGTGAGTGTGCAGCTCCCCTGAGCTCATCTCACGAGTGTGCGCCTCCCCCAAGCTCATCTCACAAGTGAGTGTGCGCCTCCCCTAAGCTCCTCTCACGAGTGTGCGCCTCCCCCAAGCTCATCTCACAAGTGAGTGTGCAGCTCCCCTAAGCTCCTCTCACGAGTGTGCGCCTCCCCCAAGCTCATCTCACGAGTGTGCGCCTCCCCCAGGCTCATTTCACAAGTGAGTGTGCTGCTCCCCCAAGCTCATCTCACAAGTGAGTGTGCTGCTCCCCTAAGCTCATCTCACGAGTGTGCGCCTCCCCCAAGCTCATCTCACGAGTGTGCTGCTCTCCCTAAGCTCATCTCACGAGTGTGCGCCTCCCCCAAGCTCACCTCACTAGTGAGTGTGCCCCTCCCCCAAGCTCATCTCACAAGTGAGTGTGCAGCTCCCCCAAGCTCATCTCACTAGTGAGTGTGCAGCTCCCCCAAGCTCATCTCACTAGTGAGTGTGCAGCTCCCCCAAGCTCATCTCACTAGTGAGTGTGCAGCTCCCCTAAGCTCATCTCACTAGTGAGTGTGCAGCTCCCCTAAGCTCATCTCACTAGTGAGTGTGCAGCTCCCCTAAGCTCATCTCACGAGTGTGCGCCTCCCCCAAGCTCATCTCACAAGTGAGTGTGCGCCTCCCCTAAGCTCCTCTCATGAGTGTGCGCCTCCCCCAAGCTCATCTCACAAGTGAGTGTGCAGCTCCCCTAAGCTCCTCTCACGAGTGTGCGCCTCCCCCAAGCTCATCTCACGAGTGTGCGCCTCCCCCAAGCTCATCTCACAAGTGAGTGTGCTGCTCTCCCTAAGCTCATCTCACTCAGTGTGCCCCTCCCCCAAGCTCATCTCACAAGTGAGTGTGCTGCTCCCCCAAGCTCATCTCACTAGTGAGTGTGCCTCTCCAAGCTCATCTCACTAGTGAGTGTGCAGCTCCCCTAAGCTCATCTCACGAGTGTGCGCCTCCCCCAAGCTCATCTCACAAGTGAGTGTGCTGCTCTCCCTAAGCTCATCTCACTGTGCCCCTCCCCCAAGCTCATCTCACAAGTGAGTGTGCTGCTCCCCCAAGCTCATCTCACTAGTGAGTGTGCCCCTCCCCCAAGCTCATCTCACTAGTGAGTGTGCCCCTCCCCCAAGCTCATCTCACAAGTGAGTGTGCTGCTCCCCCAAGCTCATCTCACTAGTGAGTGTGCCTCTCCAAGCTCATCTCACTAGTGAGTGTGCAGCTCCCCTAAGCTCATCTCACGAGTGTGCGCCTCCCCCAAGCTCATCTCACAAGTGAGTGTGCTGCTCTCCCTAAGCTCATCTCACTGTGCCCCTCCCCCAAGCTCATCTCACAAGTGAGTGTGCTGCTCCCCCAAGCTCATCTCACTAGTGAGTGTGCCCCTCCCCCAAGCTCATCTCACTAGTGAGTGTGCCCCTCCCCCAAGCTCATCTCACAAGTGAGTGTGCTGCTCCCCCAAGCTCATCTCACTAGTGAGTGTGCGCCTCCCCCAAGCTCATCTCACAAGTGAGTGTGCTGCTCTCCCTAAGCTCATCTCACTGAGTGTGCCCCTCCCCCAAGCTCATCTCACAAGTGAGTGTGCTGCTCCCCCAAGCTCATCTCACTAGTGAGTGTGCCCCTCCCCCAAGCTCATCTCACTAGTGAGTGTGCAGCTCCCCTAAGCTCATCTCACGAGTGTGCGCCTCCCCCAAGCTCATCTCACAAGTGAGTGTGCATCTCCCCTAAGCTCCTCTCACGAGTGTGTACCTCCCCCAAGCTCATCTCACAAGTGAGTGTGCAGCTCCCCTAAGCTCATCTCACGAGTGTGCGCCTCCCCCAAGCTCATCTCACAAATGAGTATGCTGCTCCCCTGAGCTCATCTCACGAGTGTGGGCCTCCCCTAAGCTCATCTCACGAGTGTGCGCCTCCCCCAAGCTCATCTCACTAGTGTGCCCCTCCCCCAAGCTCATCTCACAAGTGAGTGTGCTGCTCCCCTAAGCTCATCTCACAAGTGAGTGTGCTGCTCCCGTAAGCTCATCTCACAAGTGTGCCACTCCCCCAAGCTCATCTCATGAGTGTGCCACTCCCCTAAGCTCATCTCACGAGTGTGCTTCTTCCCCTAAGCTCATCTCAGAAGTGTGCCCCTTCCCCGAAGCTTATCTCACGAGTGCGCCCTTCCCAAGCTCATGAGTGTGCCCCTCCACTTAAGCTCATGTCACAAGTGAGTGTGCAGCTTCCCTAAGTTCATCTCACAAGCGAGTGTGCAGCTCCCCCTCAGCTTATCTCACAAGTGAGCGTGCTGCTCCCCTAAGCTCATCTCACAAGTGTGCCGCTCCCCCAAGCTCATCTCACAAGTGTGCAGCTCCTCCTCAGCTCATCTCACAAGTGAGTGTGCTGCTCCCCTAAGCTCATCTCACAAGTGAGTGTGCAGCTCCCGCAAGCTCATTTCACAAGTGAGTGTGCCGCTCCCCCTCAGCTAATCTAAGTGTGTGCAGCTCCTCTAAGCTCATCTCACAAGTGGGTGTGCAGCTTCCCTAAGTTTGTGTCACAAGTGAGCATGCCACTCCCCTAAGCTTATGTCACAAGTGAGTGTGCCCCTCCCCCTAAGCTCATCTCACAAGTGAGTGTGCAGCTCCCCCTAAGCTCATGTCACAAGTGAGTATGTAGCTCCCTCAAGCTCATGTCACACGTGAGTGTTCAGCTCCCCTAAGGTCATTTCATGAGTGTGAAGTTCCCCTAAGTTCATTTCACGAGTGTGCAGCTCCCCCAAGCTCATGTCACAAGTGAGTGTGAAGCTCCCTAAACTCATGTCGCAAGTGAGTGTACAGCTCCCCTAAGCTTATTTTACAAGTGAGTGTGCAGCTCCCCCAAGCTCATGTCACAAGTGATTATGCGGCTCCCTCAAGCTCATGTCACAAGTGAGTGTGCAGCTCCCCTAAGCTCATGTCACAAGTGAGTGTGCAGCTCCCCTAAGCTCATTTCACAAGTGAGTGTCCCACTCTTCTCACCATCTACTGGCTTCCGTGTTCTCCCTGGAATCCTGGTGCCATGCTCTGGTGCTGACTTCTTTCTTACTGATGGCTTTAACTCTTGCCAGATGGTGACAATTCTCAAACCTGTTTCCCACTCCAGCATTTCTCATGAGCCTGAGCTCAGGTCCCCCTGCTGCCAGGACGTGCTCCGGGTGTCTCTGACTTACTCTGTCAAAACTCCCTCAGTCATCTCTTCTTTCTGCTCTTCATCTCCTCTTTCTCCCACAGTTTATGGTGCTCTTGCAGACTGGAGTCTGGTGTGTCAGGCTGAGGCTTTTGTTGGCAGGAAGTGTAGAATTTGGATCTGAATGACTGGGGCAGAGCTTGGCTGCCACAGGCCTCTGCAGGCCTGTGTTTTCCTCCTAGCCTGGATTGCCAATGTGTATTTCCCACCTGGCCTCTGGAGGCTTTTGACTCCAAGGATATAGACTCTGATCATATCTTGCCACAAGATCCTGCCTGTTTTCTCTTACCAATCTATCTCTCTAGTTCTGACCTTATTTAAGCTTATCCCATTTCCATGGTTTCCTTACCACCCTTTCTGTTTCTGGTTTCTTTCTGTCACAGGCCATGTACCACCTTGCTGCCAGAGCAGTCTTTCTTTCTTTTTCTTTTTTTTTTTTTTTTTTTTTGAGACAGAATCTCACTGCGTCGCCCAGGCTGGAGTGCAGTGGCGCGATCTCAGCTCACTGCAAGCTCCGCCTCCCAGGTTCACGCCATTCTCCTGCCTCAGCCTCCCGAGTAGCTGGGACTACAGGCCCCTGCCACTGTGCCTGGCTAACTTTTTTTTTTTTTTTTTTTTTGAGACACAGTATCACACTGTTGCCCAGGCTGGAGTGCAGTGGTACGATCTCTGCTCAGTGCAAGCTCTGCCCCCCTGGGTTCATGCCATTCTCCTGCCTCAGCCTCCCTAGTAGCTGGGACTACAGGCACCAGCCACCACGGCCGGCTAGTTTTTTTGTATTTTTAGTAGAGATGGGGTTTCACAGTGTTTGCCAGGATGGTCTCAATCTCCTGATCTCGTGATCTGCCCGCCTCGGCCTTCCAAAGTGCTGGGATTACAGGCATGAGCCACCACACCCAGCCCAGCAGTCTTTCTTAAGTACAAATTTGATCATTTTATTATATCTGAAACAGACTAAAGGCAGGTTGACTGTGAGGGGTGGCAGGAAGCTTTTGGGTGATAGATGGTGAGTGGTCTGTAGTGCTGGTTATTCCATATAGACTTTTGTCAAAGCTCATGGAAGTGTTTGTTTAAAATGGGTAAATTTATTACATATGTTATACTTCACTAGTGAAATCTTTAAAAACTATGCTGGTGGCTTCCTGTCATCTTCTGAATAAACCCTGATTCTTCTTTTTCAAGGTAAACAAGAACTTCTGGTGTGCCTTCCACCTTTCCCATACCTCCCTCCATCCTCACCTCTAACCTCTCCACTTCAAATTGCCATCTGCACCTCAGTTGCGAGCTGCCCCCTACTCGTGTGCTCTTGCCTCTGGGTCTAAAGTCTGCAGCGCCCTCACCCACCCATCCTCCCTTCTCCACACATCCTCAGGATCATCCATCAGATGGCCATGCACTCCTTAGGCATCCCATCTCCATACCTAAATTCCCTAACACCCTGCCACTTAACACCTCTTCCCTTGAGACACACACTTTCTAGAAGTGGCTGGAGGGCAGGGATGCTTAGCTTCATTTTGCATCCTCAGAGGGTTAGCTCTTTGCCTGGACAGAGAAGGTGCTTGATAATACTTGTCAAGTGAATGCATGGAAGCCACTTCTTAAGACTATTCCTGAACATAACATCTGCTCACATCTGGGTTTATTAAATTGCTTATTTCTCTACTTGTTGTCCTTCTGTTTCAGGAACTCTGATAAGACTTTTTAGAAATGAGTAGTTTACAAGGAAGAAACATACACTAGTGACTTTAAATGAGAAGGAAAAGAGTAGTTTCAGCTTCAGGAGGATAAATCTTGCATATGTGGGCTACTATAGTGCTTTTTTTTTAATTTAAAGAGATTCACTGGAGAATATTTGTGGTTAGTGATCATTCAAGGTAAAGTGTGAAGACTTGGTCAAATCAGGTACTATATATATAAATTCATAGTATTTTGTAGATGTGTACACAGAGAGAGAGACAGAGCTGGCTGTCTTCATGCTTAGCCATTTTTAGACCATTGTCCCTTCACCAGCAGGAATACGAAGTGTCCCTCTGGGTAGCCAGAACGAGCTGACTTCTGTTCCAAGGGGAGGGTGTTGAATTGAGGACTGAAGGTGGAGCAAGAGCCAAGGTCCCTCAGGGTCTTCTGTGGAGATTTGGGGCTTTTGTCAAAAGCTACTCAACATGTTTCTAATTCTTTTTCCCCATTTAGAATATATGAGTAGTATTTGTCCCCACCCTATCTTACAAAGCCTTCAGAGTGTTTTGAGGTAATGCTTACAAAGTCTCCCAGAGAAAAGCAGAGGTCCTCTACATCCAGTATCATAATGAAAAGCAAAAATAAACTTACATAGTGTGGTAGGGTGGCTCTACTCAAAGAACTAGATCAAGGAGAGGCCTGTCTTTCAGAAGTTCATACATCTAAAACATGTCTTTGTTTGTGTTACCAGGTTCAGAAGAGGAATTTCATAGAAAATATTATTCCAATTATCATCTCCCTGAAGACTGTGCTGGAGAAAAATAAGATCCCAGCTTTGCGGGAACTCATGCACTATCTCAGGGTAAGGGTGGAGCCTGTGCTTTTGTGGTTGTTGTCCTACCAGTTCATTACTTAGGATCTTCTGCCAGTTATGACAGTGCAGGCAATCCGTGAATGATTAGAACCCCAAATTCTGCAAACCCAACATTACCTTGGTAACTGCTGTGGAGCTAGGGGTTGGCTGTGGGTTCCACCAAAGCCGCTCTTTCCCTTGGATGTGCAGCCAGGGCCGTGAAGAGCCGGCCCACTGTGCCAAGCACGTCTTCCCTTAATGGAGTTCAAGTCCATCTGGAAAACTTTCCCAGCTGGGGTCAAGAACACAGTCATCTTCGTTCATGCTGCTTGGGGGTAAGGTGAAAGTGAGTCTTCGGGTTTGATTTCAGGGTGCTTACCTTTTGCACTGACTCAGATTCACAAGGTCAGGAAATAACTGCCCTGCAGGAGCTGCCTTCGGAGCTGCCATCACCAGGCTGAATTCTTTGTCAAGCAAGGGGACCATGAGGAGCTCAGTCGGAGCAAACCCAGGATGTGTTGACTTGCAGGGCGGACCTAAGTGGGGCCTCAGACCTTTCTTGCAAAATCTTTTACTAAGAAATAAATGCAACATAGTTTTTCTTTAATTCAGCAGTTATAGCTCTGTTCACATTATGTGTTTTTCTTCCTCAAAAAAATGCTACAATTTTTTTTCCAATAAAGGCCTCAACAAAAATTACATTGAATATAAATTTTCAAATAGCTTTTTATACTAGGAAGCCAAGGTAGGAAAGATAGTCTCATTGTATGATAAAAATAAAAACTTCCAAATATTCTTGTATTTATTGCCTGACTTTAGACCCTAGAAAGGAAAAAAAAAAACAAAAACAGAGCTTTGATCCTACATAGACTACTTAAACACTTAAGAAAAATAAGCCTTCCTCCTGCTTGTGAGCACACACACAGGATGGCCACACGTTGCTTGTTGTCAGTAGCTTGAGGGAGTCTCTTCATTGGCCTGTGGAACCCACTCCTAGTGGCAGCTGGAAAAGTGCATGGATTCCTTCTCTTTGTTGAGACTTCCCTCCCAGTTGGAACTGCAGTGTCTTTTTCTCCCTATTACTGTTAGGTGGAATGATTCTTTCTCTTAGCAAAGTGGTCTTGCCCCTGGCACCCCTCTTTAAGACCTAAGAATGTTTTTCCCTAGGTATGAGAAAAGGTTTTCTGTAAAATCTTCAGAAGAAGACACAAAGATGGGATTTGAGCCTTAGTTGGAATCCCCTGAGAGCCAATGGGGAGGCTAATGTAGACAGATGAGCAGCTTTTAGATCCATGCATCCTGGGACTTGCTCCAGAGGCTGTGTCTGAGCATGTCTTTCTCCCATTGGGAACCTGGGAGAGATTGCCCATTAACTGCCACATAGCCAGGATGCTTCCTAAGAGAGAGAACTGTTAGTTACTCACATATTTTTCTGCTTGTGTGGCCAGTGGTGTTTGCTCCAAATATACCATTGTACCTGTTAGTTACTGGAATGGAAATCATCTGCTTTCAGTAATGTCAGTCCTATTGTTCCTATGATTTATCAAGCAACATGACTTGGGGGGCTTTTTTCTTTCTTAACTTTTATTTTGCGTTCAGGGGTACACGTGCAGGATGTGCAGGTTTGTTACACAGGCGAAGGTGTGTCGTGGGGGTTTAGGGCTTTACGTTTTTATTCAAGAAAACATGAAAGGATGCTCCTGGCTCTGTTTCAGGAGGTGATGCAGGATTACCGAGATGAGCTCAAGGACTTCTTTGCAGTTGACAAACAGCTGGCATCAGAGCTTGAGTATGACATGAAGAAGTACCAGGAACAGCTGGTCCAGGAGCAGGAGCTAGCAAAACATGCAGATGTGGCCGGGACGGCTGGAGGTGCTGAGGTGGCACCTGTGGCACAGGTAGGTGTGGGGCCCACTGCACTGTGACCAGACAGTCCAGTCTGCTGTCTGCTACCAGTCTGTCGTTTGTCTGGCACCTCTCAAGATCTCCGTCATCAGAGGTTAGTCAGCCCGAAGGCCTCGAGAGTGCTGCTTGTTGGCCACTCCCTCGTGCCTTTCTGTCTGTGATGGATTTACTGTGCTCCAGACCTCCCTTCCATGAGGACGTGGTGCAGGAAGCGAGCTGGCAGCAGCAGTAGCTGGTGACTATAGATCCTAGGTCTGCCAGGGTGTGTCAGTGTGTCCGCATCTTCCCCCAGCACTCCCTCTTTAGAGCAGACCGGCACACGGCCATTTCTAGGAGTAGCTGTTGCTCACCGTCCTGAGGAATGCAGGCAGATCTCTTGTAGGAAAGACCAATGAGCACAAAGTAGCATACTCCTTTTTCTCTTCTGTCATGCCACAGCATCTACAAGTGGCAGCTTTCTCATAGTATTCTGTTTCTGAAAAGGAAATTCAACTTACCCAGGGTTGATATGGCTTCAAAGTACATTACTTATGGACTTGCTCATAGTACGTGAAGATTCTATTCCAATAAAGTGTTAAAATGGAGAAAGGGAATGGCTTGTACACTGTTGGTAGGGATGGAAAGTAGAACAGCCACTATGGAGAACAGTATAGAGGTTCCAAAAAACTAAAAGTAGAGGTACCATATGAGGCAGCAGCCTCGCTGCTGACTGTATAGTCAAAAGAAAGGAAATCAGGATGTCGAAGACATACCTGCACTCCCATGTTTATTGCAGCACTGTTCACAATAGCAAAATTTGGAAACAAATGTCCATCAGTGGATGAATGGTAAAGAAAATGGGGTGCATATACAGTGGAGTACTTTTCATCTATAAAAAGTGAAATCTTGTCATCTGTTGCAACATGGATGAACTTGGAAGACATTATATTAAGTGAAATAAGCCAAACACAGAAAGACAAAGATTGTATGTTCTCATTCATATATGTGAGCCAAAAAGGTTGATCTCACGGAGTTAGAGAGTGGATTTTTGGTGATTACCAGAGGCTGGGAAGGGGTGGGAGAAGGGGGATGAAGAGAAGTTGGTTAATGGGTACCAAAATACAGTTAGATAGAAGAAATAAGTTCTAGTATTCAGTACAGTGGAGATATTACAGTTTAACAATTTACTGTATATTTCAAAGTACATAGAAGAATTGGAATGTTCCCAACACAAAGAAAAGATACTCACGTTTGAGGTGATGGAGATGCCAATTACCCTGATTTGATCATTACGTTGTCCACATGTATCAAAATCTCATATGGACCCCCAACCATGTACAACTATCATATATCCGTTTTTGAAAACTTAAAAAGTATTAGAATGTACATACTCTTTATCTTCTCTACCAGGTTGCCCTGTGTTTAGAAACAGTGCCAGTTCCTGCTGGCCAAGAAAACCCTGCCATGTCACCTGCCGTGAGCCAGCCCTGCACACCCAGGGCAAGTGCTGGCCATGTAGCAGTATCATCTCCTACACCTGAAACAGGGCCATTGCAGAGGTTGCTGCCCAAAGCCAGGTAAAGAGCCCCTGGAGGCCACATCAGGGCTGGTTCTCTGTGGCGATGTTCTCAGAGGCGTCCCTGCCATTCCCAAGCGTGGGCAGGAAAGTCATTGTCATTGTCTGGCCTGCCACCCCGCTCCACACTGTGCCCTGGGAGGTTTGAATGAGGGTGGTGAGGGATGCGCCGGTGAGGAGGCACGCGGGGACACAGTGCAGCACTGTCACCTCTGCAGTGGTCTGCAGTGAGAAAGTCAGCGGCTGTGGCTGTTCTCCACAGGCCCATGTCCCTGAGCACCATTGCAATCCTGAATTCTGTCAAGAAAGCCGTGGAGTCAAAGAGCAGGCATCGGAGTCGGAGCTTAGGAGTGCTGCCTTTCACTTTAAATTCTGGAAGCCCAGAAAAAACGTGCAGTCAGGGTAAGCCTTATGTTTGGTGCCAGACACAGTAGAGCATTTACAGATGAAAACACAGAACAAGCTACTTCTTATTCCTTTCAAAGCGGTGTGTTTTCTTATCTTTAAAACAAATAACGTTAATTGGGCTTTTAGGATCATGGGTAGTAAAACAATGCATATTTATTCTAGGAGATTTGGAAAATAGAGTGAAATATGAAACTCACCCATAGCAGTGAGGCATTCCTTCCTCCAGCTATTCTGTTCCTCTTACACACACGTGTTTTGTTTTGTTTATGGAATTGTGATCTGTGCGTGCATTGTTTTATGACCTGTTTCCCTGCATTCTTAAGTCAGATGTAGTAGATGTAGTAGACAGCTTCCATGAACTTTTCTTTCCAACCTTTGCTTTCAGTGGCTTTATAGCATTGTGGCTGTGGAAATAACTGATTTATTACTATCCTGTTCTTTGAAATGTTGATTTTCAATTTTTCCATACAAATACTATCACAGTAAACATCCTTGTACATATAGCCTTGTATGTATGTAATCCTTGGGATTAATTCCCAGCAGTCAAAGGCCATGGATATTTAAAAACTTTGGATAGTGTCAAACTGTCCTCTATCACTTATGCCAAGTTAGACTCTTTTATTTTTTTGAATCCTAATGAGAATGGACATTTTTTCTCATGTTTATCATTTATTTGTATTTCTTCCTGAATTGCCTCTTTATAAGAAAATTGTAAACACTAGTGATTTTGACTTTACGTCTTGCAGATATGTTTTCTCATGTGGTTGTTTTGCTCTTCGTTATTGTTTGGGGGTATTTCTGGATAGCAGCACCTTTTCTGTTCTAGTGTCTTCATACAGTTTGGAGCAAGAGTCGAATGGCGAGATTGAGCACGTGACCAAGCGGGCCATCAGCACCCCCGAGAGTGAGTAACTGATCGGAACACGTGGGCTTCTCCTCAGTCTCTCCTGCATTCGTGATGTGTTTGCTAGAGTCGCAGTAAAACTCCTTCCGGTGCAGGATAGTTCTGATGGTCAGAACCATGAGTGCATTGCTGAGGTGGAGTATTTCACAGTGACCACGGTCGCTTGATCCATGAGCACTGACCGAGTATGTTGTTCCAGTGTCGTTACATTCAGTCAGTCAAACACCACAGTGGCCCGCGGAGCAGACAATGCCGTTGAGGCACAGGTAGGTTGGGTGACTGACCCAGTGGTGCCTTCTGGAGGCGGCCCTCCGTGTCTCTGGGCTGTCCGGGTGCACTGGGCGCTGCTGGGTGGGCCTGCTCCCAGGGCGGGCAGACGTCAGCACCAGCAGGTACCATGCACGCTCTGCAACTGCCAAGACCAGAGACCCGGGGACCCCTGCTCGGAGCCTGTGTCTCATTCCCCTCCATGTTTTTTCCTACTGTTTGTGCTTTTCCTTTGATTTCAAAACAGAGGTGAGTTAGGAGAGTTGAGTATTCTTTTCCTATTATCTTGTGTGATAGCTTCATATTGTGTCAAACCTCATAAAAACCATTATTTTGAGAAAACTCTTACAGGAAGAAGAAATGCTTCCTGTCCTAAATCTGTGGAGTAGTGGCTAGGCCCTGCCGCCGTGTCCCTGTGTGCCCCTCGCTCTGCGCCCGGCTGTGCACAGTGCCCTCAGCAAGCTGCATCCAGCCCCGCTCGTCCCTGGCCATTCCACTCCTCACTGTTTCCACAGACCACAGTGCCTGGAACCTGGGAGGTGTCAGAGATCTCCTCCCGGAGACTTCTGGGAGGGCAGAGCTGGGCGCTGAGCCCAGGCCTTCTGGTCCCAACTCTTGTGCCCCTTCTCCAGCCTGTCTCCTAGTCCTGACTGCAGGGGAAGATGAGAGCGTGCTAAGGTGCTCTTCCTGGTAACAGAGCAGCAAGGTGTCCTGCCGTTCGTTTAGTCACTGCTTCAGTCAGCTCATGTGTGTGGAGCACCTGCTGTATTCTAGCTACTTGCTTGTTTGGTTCTGTCACACTGATGCTGTGATCTCTTAGAATAGTTAACAGGTTAGAGGTAATTTTCATCCAGGTCCCCCTTTGAAGGGAGTTTATCCCACCCCCACCCTCAGACGACAACCGAATCATGACGGCATTTGTCATTAAAGGCAGTGGGTAATTTGGGATCCTGCGTCGTGGACAGGTGCGATGTTCTGTGTGTTAGAGCTTGCTGTGTGTTCGATGTTCCTGGCTCAGGAGTGCCAAGAGCTTCTATTTTGGCAGTGAGGTGCCATATGCTGAAGAAACGGGGAGAACGCATCTCATTTTCGTTGTGCTCATCCTGAGTCCCTGATGTCAGTGTTGGGTTGTTTCCTAGCAGCTCGTGTTTCTCCACAGGGCAGCCTGGCGTGGAGGGTTCATGCCGCCCTCATCTGCCTGTGTGGAGCCACGCTTTGTGCTGGAAATCAGGCGCCCGGTGTCATTGAGTTGGTAGAGTACTTGTTCTTGCTCCAGGCTCTTGGACATAATATTCCTGCTGATGCAGTCTCTGTCCGTCTCTCTTTATACTGAACCAGGAAGAAATGCCTGGAGGTCTCCCCTTCCTGGGAGAACTGTTAGATAGTTTAAAAGCACTCAGTTCTGTTTTCTCTGTGGTTTATACGTCCAGATTCTTTTTGGCAACTTTTAGTTTAGGTGGGGGAGACTGTCAGGAAGTGTCTCAGCTCTTCAAAGCTGGCAGGAAAGATGCCACCCAGTTCAGCACCAATTCACAGTGGCTTTGCTAAATGGAAATGAAAATTAGTCAATTTTCAGAGCGAGGATTTTAACTGAAAATCTGTGGGGGTTTTAGCAAGTCCCTGTTACTGTTACCATTCGGGTGGCACAGACGCTGCTGCCTTCGATTCTACGCACAGTGCATGGGGGACGTCAGAGCCCCCGCACCCGGGCTTCTGTAAAGATGGGAGACTAATTTCCTGGAGTGCATATGGGCTTCCAAACAGGAAGAGCAGTGTGTGTGTCAGGAAGGGAATTTCATGTGACAGCACAAGGAGAGACTTCACCGAAACAGAATAAGCAGATCTAGCAGTGATGAGGAATTCTCTACCATCGTCTATTAGTGACACTCAAGTAGCCATCGGGTACACAGCTGCAGTGCGCTGATGAGCTTTGAACTGTAAATGGGAAGACACAGTCCATACTCAAGACACCAAGTGGAGAACGGGGAGCGCTCTGAAGCTGCCTCCTCGCATGTGCTTGCAGAAGGGCAGCAGGTTCAGTGGTACCAGCAAGCAGCTGCCCAGCCCGTGCTGTTCCCGGGAGTGTGCTGGTGGCAGCTTATGCACTGGGTACAGCACCACCCAGGAGGGGCGAGGCTGCACCACCCAGGAGGGGCGAGGCTGCACCACCCAGGAGGGGCGAGGCTGCACCACCCAGGAGGGGTGAGGCTGCACCACCCGGGCCTCCAAGACAGGGTGGCATGTGTAGGCAGATGGGGCGGTGGGGGGGGGGGTGCAGAGAAGCATAATGTGCAGACAGGGCCTGCTGAGGAAGAGGACGCAGGAGGGTGGACGTGTTTGTGCACGCGTGCACCTGAGCCTAACAGGTGAGTCTGTAAAGGCAGCTTGGGACCAGCTGAGACTGAGGGTGGACTTCAGGCTCTCCTAGGAACACAGCGATTGAGGTGTCTTGAAGCAGGGCAGTAAATTTACCAGCTTCTTGATGAAACATAACTCCAGTGATGCAGGGATGATACTGCTAATAAATGACAGTGGCTGCTAACATCTCTTGAGCACTGCCCTTGCAGCCAGCACGATGCTAAGCACTCAACGTGGATAACCTCATGTAGTCCTGGCAGCCCCCCAATGAGGTAGCTATGTTTTTATACCCACTTAAGAGATGAAGAAACCTGAGGGTCTCAGAGCAGCTCACACAGCTGGTGAGACACTGAGCCAGAATTCACACCCAAGCTGCGGTGGAATCTGCTCAACTGTGTTCTCCTGTTCCTGAGGGCAAACTGGAGGGGGTTCATTGCGGGTAGGTGCCATGAACAATCAAGGGCGAGGGGGGAGGTGGACTGAGCCGCTCCCAGTGTGGCACGACGGGACAGGATGAGGCGGCGACTGGAGGTAGAAGGGACAGGACTTGGCTGCTGATTCCATGTGGAGGAGCTGCTCACGGTGCCATATTTCCAGCGCGCATGCTCCAGTCACTGGCTGGAAACCAGCAGGCACGCGTGGAGGTGCAGAGGCAAGGAGTTGAAGTGTCCTCAGGGAATCTGGGTGAGCCACAGTAGGAGGTGTAGTAAGTGGGACAGGGCGGTCACCGGGACAGGGGCAATGATGGAAGACGGCGGGAGGGAAGCCAGAGGCGTGAACAGTGAGGCCCAGGGGCCAGCCGAGTGCCTGAGGGCTGCGGGTCAGAGAAGGGGGTCAGAGAGACGGAAAGGAGCATCCCCAGGAGGGGCCCTCAACACTGCCAGGCCCTGGGACAGGGTCCAGTGGAGGTCTGAGGGCCGCCGCTGGGACACTGATGTGGACACCCTGCCTACGTCCCACGGACAACTAGAACAGAGACCTCCGATAGACCACGCGGCTTTCACTCAGTGGTGTCTCCTCTTTATGCAGAGAGCATCAGTGATGTCACGTTTGGAGCAGGGGTCAGTTACATCGGGACACCACGGACTCCGTCGTCAGCCAAAGGCAAGTTCTTGGTGTCCTTCTGGGCTGATAGATGCACTGCCTTTGAGGTTCTGGGAAAGCTGAATGTGTTTGTTTGACTCCCTTTTAGAGAAAATTGAAGGCCGGAGTCAAGGAAATGACATCTTATGTTTATCACTGCCTGATAAACCGTAAGTTTAGCAGTGTTCCTTTTGAGGTGGATGTTTCTGTCAGGGTTTTTCTGAGTTCCAGAATGACTGCACATGTCCTTTCCCTAGGCCCCCACAGCCTCAGCAGTGGAATGTGCGGTCTCCCGCCAGGAATAAAGACACTCCAGCCTGCAGCAGGAGGTCCCTCCGAAAGACCCCTCTGAAAACAGCCAACTAAACAGCGCCTCCCACCAGTGTCCAGGCAGGCAGGAGCCCTTGAGGAAGCAGTCTCGTGTCCTCCGTGTGAAGGCAGCTGGATCACTTCCCGCAGTCCTTGGGCAGCGCTTTGCTGTGGAACACGAGAGCTCCTCCTCAGGGGCCTGGCACTCACCTTCTATTCTGTATGATGTATTTGGTTAAACACTGTCAAATAATAGAGATGTGCCAGATTTAGATTTTCTTACCCTAATCTGTTTAATATTGTAACTTTATTCCATTTGAAAGTGTCAAGCCCATTCAGATAAGCTATAATCTGGTCTTTAAGGAACACAACTTTAAAACTGCAGCTTTCTTTTATATAAATCAAGCCTCTGTTAACTTGAATTCCTTATAGTACATATTTTCCCATCTGTAATGACGAAATTTTGATTCTAATATTTTTTCTATTATTTATAAGTGCAAATTTTTTAAAAAAGTGTACAGCTTTCTAAAAGTAATAAAGGTTTAGCATAAATACAGCCTTCCAGTAGTCAATAGGATTTTTCTGTTTTTAGAACAGAGCTCTTATTGGTAATCATTTTAATTTTACATAAAGCATGTTTGTTTGTTAGAGGAATGAAACCAAATCTTCCCTATTAGAAAAAAGATGATTGTCTTGAAGGGCAGTTCATCTGTGCCCAGGCAGAGGCGGTGTGCTTTCCCTAACAGACATGAACAGCATCCCTTCTTGGGAAAAAATGGCTTTGCAGCCTTCCCCAGAGCAGCACTGCCGATTTGTGCAGCCCTCTGTTAAGGGCTGCTCCCATGATGGGGGAACAGCTTGAGTCTCTTCTGTTAGCACTAGTGGGTAAACTGAATGCTATTTTTGTTCAACAATATCCAGAAAGAAATGCAGTTGGTTTGTTTTTTAATCCCAGTATTACAAAAGCAAAAGTACAAAGTGATGATGTGCGTTGGTTGGTTTGGGGGATGGGATGCCACTGAGATCTGCCCACTGCCATCCCAAGTGGGAACCGCAACACAGGTGGGCTCGGTGGCGGAGAGGCGCAGCACTGCTCTTGAGCACACAGGCTGACCTCCTGCCCAGCACTGACTTCCCTGGTGGATGGGTGATTGATAGCATTTTTAGTGTGCATGCCTAACCACTGAAATGCTAGGAAGAAGAGACAAACCCAACGTAAGAGCAAATAACAAAGAATGAAGCAATGTTTGGGTTTTTTTGAAGCTTTTATAAATGAGGTTAAACAAATGCCAAATTACGGTGTGTTAGTACAAGTCTGTAGCATCTGTGTACAGCAACATCCATCCAAAGGCAGAATCACAGCCTCGTATCGGCCTCGAGTCTTGAGTCACATTCATATCTTAAAATACACGAGTATTCCTTTTCCGTCTAGTCTCAGTTATAGGCAGCTACTTCCCAGACTCTACTTTCACTTCTCTCTACTTTTTCAGACCTGGTTCCCATGGCACTAGTGTAGAAGGTTTTAGGGTATAAGAAGAGGGGGCAATAAGGCTACCCTATCACTATGACAACCAAGAAGGAGGCTGGAGCGTGAATCCCCAACGCTGAGGGTGGGGAGCCATCCCTCTCTACCAAGGTGGCAATGATGGAGGGAACTTGCATGCTAAGCATCCAGGATGCCATGCAGCAGACACCAGGGAGCACTGAGCCACTGCTGGAGCATTTCCTGCCTCTGCCAGGCGGCCTGCGGCAAAGTGTTTCACATAACTAAAAAAAGTCAACACAGTCTCATGTATGCAATTAAAAAAAAGCTGTCAAAGTATAAAAAACCCAAGACACTGGAAGCTGAAAGACAAGGTGAGTAGTGAGAGCCATTCTCCAGGCACACAGTGGAGTGCTCCTTCTCAGCAGCTCCTTGCTTTACAGCACTTCAGTCCTGAGTCCAGCACGGCAGGGCATGTGAGGCTGAGAACACCTGCTCTTGAAGAACACAGGCTTCTGAGTGATGTTGCTAATGTCCCCCCACAAATGGGAGCAGTGTCTCCGGCGGATGAAAAATTTAAAGTCAAAATTAGAAAACTGCTTTTGATTCAGGCGTTTCACTTTCCTCCCCGCCAGGCCTTTCACCTGGCTGCTCCACCTGACGTTCTTTAAAAGGCTGGACTGGCCGCCACTCCATCATGGTTTGTTTTGAAATGCGACAGAGCCTGTGGCGTCTGGGTGCTTTCTCTGTGGCAAAGAGGAACAGTGGGATCCATTTTCTTTTAAAAATGTTATTGTACTTGACAGACTTGATTTCGCAATTGCCTTTGGCCTTAGACAATCTTAACAAATAATTAAACAAACTTAAAAAAAAAAAATAGCATTGGGGGCCCTATTTTGTGAGCCATCCATAACCAAAAAGAGGTCTGTTACAGGAGCCCAAAGCTGGGACGCTACATGGAAGACACCAGTGTCCCTGCAGTGCCCACCTGAGAGCTGTGCTGGATGAAGCAAGGGCCACGTGAGTAAAGCTCACTGGGACACAGCCACTGCCAGGGCCCAAGGATGGCAGGGCCTCCTGGCAGACAGCGAGGCAACAGTGAGCTAGAGCGGGGGCGCCTGGCGCAACCCCAGGAGCTGACTGGCATCTGTGTATGTACATCTGAGGGCTTCTGGGTGGCCTCTGGGTACAGACTGTCCTAGTCATCTCAGGAAGAGGCAGTTCAAAGCTAACCTGAGAGGTTTCTTTTGAAGAGATGCAAACTGATTTCAACATTGCTTAACTGGAATTTTTAAAGGTTTCCTAAGCAACTATGGTCTGATGTGTAGACAGTATGAGTTCCCTTGTGAAAAAGGCTAAAACTTGTGTGAGAAAAGGAACATCACAGTAAACTTCCATGAGAGGATTCCTTGGGTAAAATACTCTTAATTATTGATATTTTCCAATTTAACACTAGTAGCTTGGAACTTCTACCTTAAGTTGAACTTTTTTAAAAAAATAGGTTATTTAACATTGTATGACAATATATTTACAGTTTAAATAGAAATTTTCTTTTCAATAATCAAAATACATCCTTAGCAAAAATTTAGATGTAAAATTTTATAAAATAAACAAGACCCATAGAAAAGCATATTTCAGTACCATTTCAGACTTAGCCTAAGACGAAGGTTTTCCTTAAATCCTGACACCCTGTTGGACAAGCAGGGTTCCTCAGGCAAGATCCCTCTTCCAGCAACCAATTTACCTTCCTGATTTTGGTTGTTTTTACAAAATGCTGATCCAAAAAGCTTCTCCACAATGGACACTGCAACACCGATCAGCAGAGCCTTTAAGAAGAAACTGCGGTGGTGTCTGTGGGCCGATGAAGTAAGGCTGCTGTGTAAGAAGCCTTTTCTGGGTTCCCGCCGGGATGCGCTGCTGGTGCTGTCCAGCCACCTCGCCATCTCACATGGTGCTGTCGTGGCTGCTGAACGACCAGTGGTGAACATGCTGGCTTCACAGGGCCCAGCACGGGCGTTTACGTGAGCAAACTCTTTAAGATCACCCTAATACTCATGCGGGAATCAGGCCAGAAACAGATTAGGAACCCAACTCAGTGAACGCACCCAGTTTCGCTTCCTTGTGGTTATATTTACCGGGTCCATCTTGAGGAAAATTCTTCTATTCATGTGGCTTGTTAGAGTAAGAAGAGTAGTGGTCAACTTTGGCCAAAACGAAAAGCTTCTGAATGAGTGTCTAGCTCTGTCCGAGTGCATCAGCTCTCGCTGCCTTGACAGGAGTTTCTAGCAGAGGTATGTGCACGTGCGCTCTGTGCGCTCTCAGCCACACCGCGGGTCTCAGATCACAAACGATGACTTGTGTCTGAAGTCGCCCTGCAAAGCCAACACACAGTTAGAGCCATCAAGGGGCCTGGTGGCAAGCAGGGAAAAACACGGAGTAAGTCTAACATGGGCTAAATAC